>NC_000011.10:102626970-102930000 GCF_000001405.40 Homo sapiens
TGTTTGAAGACTGTATTCTAAAAAATGTTACTTAATCAAGTTTGTTAAAAAAAAAGAATGAATGAATGTACAAACATATACTAATCATTGCTTTTTGGTTTCAGGAAAGGAATAGGATATTGCAATAATTTTTCAAAATTTGCATTTATATGGTCTCCTGTCTTCTAGAGCCTTATCTTCAACAGCTGCTAAAATTGAAGAACAAAAAGAATCTTTGAAACTTCCCTTCAACTGGTCATCCTCTTCCCTTTTTCTCTCCTTTAAACACTGTTCCAATTCATTATGATGGCCCCAAAGCAAAGACAGACATGGAAGTGAACATTGGAGTGGAAGGAATGACGGTAAGAAATTCTGGGACCAATAGAGAGAAAATATTCTCACCTCTAGGACTCTAAAGAGTATTCTAGGTTCTGTTTTTGGAAGCACATGGAAGTTAATAATTGCCTATAGGGTGTGATCTACATACTTATAGAAGGTTCCAGTATCCACTTTTCTAACACACAAATGCAATCAATCCCAATGTTCCTAAGTGCAACATTTTAATTATCAAGTGCAAAAATTTTGAAGAGGAATAACAATTTATGTTCTTATAAGTCATTTATATATTAGTGTGACTAAATTTCACCTCAGAGTCAGCACTAGGCAACATCTTTGACCTTTCTAGAGAGAGAATAATAGAGTAAATGCCTGGTAATTCCTCACTATGATTTCCTTTTCCTGATTTTTCTTTCTTCACAGGGGAGCAAAGGTCTGCTTTCTTTCTATCATTCTTGTATCAACTCTAAATTGAAACCCAAATCACTGAAATCTAAAAAATCACATGAAAGCAAGTCAATGACTAAAAGAAAATGAAATGAGAGATCCTATCAGAGAAATATGAAAGGGAAAATACCACTGATTAAATAAGTTATGGGAAAAATAAATCATTACACCATTAAATGTATACGTCGACATACTGTATGTTGTTATGTGCTTATTGTCTTTCACCAGTAGAATGTAAGTCCCATAAGGGTAAGGACTTTATATATTCTTTTCACAGCAGTGTCTCTAGTGCATGGAACAGTTCCTAGCACAAAATAAACAGTTGTTGAATAAGTGAATGTATGAATGAGTGATTAATTAATGATTAAAGATAGAAAGAAGAAAAACAAGATTGTCCTTAGAGGGATAAATTTTAAGTCAACCCATATAATGGATCAAATGAAGATGTGTAGCATCACCCTAAGAAACCAGAACCTTTATTAAACCCACATTATATGCCAGACATGTAGCCAAGTACCTTATGTACATTTTTCACACAACTTTGTGACACGCTGTTTTTCAAGTGAAGAAATGGGCTCATGGAGGATAAATGATTTGTTAACTTCATATAGATATTAAGGCGACGGCTCCAGGATTTTCACACAGCTCTGTTAGACATTGAAGCCTGTGTTCTTAACAGTTACAGGAAGCATACGTTGGTGCCTTCGTGGAGCAGTGACTTGGGAACATGGTATTTCAAGGTGGCTGGCAGGGAGATCCCTAGGCTTATTCCAGCTGCCCTGCAGCTCCCTGGCACTCCCGTGTGTCTGGCCTGAGCAGAAGTTGGGCTGACCAGACTGCGCAAGCTCCCTGGCTGGTGACGATGTTTCTTATTGCAAATGACTCCTTTGTTACTCTGGTTTCTGTTTTTCAATCTTCAGTGAATTTAACTTTCATAAATGATTAAATTTCTAGATTTCCAAAGAGTTCAGTTACAACCTGGTAAATTTTTCAGAGTAAGGGATGCTTCCCATTGAGGCAGGATTCTGAGTGATCAGTCACCAGCTACGTTTTATTCTATACCCAGACTTACCATGGCCCTTCTTTCAAATGACTCCAGTAAATATATACCACTTTGAATGGCCAACTCTAAAAAAAGTTTATTTATATAACTTGTAAATCATATCATATTCTATTTTGTAATGGTTTTTTTAAGTTTAGAAATTTATGATTAGAATACAGAATAACATGAACCATATTCTCAATTTCTAGAGCACACATATTCTAGAATCAGATGGAATAAAAATAGAGGAAAGAAAAAAGTGTATTTAAAACCAAAGACTACCCCCAGAATCTCATATAGAAAATGAGTGAATGATCTTACCTCATTTGTGAGAATGAGAAGCTCAGAGAGGACCTGGCAAGCTTATATCCAGAAGCCAACTGGTTTGTTTTCACCAAGAACAGAAAAAGAAAGAGAAAAAGGAAGGGAAGGGAAGAAAAAAAAATACACTTACTTTGTACTGTAGGTAACTTTGGTTAGAGAGGAAGAAGCAAACAGCCTTCTGATTTGGCAATTATTAGCATTAAAATGAACCATTAAAGAAGGTTGTGAGGTTGCCTTCAGCAGTCTTTGAGTATAGGATAGAATATCAAGCTTTTAGAAAAGATTTGGTTCAGTGGGGTTTTGCCTATCTGCTCAGGCTTGGGGTATGTGAAAAGAACTTAGATTAGATTGCTCTGCCAAATTTTATTCATATATATATATATATATACACACACATATATAATTTATAAATACTTATTGATATAATTTTTACATATACAATAAGTAAAATACCTTCATATTTTCAACAAAGATTTATTAAGTATCAGTTGTTTGTTAGGCACCAGGAATACAGAGATAGGAAACACTGTTTTAACACTCTAGGAGCTCAAAATTTACTGCTGCAATAAAATTGAACTTGGAGTAAAATCAGATAAAGATCGACTTAATCTTAGTGATAAAAATGTGTCTTTACATTGCAAATTGGTAGAATCCTTCTAAAAAAGTATAAATGATTTAGCAATGTGTAAAATATTAAAAGGACAATTTTAACCAAAAAGGCAAATAAAAATTACACAACATTTGATTCTGTATCTGCCAAGGAGAAGTATATAGGCAAAAAAAAAAAAAAAAAGGAATAAAAGGAAACCTGGGGTAAAGAAAACAGTAGTGTGAGGGGTAGGGCCTTACACCTACCAATTCTTATAAAATTTCCTTTAATGCTACCATGCATTACATTTCAAAACAGTAAGTGAAAGTGTGAAAGACTATATCAACGTACCCTTTATATTTGTACTTGAGTAAACAGAAGACATACAGGATGAACTCAGTGGCATATTTAACTTATTCTTTTGTTCAGTTGTGATTCTTCTTTCTATTTACTCAGTCTAGAACTCTTGTATTTATTCTACATGCTGGCACTAGACTTAGTCCTGGAGGTACAAAAGGCAAATAAAACCTGTCCTTAACCAGAGTCTTAGAATCTCCAGGGAGAGACTCAGATATACACTCAAAATACCTTACAGTGTAATTAGTAAAAAAAAAAAAAGAAAGGTATTTAAAGGTCCAAATGAGGGCAGAAGAGGGAAAGCCCATCTCTGCCTGGGCAGCTGAGAATGAGAGTAAAATGGAGGAAAGTAGGGGCCAGGGCAGACTTTCCATGGGGATGGGGCTTTAGTTGAGGGCTGATTGCTAATGGAATTAGAAGTCACCTGCAAGAAGGGTGCAGTGAGAAGGAAGGAGAGTGACAGGTAGTGGGAAGGGGGAAATTCCAAGCAGATGAGGCGATGAGGTAAGGAGATGTTAAAGAAGAGCATCTCTTCTAAGAAACTGAAGATATTTCTATGTACAAGGCAGTTTGGGGGCAGCCAACAGGAGGTGGGCAGAAAAGAAAGGCAGAGACCGGTCTGTTGGAGGACGCCTCTCACCCACAGTTCCAGGTACTGACACAGAAAAGCAGAGGCCAGGAGTCATTTGCCGGGTGAACCTTGGTCAAAGGGAAAGCCAGAGAGCAATTTCTAGCACAAGCTGCAGATCCAAAGGGCAGGACTGACATGAGGCTCCAGGGTGCAGAGCTGGAATATGGTTGGCAAAACAGAGAAGGCAGAAGATGGGCAGAATGGCATGGAACAAATCCGGAGCAGCCACAGTGCAGCAAAGGCTTGGAGGGCTTGTGGGGTTTTATTTAAAGGGCCTGGAGAGGAGTGTGCTGGGCAACGTCACAGGCATCTTGTGTGCCAGGCTAAGGCATCTAGACATTAATGGTTTGTGATGGGAAACCACTGGAGAGTTTCTTCCCCAGCAATGACATGATGAGGTTTGCATTTACAGGAAGATTGCTCTGAAAGGAGCATGCGGGATGGATCGGAGGGGAGTGAGGATGGAGGCTGCCGGGGGCACCAAGGGGAGGGTTATAGGAGGTCCAGTCACAAGGCTTACCGTTATGTTTATCTTAGGTCATGAACTGTGAGAGACGAGCTGTCAGTATAAAGAGCATTTTGTTTATTCTTGTAAAATCTCTGGCATATATTGCAATGATCACCAATGTGAGCTTTTGAGATTGGATAGTAAATGTGTTTACAGCTGCCTGTGTAGAGGGCGGGATGTCAAAAGTCCCATTAGAGCACATTCCACTTGCCCAGTCATTTTAGTGAGTCAATTTGCTAAATTATAGACTTATTTCAGCATACAAATCAGCAATTCTGGAAGCTGATAGTTTGCCTGGCAGCTTCTTTTGAACATCTCCATTTTTTCTTAGAGTGTTGTCTACAGGTAAAATCAATTTAACTATTTTGAAAGATCTACCTTATCCCCAGTGCTATCGTCTGAATGTTTGTGTTGCCCACCCCCCCCACCCAAATTCATATGTTGAAATTCTCGCTCCCAAGGTGATAGCACTAGTAGGTGGGGCCTTTGGGGTGTGATTAGGCTATGAGGCTGCAGCCCTCGTGATTGGAATAAGTGTCCTTATTAAAGATGCTCCGGGGAGCTGCCTTGCCCCCTCCAGCAAGTAAGGACACAGCAGAAAGGCACCGTCTATGTATCAGGGAAAGCTTCCTTGATCTTGGGTGTTCCAGGCTCCATAACTGTGAGAAATAAATTTTTGTTGTTTATAGGCCACCTAGTTTATGGTATTTTGTTATAGCGACCCAAATAAACTAAGACAAACCTGGAGCATATTGTGGTGCCAGGTAGTAAAATGATGAAGGAATGTTTAAAGGACACGATCCAGCTTGTTGGAGCCCCCTCTGGGTTAATCTAAGACACTTTGAGCATCAAAATCCATAATGATAGTAATGGATTGTGGTCCATTGAATGAAATAAAAACTCATGAGTCTGTACTGATATAAACAAGCAATAATGGGGAGAAGAGAAAGCACTTCCTTATGGTAAAAAGGTAACATAAATACATGTAGAAAGAATGATGGCTTTAGAAAATATGCATTTGGTCAACAGGGAAGTGCAAACCAAAACCACAGTGAGATATCATCTTACCCCAGTAAAAATGGCTGTTATCAGAAAGACAAAAAATAGCAGATGCTTGTGAGGATGCAGAGAAAGAGATGCGCTAATACACTGTTGGTGGAAATGTAATTTGGTATGGCCACTATGGAAAACAGTATGAATGTTTCTCAAAAAACTAAAAATAGATCTGCCATGTGATCCAGCAATCCCACTGCTGGGTAAATATCCAAAAGAAAGGAAATTCATATGTTAAAGGGGTTACTTCATGTCCATGTGTATTGTGACTATTCACAATAGCCAAGATACGGAATCAACCAACGTGTCCATCAATGGATGAATGGATAAAGGAATGCGGCATATATACACAATGGAATACTATTCAAGCGTAAAAAAGAATGAAATCCTGTCATTTGCCACAACGTGGATGGAACTGGATGGAGGTTGTTACGTTAAGTGAAATGAACCAGGCACAGAAAGACAAATATGACCTGTTCTCACTCCATAAGTCGGAGCTAAAAAAAGTTAATCTCACAGAGGCAGAGATATATGCTCTGGAGGACATTATGCTAAGTGAAATAAGGCAGTCACAGAACAAATACTGCATGATTCCACTTATTAATACATGGAATACTTAAAATAGTTAAACTCAGCCAGGCATGGTGGCTCAGGCCTGTAATCCCAGCACTGTGGGAGGCCGAAGTGGGAGGATCACTTGAGGTCAGGAGTTTGAGACTGGCCTGGCCAACATGATGAAACCCTGTCTCTAATAAAATGCAAAAAAATTAGCAGGGCATGGTGGCGTGCGCCTATAGTTCCAGCTACTTGGGGGGCTGAAGGCAGGAGAATTGCTGGAAGCTGGGAGGCAGAGGTTGCAGTGAGCCGAGATCGCGCCACTGCACTCCAGCCTGAGCGACAGAGCAAGACTCCATCTCAAAAAAAAAAAAAAAAAAAAAGAAAAAAGAAAAGAAAACTACAAAATAAATAAAATAGTTAAACTCATAGAAACAGAGCAGAATGGTGGTTGCCAAGGGTTGGGTTGGGGTGGGGGAGAATAGAGAGTTGCCATTTAATGGGAATATAAAGATCACATATGTGCTGATGAAACCTTAATTTTTATCGTCAGCTCAGATTTTGTTTTAAGATATATTCAAAGGTTTCCTGCAATCTCCGCTTGAATCTCTCCCCACAGGGACTATGAAGTGGCCACCTACTATACTGTCTGCTTAGAGTAGCCACACTGGTCCAATGGGAAGCTATCCTTTCAAACATGTAATTTGAATGAAATTTCTTATTGGCTCTGTCTCTCTGGAAGAGAGGGAAATGCTCGAGGTAAGAAAGGCCCCTGACCTGTGCTGGGCCAATCATAGTTCCTCATTTTCCTGGCCACCTTCTATTGGTCCAAGAATGGGCCAATCAGTGACCCAACTGGATTAATTAGACTGGTTTCCCAGTATTACTGAATTTGGGATTAGAGATTGGGCTCTTTCTGGGGATGGAGAAGTAAGGTTCATGAATCGTTTGTGGTCATGTTCCCTGCTCAGTGGAAATGCCAGGTGGCAGTAGAAGAGAATGAAGCAGAGATGAGAGAAAGAAAGAGAAAGGGAGACTGAAAGTGTTTCATCCTCAGCGAGGCTCAGTAAGCATTCATTTTCTGTAGTTATGTGAGCCTCCCAGTAAGTTTCCCCTTGATCTTAACTAATTCTAGTGGGATTCCTGTCACTTGCATTTCACCTTCAAATTGAGGTCAATTCAGAATAAAACTTGCCATCTTTCGCAACATGCCTTTTCTGCCCGTTCCCCCACCAGCTCCCCCGCTTATTTCTCCTCTTATATTCTCCAGTTTAGCAATAGCACTAGCCTTAGCTGATGTGTACTGGTAGAACTGTCATGGTTGCTCGTGGGCTTTTGCTGTGTCAGTACCAATGCCATACTGGTTGAAAAATACTTCGAATATTACCCCTGCCAACGTCTATCCAGAAACCAGGAATTTATTCTTGATTCCAGCTTCCCTCTATCTCTATGTATTTTTCCTCAGCTTTTGAAATTTGAAATGCTTTACTTATTTAATGTTTACTACTGTATTTTTAAATTTTGCATTTTGAAATGTTTTCGGGCTTACAAAAAAGTTGCAAAAATTGGCCGGGCATGGTGGCTCACGCCTGTAATCCCAGCACTTTGGGAGGCCGAGGTGGGCAGATCACGAGGTCAAGAGATTGAGACCATCCTGGCCAACATAGTGAAACCCCATCTCTACTAAAAATAAAAAAATTAGCTGGGCATTGTGGCACGCCTGTAGTCCCACTACTCAGGAGGCTGTGGCAGGAGAATTGCTTGAACCTGAAAGGCGGAGGTTGCAGTGAGTCAAGATCAGGCCACTGTACTCCAGCCTGGTGACAGAGCGAGGCTATGTCTCCAAAAAAAAAAAAAAAGTTACAAAAATAATACAAAGAATTCACCTATACTCTTCATCCAGATTCTTCAAATGTTAACATTTTACATAATCTCAGTCTCACTGTCAAAATCAGGAAACTAGCTTTGACAACAATGCTATTATCTAAAGCAATGGTTCACAAAATGTGGTCCAGGAACCCCTAGGGGTTCTCAAAAAACTTTCAGGGAAACTATCAGGTCCAAACTTTGCTCATAATAATGCTACATATGATTTTCCTTCTTCGCTTTCATTTTCTCATGCGTTTTCCTGAGGCTTTATGACATGTGAACGGACTGTGTGCACAGGCAGAGAAACAAATTTCCTTCCAGAAAGCCAGACATTAAATGGGTTTTCAGAAGTGTAAAACAATGCCACTCTTCACAATAATTGTTCTTTTTGGAAAATATAGTTATTTTTTACAAAAATATGTTACATTAAGAAGTAATATATTATTATTTTTAAATAATAATATTAAATATTAATTGTCAATTTTAATTTATAATATGCTTAATGTGATCACTATAGCCAGCCATAAACAAGAGCTTTTGGGGTTCTTAATATATTTTAGACAGGTAAAGGGATCATAAGACCAAAATGTTGAGAACTGCTGATCTAATTCATGGACCCAATTCTTTCTAATTTTTTTTTTCTTATCTGGGATCCAATCCAGGATTTTACATTGGATTTAGTCATCGTGCCCCTTTATTTTCCTTTAGTTTGAAACATTTCCTCTTTCTTTATCATTCTTTATTTATCTGTCTTGATACTTGATATTTACTCTTGATATCTTGATGCTTTTAAAAAGTATTGGCCAGGCCAGGTGTGGTGGCTCACGTCTGTAACCCCAGCACTTTGGGAAGCTGAGGCGCGTGGATCACCTGAGGTCGGACCAGCCTGGCCAACATGGCGAATCCCCGTCTCTACTAAAAATACAAAAATTAGCCGGGTGTGGTGGCATGTGTCTGTAATCCCAGCTACTCGGGAGGCTGAGGCAGGAGAATCTCTTGAACCCAGGAGGCGGAGTTTGCAGTGAGCCAAGATCGCACCATTGCACTCCAGCCTGGGCGACAGAGCAAGACAACATCTCAAAAAAATAAAAAGGTATTGGCCAGTTATTTTAAAAGAGGGCCCTTGATCTGGAATTTTTTAATGCCTCCTCGTGGTTAAATTCAGATCATACATTTTTTGTAAGAATACCACAGAACCTGTGCTGTGTCCCTTTGGTACCTCACATCAGGAGACAAATGATGTCAATTTCTTTCATTACTGGTGATGTTAAATTATAACTTGGTCCCGTGAAGTCTGTCAGATTTTTTCGCCTGCTGTTTTACTCTTGTGAGAAGACACTATGAGACTTATAGAGCTATTCTGTATGTCATTCATGATACTCCTGTCCACTGATTTTAGCAACTGCTGTTGATTCTTGCCTGAAACAATTTTTACAGAGGTGATTTTCTATTTTCTTTGTTCCTTCTGCATTGTTTCATTGGAATTCAGTGGTAAGGAAGTGCTTTTTCTTCTCCCTCACCTGTTTACTTATCCATTCCATTATAAGAGTTATAGAATCAAGGATTCTTATTTTATTCTCTAGATTATAATCTGTTTCTTCTTTCTATTTACTCAGTCTAGAACTCTTGTATTTATTCTACATGCTGGCACTAGACTTAGTCCTGGAGGTACAAAAGGCAAATAAAACCTGTCCTTAACCAGAGTCTTAGAATCTCCAGGGAGAGACTCAGATATACACTCAAAATACCTTACAGTGTAATTAGTAAAAAAAAGAAAGGTATTTAAAGGTCCAAATGAGGGCAGAAGAGGGAAAGCCCATCTCTGCCTGGGCAGCTGAGAATGAGAGTAAAATGGAGGAAAGTAGGGGCCAGGGCGGACTTTCCATGGGGATGGGGCTTTAGTTGAGGGCTGATTGCTAATGGAATTAGAACTCACCTGCAAGAAGGGTGCAGTGAGAAGGAAGGAGAGTGACAGGTAGTGGGAAGGGGGAAATTCCAAGCAGACGAGGTGATGAGGTAAGGATATGTTAAAGAAGAGCATCTCTTCTAAGAAACTGAAGATATTTCTATGTACAAGGCAGTTTGGGGGCAGCCAACAGGAGGTGGGCAGAAAAGAAAGGCAGAGACCGGTCTGTTGGAGGACGCCTCTCACCCACAGTTCCAGGTACTGACACAGAAAAGCAGAGGCCAGGAGTCATTTGCCGGGTGAACCTTGGTCACAGATTATAATCTGTTGGTATGATTATTTTGTTTATGAAGTATAAAACAATTCTTCACAACCAATTTTTTTGGAAATATAGTTATTTTTTACAAAAATATGTTACATTAACAAATAACATATTACTATTTTAAAATGGGCTATTAAATATTATTTTTCAATTTTAATTTCTAATATGCTTAATGTGATAACTCTAGCCAGACAAACTTCGCTGATGAATTGTTCAAACTTGGCTGATGGAGGCCCCTGTTTCCATTTAACATGCCTCCAACATTTTGTCAGGCACTTTCTTGTGTCCTGGCATCATGAGATATTTAGGGCTCATCTTGTACTCACCCTGGCCCAGCCCTGGAATCAGCCATTTCTCCAAGAAGCTCTGTTTCCTCTTATTAGAGAACACTATCTAGAAATAAAAATCTATCTGGCTGTGCCAAATGGTACTGTGCTGTCTTTACTTATTTTAATAATTGTTTTTTGTTATTACAAAATTTGTATAAGGCCTCTGTTAATAATTCATAAGAAAACAGATTTTAAAAAGTAAGGAAATTAAAAATCACCTATAACATTACCACCTAATAATAACCGCGTTATTTAAAAATAACTGTTATTTAAAAATATTTTTAATATGATTTTAAATATATATGATATTTTATATATATGACAAGGAGTAACAACTCAATTTCTAAGTGGTTTACTAAGTCCTGCGGAGTCTAGTTTTGTAGTCTTTGGAGTCTGTTTTCTTCTTTCCTCCTTCACTGCCTTTGTTCAAGCCCCCATTATTTCTTACTTGGATTCTTAAAATAGCCTCCTTACAGTCTCCCAGCATCAGTCTTGTACTGTTCTGATCCAAACTTTATCCTGCTACCAAAGTAACATTTAAAAAAATAAAATATAATCATGTCACTCTGTACTTGGCCTTTAAGAACATGCCCATCATCCTTGGCGTGACATTGTTCTCATCTTGCAGGCTCCAGCCTCTTTTCCCACTTACCCTGCTTGCAGCCTCTGCTACGGCTGTAATGAACTCCTCGTCACCCCTGTATTGTGCAATGAACTCTAATCCCGCCCTGCCTTTTCAATGTTGCCCTCTCTACCAGGGACACCCTCCTCCGCATCCTGCCAGCCTACCTGTCCCTTGAGACTCAGCTTAGATATCATTTCTTTATCTGTCACCTAATACTTTTTATGCTATTGGGAAAATTGTCTCTCTTTCTATTATGCTTTGAGTGCCTTAAGAAAGGAAATTTGGCATCAAGTAAATATGTTTGTTGAATAAATTATAAACAATTTTAAAAGTGAACAAAATGTATTTGTTGAAGGAATTAATGAAATGACTTGATTAAAAAATGGAAATAGAATGAAGATTCAGTATGTAACAATAACACCATATAGTAGTTTCTTTAGATTCCAGAAAAAGGTTAAATGTAATGTTGTTTGGAATTGAAATATTTAACAAATTAAGTTTTGTGGTACCTTTGTCAAAGTGAGGATTTGTCTGTTGTCATAGATTGAGTTCCCCTGGAAGCCAACTCTGAGAGGGACACGAGAGTGTAGGAAGTTATTGGGCAGTGCTCTTGGAGCATCACATGTAGATGGGAAGGGAAGGGAAGCAGGATACGGAGAGGGAGAAGATGGGCTGTAATGGAGTCTGAGGATTGTCTCAGCGTCCCAGGGATTGGGAGCTAACATAGCCCTTGTATTAGTCTGTTTTCACACTGCTGTAAAGAACTTCCCTGAGACTATATAATTTTTAAAGGAAAGAGGTTTAATTGACTCACAGTTCAGCATGGCTAGGAAGGCCTCAGGAAACTCACAATCATGGCAGAAAAGGAAGGAGGCACCTTCTTCATGAGGCAGCAGGAGGGTAAAGAGCCAGGAAACCACCAAATAAAACCATCAGATCTCATGAGAACTCACTCAACATCATGAGAACAGCATGGTGGAAGCTGCCTCCATGTTCCAATCACCTTCGTCCCTCAACACGTGGGGATTACAATTCAAGATGAAATTTGGGTGGGGACAGAGAGCCAAACCATATCAGCCCTTCAGAGTTTTCCTGGGTTGGAGCATGGTTGAAGGGCCTTGTTACCCCTACATGGACCAACTGTCGGATGTGGTCTGCTCTGGGTAGGTGATACGGCCTGGGGAGAGGTAAATTCTCTTCAGTTGAGGCAATTCAAAATAAATTCTTTAGTCCAGCGTGGGGAACATCTAGACATTGTACCATAGCATCCACTGCATCCACAAATACTATGGGCTAGGTGGATTGGACTCCATTATTACTCAGTGTAGTCACTAGGGAGAGTACATCGTTTCTTAAGAACGCTCTAGACTTCAGCCAGGGGCACAAATCCAACCTTTCCATTGAGCTCGAGGGCAGTAAAACAACAACAAAATCCTTCAATTTGGAGTCAGCTGGGCAGAGTGTTTCTTTCATTGAGATCGCTATGAAGGAGGCATACTGGAAGCTATTGGTGAACTCAAACATTTTCTATCTGGGAAAGAACAATGCAAGGAAGACAGAAGAGAGCTGGGTCATACAATGCCAGAACCATCAGCCGCAGTTTCTGTGAGGGAGGAGAGAGAACTCAACGAATCTTCCATTGAGAACTGAATTGAAAATAAATTTTGATAATGACTTGAAACAATTTAATTCTAGCCTTTTAGTTTTATTGCTCATTAGTGCCCATTATTACATTTAATGTTTCTGCTCAATCTTGAATTCTGCAAAAGCAGTCATTTCAAAATTTTGAGACAAAGGATTTTAATTGAATTAAGAAGTCACTAAACATAAAGATTTATATTTTTAGATAAGAAAAATGATGAATAAAGGGCAATGTGAGTAGCAGTGATTTCAAAGAAGCATATATAAATAAAAATAAATTGTCTTAAACCACATAATCATAGTAATTCATGAGCACACAATGAAACAACCACAGAACTTCCTGCTCAGTGTTCCCAGCAAATAAAAAGGGATTTTGCATTCATTAAACTTCTTAAGTAATTTTATTTTAATCTTTAACAGTCAGAGCCCTAGATCTCTCTATTTTGTAATTCTGAAGTACTTATGTCAATAAATGTCTCAAGACCCACATGATGGTTAAATTATGAGGTTGAAACCT
Organism: Homo sapiens; assembly: GCF_000001405.40. Lineage (NCBI taxonomy): Eukaryota > Metazoa > Chordata > Mammalia > Primates > Hominidae > Homo > Homo sapiens. The sequence continues at coordinate 102,640,001 of NC_000011.10, forward strand.
CAATTTTGTTTTATAAACCTTTCCCTAAAAATTTTGGGACAAATTTCAAGGAAACAATTCACTAGTTGTGATTCATTTATAATTAACCAGAATCTAAATAAAGGTAGCATTCCATTTTGAGGAAGAATTATTGGTGTGTTGGAGACACAGGTGATGTTTCTGTAAAAGACAATAGTATCAGCAAACTCTTTCCAAGAACATCTACTGTTTGGATAAGTCAGTTTATGTATGGTGATGGGACATTTTAGTTAACTAATTTATTTATCTTTTTGATTATTTAGATATATGCAAGATAGGTAGGCACTATAGCTGTGTGATCTTGGGTAAGTTATTTAACTTTTCTAAACTTTAGTTTCTTCATTTATGAAGTGAGGATATTAATACCTACTGTATCAAGTTGTGTGAATTAAATGAGAAAGTGTGTGTAAATGCTTGGCACAATGCCTGGAAAGTGAAAAGTACTGAATAAATGATTGTTATTATGTATACATACATAACACAATTATATTTTAATTTCTTATGTAGTCATTATTATAATCGTAAGATATAATTTATCTGCAAAGCACTTCTCAACATCATTCCCTTTTGACTTGAACTCCTTCAAACGTGCTTAGAACTGTGAAGCAAATGGCTACAGCTTAATGAGTGGTTATAAGAGTACTCTGTTTTTCTTCTCTTTCATACTTTTCTCCTTCCCAAACTTTTAAACATATCCTAAATTTATCTCCTTTACCCCTGCCCAACCACCCACCCCACAATTAAAAGGAATTGTCTTTAAGGACACAGGGCTCACTGTGGATTCCCTCCCTTCCCCTCCCCTCCCTCCCTTCCTCCTTTCCTTTCTCTTTTCCCCGTTACCCTCACAGTTCCTGGAACATTGCTTAGGAGGTTTTTGCCAGCAGAAGTTGAATAAATGTCTGAATGAAAGTTTACAAATATCCCAGTTATTTATTCACTTAACGAAGGGCCACATGCCTGGATCCAATGCTGTTGTAGTAAACATTGACCCAGCCCTGTCCAGGTCACTAGGTGATCCGAGAGACAGTCGTTCAAAAGTGCAATTACAAAACAGGGGTCAAGGGTCATTGTTATGGGATTACTGGGACGTGAGAGAAGACTTCCTGAGCATGAGAGGATGGGCAGCCCTGAAGCAGGCAAAGGAAAAGTGGCACGGCAGGAAGCAAGTCAGATGAGGGGGCCTGGTTTGTGCGAGAACATGACAAACCAGTGTTCCTGAAGCCTAAAGGGAAGGTGAGACAAGGCAGAGGAGGCTGGCGGGGCCAGGTCACGGAGTCTCCTGTGCCACACTGAGAGTCTGGGCTTGAGCTTGTGGAGGTGAGAGATAAGCATTGAGTGGTTTTGACTTTTCTTGCATTTTTCACTTTAACTTCTTGACTTTTTCCTGTTGGTATTGACTTCCCTCTATTGCCTCCAGTGTCAAGAATAGAATCTTGGCTCTCCCTGAAAATGTGTATTCCTGAGAAATTGGAGTCCACAGGGAACAGAAAGAAGCTATCGGTGTATTTGCTACTGGGCTTTCCCTGGGGACGTGTGTGTTTCTTTTCAGTTCAGAGCTTATTTTCACTTTTTAAATGATCTATCGTCAACTTTATTTTTCTCTAATCAGGTGGAAAGTTTCTAGATTTTATTCTCATGTTTCATATTCCTTATTGCTGTTTTAAAAGAAAATTTCTGACTCTTCAATATGATTATTCTATTAGTAAAGTGAGAAGGCCGGGTGTGGTGGCTCACACCTGTAATCCCAGCACTTTGGGAGGCTGAGGTAGTGGATCACCTGAGGTCAGGAGTTTGAGACCAGCCTGACCAACATGATGAAACCCCCATCTCTACTAAATAAAAAAATTAGCCGGGCATGGTGGCGCATGCCTGTAATCCCAGCTACTTGGGAGGACCAGGCAGAAGAATTGCTTGAACCTGGAGGCGGAGGTTGCAGTGAGCCAAGATCGCGCCATTGCACTCAAGCCTGGGCAACAAGAGTGAAACTCTGTCTCAAAAATAAATAAATAAATAAAGTGAGAAAAACAATTATTCAAAGGCACTTATTTATTGTAATAGACAATTATATTTATTATAAAAGTGGCCTCTTCAAGAGCTACTGCAATAACAATGACAACTTCGACTTTAGCTAAAGTTATGTTCATTTACTCAATGAATTCTTTTTTCTTTCTTTCTTCTTGGAGATTGAATTTAAGGGAAATTTAATCCTAGCTAATGCTTTCATTTTTCATTTTGACATTGCTGTTGGCTTTGTTTTCCCTCAGAACTGATTGTCACATATCTTTATATTATAGTCTTTGTCTGTAACTTTTTTCACAGTTTTTTAAAATTTCTTTTTATTATTATTTATTTATTTATTTATTTTTTTGAGATGGAGTTTCACTCTTATTGCCTAGGTTGGAGTGCAATGGCACGATGTTGGCTCACTGCAACCTCCACCTCCTGGGTTCAAGTGATTCTCCTGCCTCAGCCTCCCGAGTAGTTGAGATTACAGGCACCCGCCACCATGCCTGGCTAATTTTTATATTTTAGTAGAGATGGGATTTCACCATGTTAGTCAGGCTGGTCTCGAACTCCTGACCTCAGGTGATCCACCCACCTCAGCCTCCCAAAGTACTGGGATTACAGGCGTGAGCCACTGCCCCCAGCCTCTTTTATTTCTTAAAATAGGTGTTCCTGTTTTTTTTTTTTGAGCATTGAATTTTTTAAAAAGCATTCTTGTATGTGTAATTTAAAATTCAGTGTCCCCCTCTGTCACCCCTAAATTTTATTAAAAAGGAACACTTAAAAAGTAAAATGAGAAAGAAAGGGCACCCTGAGTGATTTCTATTTAATGTGGTTTCATATATTAGTTAAAATATATGATTTTAATTAGGAAGCAAACTCAGCTGTGCTTTCAGATTATTAAGCAATATTAATTTTTTCCCTCCAGAAAGCCTTTCAGATGTTAGTCATTGATTTATGATCATGGGATGTAGCTTCTTTGTCTGCAAATAACCAGTTGGCTTTAGTGTCTTTTGGTAGGAAGAGCAGAGGTTAGGGTCATCTATAGGCAAATAAGGATGGTCACCTTGTGGGTTTTCCAAGTCCCAAGGTCAAGCTGGCAGTGCTGGGCATGACATAATTGCTGGTGGAGCTAAAATGATCTGAAGCATTTGCATTTGTTGCACCCCCAAGACCATCATCACCAAATCTAGTCAAAGTCATTCTGTACTTCTACAGACCATCCTGAAAAAGTGGCAAGTTGTCTCTTTACAATTTCTTTCTTTCTCCTATGTGTTCATCTTACCCCGATTTCATCTGAATGAAGTGGCAGCGGCAGTGGTGAGCTACACCTCCTAAGGGCTGACTTTTACTAGGGTATTTAGTATCTTCTGACCCTTTTGATCCCTTGAATGGTGAGGCCACACTTTGGCTTATACTGCAAAATAATCCAACAGCCAGGCTGGTGGCCCTTACGGAGTTACACTCCAACTTCTGGGCTCAGAGCCTTGTTCTTTCTTTTATCTGGCATTATCAGCTATTGTAGTATTTTTGGCTCCTTAAGGCTAGCTTGATACAGTGTCATATTTTGATATGAAAGATAACAAGATATGATAGTACCACAAAGGGCAATGCTTAAGATTTGCAATGGATGTATTTTTCATTGTCTCCAATAAGAATTTTTCATTAGGTAGCATTTTCAGATAACTCCATTTTGATATTTATCTCTTTTATTTGGGCTATTTATTATGTCCCTCAAACTAGATTATGAGTTTTCTAAAGGCAGAAAGCATATTTCACTCACCTTTGATTCCCCATTCCTACAAGATCTAATATGAATTACAGAGAGCTGTTCAGCAAATACTTGTTGCATCAATGGAATTACAGCAGTAACACATATATTGACCTGGAACCAGAATCATGTTCTGAATGCAGAAGTACGTACTTTCTTTTTCTTTCTTGAGAACGCTGGATCTTTTTTAAAATGTTAATTTGCAGTTTGAAGCTGTTTAGGTTAAAAAAAAAATACAAGAAGCAGCAGCAAAAGAGACCAAGTAGGCACTTTTGGATACTATAATTACATATGAGGCTTGTTTTTATTATAGTTCTTCAGGCTTAATCATGCTTTTGATTCCATGAAATGTCATAGAACCACAAGACGGAGAAGGTCTCAAAAGACCTCTTAGTCTCTGTGTCTAAAGAGACATGAGTTTAAACTTCTGCAAGCATTTGCTTACCCTATAGTTTTCTTTTAAAATATCAAAGAAAAAAAGGACACGTCAAGGTCCAAACCATTTTTAAATAAATACTTTGTTTAATGCCTTTTTCACCTATGGTTTAACCATCAGATATGACTTTTTATTTCAGTTCCTTCTTTTCTTGCCAATTATGGGAGATTTTTTTTCTCTGATCTCTTTCTTTTTTTCTGTACAAATTTTTATTGTGTACATTTGAGGTTTACAACGTGGTATTACGTGATACGTATAGATAGTAAAATACGTACGGCCAGGCGCAATGGCTCACGCCTGTAATCCCAGCACTTTGGGAGGCCGAGGTGGGAGGACCACGAGGTCAGGAGATCGAGACCATCCTGGCTAACACGGCGAAACCCCGTCTCTACTAAAAAAAATACAAAAAATCAGCCAGGTGTGGTGGCGGGCGCCTGTAGTCGCAGCTATTCGGGAGGCTGAGGCAGGAGAATCACTTGAACCGGGAGGCAGAGCTTGCAGTGAGCCGAGATAGCACCACTGCAGTCCGGCCTGGGCGAAAGAGCAAGACTCTGTCTCAAAAAAAAAAAAAAACCAAAAAAAAAAAAACAAAAAAACTTACTATAGTAAAGTAGATTAACACACCTATCATTTAACAGTTACTTTTTTGCGTGACAATAACAGCTGAAATCTACTTATTTAACCAAAATCCCCAATACAATACAATTTCATTTTATTTCTTATTTATTATAATTATAATTATAATTATATTTGAAATGGAGTCTTGCTCCTGTCACCCAGGCTGGAGTGCAACGGCGCCATCTTGGCTCACTGCAACCTCCGCCTCCCGGGTTCAAGAGATTCTCCTGCCTCAACCTCTCGAGTAGTTGGGATTACAGGTGCCTGCCACCACGCCCAGCTAATTTTTTGTATTTTTAGTAGAGACGGGGTTTTAGCATGTTGGCCAGGCTGGTCTCAAACTCCAGACCTCAGGAGATCCACCTGCCTCGGCCTCCCAAAGTGCTGGGATTACAGGCATGAGCCACCGCGCCCGGCCACAATTTTATTAACTGTAGTTCACATATTGTACCTTAGATCTCAAGACCTGTTTATCTTACATATCTACTATTTTTTATCCTTTTACCTACATTTCCCAATTTCCTACCTTGCTACTCTCATGGAAACTACTGTTTCATTCTCTATCTCTGTGTATTTGAGCTTTTTTTTTTTTTTAATTCCACATATAAGTGAGATCATGTAATATTTTTATTTCTATGTCTGGCTTATTTCACTTAGCATAACATCCTTCTGTCTTCCTGGTCCATCCATGTTGTGGCAAGTGGCAGGATCTCTGTTTTAAAGCCTAAACAATATTCTACTGTACACACACACACACACACATACCCCACCACCACATTTTCTTTATCTACTCATCCATCTATGGGCATTTAGGTTGTTTCCATATCTTAGCTATTGTTAATAATGCATCAGTGAACCTGGGAGTGCAGATATCTTTATGAAGTGGTGATTTTGTCTCCTTTGGGGATATACCCAGAAGAGGAATTTCTGGGTCTTATGGTACTCTATTTTTAATTATTTTTGGAATCTCCATACTGTTTTCCATAATGACTGTACCAATCTACATTTCTAACAACTTTGTACAATGGTTCTCTTCACTGTATACCCTTGTCAACATTTGTTATTTCTTGACTTTTTGATAATAGTCATCCAAACAGGTGCGAGGTGATAGCTCATTGTGGTTTTAATTTGCATTTCCCTGATAGTTAGTGATGTTGAGAACATTTTCATATACCTGTTGGCCATTTTTATGTCTTTTTTTTTGGAGAAATATCTATTCAGCTCCTTTTCCCATTTTAAAAATCAGATTATTTGCTTTTCTGCTATTAAGTTGTAAGAGTTCTTTATAAATTTTGGATATTAAGCCCTCCTCAGATATTTGGTTTGCAATTATTTTTTCCCAGCTCATAGTTGCCTTTTCATTTTGTTGTTTTCTTTGCTGTGTATAAACTTTTTAGTTTGATATTTATTAATTTTGTTTTTGTGGTAAAAGCTTTTGGTGTGTTATCCAAAAAATATCATCACCAAGACCAATGTTAAGGAGGTTTTCTTCTATGTTCTCATCTAGGAATTTTATAATTTCAGGTCTTACATTTTTGGTCTCATATCCATTTGGAGTTTCTTTTTGTATACGGTGTAAGTTAAGGGTCTAATTTTATTCTTTTGCGTGTGTAAATCCAGTTTTCCTATTGAAGAAACTATCTGTTCCTTATTCTGTCTTCTTGGTATTCTCGTCCAAATTTAGTTGACCGTATCTATTTAGATTTATTTCTGGGCTCTCTATCCTGCTCCATTGGCCTATGTTTCTGCTTCTATGCCAGCACTATACTTTTTCCCTTCCCCCCTTTTTTTTGGGGGGTTGTTGTTGTTGTTGAGACAGGGTCTCACTCTGTCACCCAGGCTGGAGTGCAGTGGCACGAACATGACTCACTGCAGCCTCTACCTCGCAGGCTTAAGGGATCCTCCCATCTCAGCTTCCTGAGTAGCTAGGACCACAGGTATGTGCCACCACTCCCGGTTAATTTTTGTATTTCTTGTAGAGATGAGGTTTTGCTGTGTTGCCCAGGCCAGTCTCAAACTCCTGAGCTCAAGCAATCCTCCCGCCTCAGCCTCTCGAAGTACTGAGATTACAGGTGTGACCTATCACACCCAGCACTTTTTTGCTTACTATTGCTTTGCTATATAATTTCAAACCAGGAAGTATGATACCTCCAACTTTGCTTTTGTTTCGTAGTACTGCTTTGGCTATTTGGATTTTTTTTGTATGTGGTTCCGTACAAATTTTAGGATTGTTTTTTCTATTTCTGTGAAAAAAGCCATTGGAATTTTGGTAGGGGTTGCATTAAATCTGGGTATTGCTTTGGGTGGTATGGACATAAACAATCCGGTTTCTTTTCCGCTTGCATAAATCTTTTGGCTTTTCTTCTTCTCTTTTCAAATAGAACTTTAAACTCCTCACTTTTCTACTATGCAGAACAATTTAACAGACAGCACTTGTTTCTTGAGCATGCACCAGCAGGATATGGGGTGAGTCTTACCCTTGACCAGTAGTTATTAATCAAGACATCTATTCCAGGACAAATACGATGCTTTCCCTAACAGGGATTTGGGTGAATGAGATTTTTCTTCATCTCATTACGTTTTCACATATACTTCTAAATAAATGATTCCCTTCCTTTGTTCTTTCAACATAGTGCTTAATTTCCAGAAATACAACCTTGTTTCCTCTCTTTTTGGTTCTCTGCTCAGGTCAACACCCATCATCTAGTTTTAGACCCACAGCTGATTACATGGTTCTAAAATAAGCCAGACTGCTCCAGATTGTAGCATTTATAGGTTGTTGAAAGTGCTGGTGACTCAGTTCCTGGAGTTTGTCAAACACCACCACTGCCAACACAAGCTATGTTTTGCCATCATCTTCATTATTATTGTTGTCATCCTCATTATTTTTTGCTTTCCATTGGATTTCTAGGTTTCCCACTCTGCTTATTTTGTTCTACTAGTGAGCTGTTCTTTTTTTTTGGTACTCTTTAAAAGAATTCTAAAGGTTAAAATAGTGTATGTAATAGTTGCTTGATGGATTCACTTTGGCCGATTCAAGGCATATTGATCATATGAAGGCTGATCATTTGGTTGTGGACTTCTTGTCCTGCTGTCTTAAGAAAGACTTTTGAGGCCGGGCGCGGTGGCTCACACCTGTAATCCCAGCACTTTGGGAGGCCGAGGCGGGCGGATCACGAGGTCAGGAGATCGAGACCATCCTGGCTAACACGGTGAAACCCCGTCTCTACTAAAAATAAAAAAAATTAGCCGGGCGAGGGGGCGGGCGCCTGTAGTCCCAGCTACTCGGGAGGCTGAGGCAGGAGAATGGCGTGAACCCCAGGGGGCGGAGCCTGCAGTGAGCCGAGATTGCGCCACTGCACTCCAGCCTGGGCGACAGCGAGACTCCGTCTCAAAAAAAAAAAAAAAAAAAAAAAAAAAAGAAAGACTTTTGAAAAATGTGGTGATAGAAACACCTTGCAGCACGCTAAGGGAGCCATGCTATGGTCTGAATGTGCCCTCCCCAAATTCATGTGTTGAAACTTAATTGCCAATGTGATAGTATTAAGAGGTGGGGGTTTAAGTCATGAGGGCGGAGCCTTTGGGATTAGCATGTTTAAAAGAGGTGTGAGGGAACTGGTCACACTTTCTGCTACATGAGGATGCAATAAGAGGTGCCATCTTGGAGATAGAGAGCAGTTCTCACCAGACACTAAATCTGCTGGTGCCTTCATCTTGGACTTTCCAGCCTCCAGAACTGTGAGAACATAGATTTGGCATGGCCACTTTCCCCTTCCAACTCATCCATCGGGGAGTAGGTAACAATGTGTTATGGCTGCGGAGCTTTCTCCCTACAAAGGAAACACCAGGAATGACGAAGCAATCATTTCCCCCAACAGTCCTTTGCTTCTTTTTTTTTTTTTCTTTTTTTTAAAATTATATTTTCAATTGTTTTCAACTTTTATTTTAGGTTCATGGGGTACATGTGCAGGTTGTTATATGGGTAAATTGCATGTTGCAGGGATTTGGCGTACTAATAATTTTGTCACCCAGGTAATCAACATAGTACCCAATAGGTAGTTTTTAAATCCTCACCCTTCTCCCACTTTCTACCCTCAAGAAGGCCCTGGTGTCAATTGTTCCGTTGTTTGTGTCCATGTGTACTAAATGTTTACCTTCCACTTATTTTATTTATTTATTTATTTATTTATTTTATTTTCTTATTATTATACTTTAAGTTTTAGGGTACATGTGCACAACGTGCAGGTTTGTTACATATGTATACATGTGCCATGTTGGTGTGCTGCACTCATTAACTCGTCTTTTAGCATTAGATATATCTCCTAATGCTATCCCTTTCCCCTCCCCCCACCCCACAACAGTCCCCGGTGTGTGATGTTCCCCTTCCTGTGTCCATGTGTTCTCATTATTCAATTCCCACCTATGAGTGAGAACATGCGGTGTTTGGTTTTTGTCCTTGCGATAGTTTGCTGAGAATGATGGTTTCTAGCTTCATGTCCCTACAAAGGACATGAACTCATCATTTTTAATGGCTGCATAGTATTCCATGGTGTATATGTGCCACATTTTCTTAATCCAGTCTATCCTTGTTGGACATTTGGGTTGATTCCAAGTCTTTGCTATTGTGAATAGTGCCGCAATAAACATACGTGTGCATGTGTCTTTATAGCAGCATGATTTATAGTCCTTTGGGTATATACCCAGTAATGGGATGGTCGGGTCACATGGTATTTCTAGTTCTAGATCCCTGAGGAATCGCCACACTAACTTCCACAATGGTTGAACTAGTTTACCCTCCCATCAACACTGTAAAAGTGTTCCTATTTCTCCACATCCTCTCCAGCCCCTGTTGTTTCCTGACTTTTTAATGATCGCCATTCTAACTGGTGTGAGATGGTATCTCACTGTGGTTTTGATTTGCATTTCTCTGATGGCCAGTGATGGTGAGCATTTTTTCATGTGTTTTTTGGCTGCATAAATATCTTATTTTGAGAAGTGTCTGTTCATATCCTTCGCCCACTTTTTGATGGGGTTGTTTGTTTTTTTCTTGTAAATTTGTTTGAGTTCACTGCAGATTCTGGATATTAGCCCTTTGTCAGATGAGTAGGTTGCATAAATTTTCTCCCATTCTGTAGGTTGCCTGTTCACTCTGATGGTAGTTTCTTTTGCTGTGCAGAAGCTCTTTAGTTTAATTAGATACCATTTGTCAATTTTGGCTTTTGGTGTTTTAGACATGAAGTCGTTGCCCATACCTATGTCCTGAATGGTATTGCCTAGGTTTTCTTCTAGGATTTTTATGGTTTTAGGTCTAATATGTAAGTCTTTAATCCATCTTGAATTAATTTTTGTATAAGGTGTAAGGAAGGGATCCAGTTTCAGCTTTCTACATACGGCTAGCCAGTTTTCCCAACACCATTTATTAAATAGGGAATCCTTTCCCCATTGCATGTTTTTGTCAGGTTTGTCAAAGATCCGATAGTTGTAGATATGCAGCATTATTTCTGAGGGCTCTGTTCTGTTCCATTGGTCTATATCTCTGTTTTGGTACCAGTACCATGCTGTCTTGGTTACTGTAGCCTTGTAGTATAGTTTGAAGTCAGGTAGTGTGATGCCTCCAGCTTTGTTCTTTTGGCTTAGGATTGACCTGGCAATGCGGGCTCTTTTTTGGTTCCATATGAACTTTAAAGTAGTTTTTTACCTTCCACTTATAAGTGAGAATATGCAGTATTTGCTTTTCTGTTCCTGCTTTAATTCACTTAGGATAATGGCCTCCAGCTGCATCCATGGCACTGCACAGGACATGATCTCATTCTTTTTTTTATGGCTGTGTAGTATTCTATTGTGTATATGTACCACACTTTCTAAGTCCAGGTTGATTCCATGTCTTTGCTATTGTGAGTAGTGCTGCAATGGACGTACATGTGCGTGTGTCTTTATGGTAAAACAACTGATATTCCAGTAATGGGATTGCAAGATCGAATGGTAGCTCTGTTTTAAGTTCTTTGAGAAATCTCCAAACTGCTTTCCTGTGGCTGAACTAATTTACATTCCCACCAGCAGTGTATAAGCTTTCCTTTTTCTCCATGGCCTAATCAGCATCTGTTATATTTTAACTTTTTAATAATAGCCATTCTGAATGGTGTGAGGTGGTATCTCATTGTGGTTTTCATTTGCATTTCTCCAATGATTACTGATGTTAAGCATTTTTTCTTATACTTGTTGGCAGCATATATGTATTTTGAGATGTGTCCTTTGCCCATTTTTAATGGACTTATTTGTTTTTTGCTTGTTAATTCTGGATATTAGAACTTTAGTTCCTTATAGATTCTGGATATTAGACCTTTGTCAGATATGTAGTGTGCGAATATTTTTTCCCATTTTGTAGGTTGCTTGTTTACTCTGTGATAGTCTCTTTTGCTATGCAGAAACTCTTTAGTTTAATTAGGTCCCACTTCTCAATTTGTGTTTTTGTTGCAATTGTTTTTGGAGTCTTCATCATAAAATCTTTGCCAGGACCAATGGCCAGAATGGTATTTCCTAGGTTTTCTTTTAGGATTTTAATAGTTTTAGGTTTTACATTTACGCCTTTGATCCATCTTGAGTTGATTTTTGTATATAGTGAGAGGAAGTGGTCCAGTTTCAATCTTCTGCATATGACTAGCCAGTTATCCCAGCACCATTTATTGAATAGGGAGTCCTTTCCCCTTTGCTTGTTATTCTTGGCTTTGTCAAAGATCAGATGGTTGTAGGTGTGCAGATTTATTTCTAGGTTCTCTAACCTGTTCCGTTGGTCTAGGTGTCTTTTTTTTTTTATTTTTTTTTTTTTACAAGTACCATGCTATTTTAGTTACTGCAGACTTGTAGCATAGTTTAAAGTCATATAGTGTGATGTCTCTAGCTTTGTTCTTTTTGCTTAGGATTTCTCTAGTTATTCAGGATCTTTTTTGGTTCAAAATTATTTTTAGAATAGTTTTTCTAATTCTGTGAAGAAGAATGTCTTTGGTAGTTTGATAGGAATAGCATTAAATCTGTAAATTGCTTTGGGTAGTATGGCCATTTTAACAATATTGATTCTTCTTATCCATGAGCATGGAATGTTTTTCCGTTGGTTTGTGTCATCTCTGCTTTCTTTCAGCAGTGTTTTAAAATTCTTATTGTAGAGATCTTTCACCTCCCTGGTTAGCTGTATTCCTAGGTTCTTTATTCTTTTTGTGGCTATTGTGAATCGGATTGCATTCTTGATTTGGCTCTCAGCTTGGATGTTATTGGTGTATAGAAATACTACTGATTTTAGTATATTGGTCTTTTATCCTGAAACTTTGCCTAAGTTATTTATCTGATCTAAGAGACTTGGGCAGAGATTAGGGGATTCTCTAGGTAAAGAACCATATCATTAGTAAAGAGAGACAGTCTGACTTCCCGTCTTTCTATTTGGATGCCTTTTATTTCTTCCCCTTGCCTAATTGCTGTGGCTAGGACTTTTAGATCTCAAGTTTTGGTCAATCAATTCAGTGACTGGGACATTAACCCTGTGGTTAACCAACAGTGGGCTATCTATCCCCCTCATGGGAGGAGATCAGCAGGCTTTCACAAGGCCCTTGCCTCAGTCACAACCTCTGATCCTCTGGCTTTGATCCTGGGACTATCGAGAGGCAATGTGAATTTTCGCCTCTACAAGGTTCTGAAATAAGTCAGAAATGTATGTTAATTAAACCAATTTTAAGTACCTTCTACATCCAAAGCTAAGAAAATCTATTATTCTATTTCCCTTCCTAAATTATCCGCTATACTCCCAATTGTGGCTTATCTGAAAATGATTTCCCAAGAGAAGAAACCCTCCAGTGGATATTCCACCCTTGGTTTAGGCTTGGTGTGACTTATTATTATGATGCACCAACAATTCTGAATAATGTCAACGATTGAAAACACTCTTCACCATGGAGAGGACACCTCTTACTGCTTTGCTCTTTGTTTAGTTAGTCAGTGTTGTCAGAAGTTCTACAGTGAGATCAAGTGATATCATAAAATGCTCCAAAATGAAGTGCATGGAGACCCTGTAGTAGTAAAAGGCCTGGCAAGATAGAGATGTTCCACATTTGGGTATAAGCCTCCTCCCATCATCAAATTCCCAGAGAGGAATTAAGGCCTGAAGATTAAATCCCCTTGCAAGCTAAAGTTAAAAGACATGAAAGCTCCAGGGAATCGAATCCCCTCAGTAATTTAAATTCTCCTACTCCTGTGAGTTAAAAATCTAAAGACATGAAAGTGCCCTCCTCAGTTTCTTTTTCTGCTCAGTCTCATTGAGAGGGTGGGGTGGGCTCCTGTGGCACCTATAGCTTGGGATTCCTCTCCCTGGGAGGAGTATGGGTCCTTCATGGACTCCAGAATTGTTCTGAAGCAACAATTTTGGTGTTTCATCTTAATATGCTGCACACATTTGTCAGTACTGGCCATATTCACCAAATTAAAAAAAAAATCAATTTTCAGGCTCTAGAGCAGTTATCCCAGGGACAGTTATTTCCCTAGAACCCAGTATTTTATGTTACCAAATACTCTAAGTTTCCTGAGTGAAAAGTAGAAAAAGAAAGCCTTCTTTGTTTTAATGTCTCTAAGACACAAGAAGGTCAATGTCAAGCTTCCAGAATCCTCTTAACAATGCATGCTGTGAGCCAAAGCTGAGTAGGGAGAAATCTCCAAGAGAAACTAATATGACCTTGCATATCTACCATACCTGAAAGGAATATTCACCTGTACATCCATTCTCATTTCCAACAGAATATCATTTGAGGCCAGGTGCGGTAGCTTACACCTGTAATGCTAGCACTTTGGGAGGCCAAGAGGGTGGATCATGAAGTCAAGAGATCAAGACCATCATGGCCAACATGGTGAAACCTCGTCTCTACTAAAAAAACAAAAATAAGCTGGACAGGGGTCACACACGGGTCACACACGAGTCATTCACGGGTCAGCAATGATTCAGTCATGGGTCACACACTGGTCACACACGTCAGTCACATCCCCCCCCCCACATCAGCTATGTGTCAGAACATACCTGCCATGTGTCAGAAATGTGTCAGCCAAGTGTCAGTCATGTGTCACACACGTGTCAGCCACATGTCAGCCACGTGTCACACACATGTCATTTAAGTGTCACGTGCCACACGTGTTAGTCATGTGCCAGTCATGTGTCACCCATGTCAGACATGTGTCAGTCACGTGTCACACACATCAGTCACCTGTCACACAAGTGTCATACACCTGTCAGTCTGTGCCACATGTGTCAGTCACGTGTCACACATGTCATGTGCCAGTCACCTGTCATTCATGTGTCAGTCACATGCCACACACATGTCATTAACGTATAACACGTGTCATACACCTGTCAGTCACGTGTCACACACGTGTCACAGACGTGTCAGTCATGTGTCACAGACGTGTCAGTCATGTGTCACGCACCTGTCAGGTTGTTTAGGTTAAAGAAAACTGCATCCTGGGGAAGGTTTCTTCCTTATAAGAAATTAACCAAATGGGGTACCACTGAATGAGGATGATCTTGAGTACATATACAAGACTTACTAGTTCAACCTAAGACCTTGTTGCAGTTTTCCCCTTGGGAATGTAGAATGGAAGTTGAAACAGCCAATCTAGTACATCTTATGTTGGCTGGACACGAATAATATAAAGCTAGTATGGATATATGAAGCTAATGTGACATAAATGATGATAAATGATATAAAGCTAGCATGGATATATGTGAATCTCCCTAGTGCTCTGTAGTGCACATGAGTTTACCTTCCTTTAAGCTTAAAAAAACAAATGTTGTGCTATAACTAATGTCTCAAAGGCTTATAGGAAGAAACACTTGTGTTTCGCTACAACTGGACCCTTGCCTCGGGGGTTCTTATTGACTCAGGCTTCCTAACATATTCCAAGGCATCTGCAGAGGTCCTGCTGCCCAGACAGGTATGTTACATGTAGTTAAAGTTTGAACTGCTTTTGCCTATACTGTGAAGCTGCCTGTGCCTACTATGGGCCTGTAAGTTTGCTGAGGACAAAGCAATCAGTTTGCTTGCCAGCCTCTGGGTGAACTTCCTCCAGTTGCGGTTTTCTTGCCCCCACTAAATATTCTTCCTGGAGATTTTGCTGAGACCTGAGGGCTCCAGTGTCTTTGCTGAGGCCCAGTGGCTTTCAACTGACATTTCTTTGAAACCTCCCCATGGGTCAGGTTCTGCCTCTGGACTTGGCCTCCTTAAACTATAATCATCCACAAAAGTCACAATACTCTGCAGCCTAGACTTAAAAGTCTTTTGTTCAGGTTGTAGCAGTTAAAAGCCAACTACCCAGCTACAAAAACCTCTGTGCAGGGAGCAAGCTCCCAAAAGAAAGGAACTTCTCCTTCCAAATTCACCAATTAGTGAGAAAATGGGCAGATCAGAAGTATTAAAGGTATAGGAACTCCTCCCCGTAGAAGGAAATAGCAGGGTGGTGAAGAAGTGACTCATTTAGCAGATGCTGCTGCTACCAAAGAAGTAATTTAAAAATCTGAATAATGTCTAGAATCTCATAAGAAGCATTTGACAAACACAGACTTCTGAGCCTGATAATAGAGAAGGAAAATCCTAAATTCTACTGTAGCTTCATATTCCTTTCCAGTGGCTGCTGTTAACAACCTCTCACAAGCCTGGTTAAAATAACTGAAATTTATTCTCTTACAATTCTGAAGACCATAAATATGACATCAGTTTCACTGAGCTAAAATCAAGGTTTCAGCAGGAACAAACATACTCCCTCTAGAAGCTCTAGGGGATAATCATTTATTGCCTCTTCTACGTTTTGGTGGCTGCTGGCATTCCTTGGCTTGTGGCCACATCATTGTAATCTCTGCCTTGGTGTACACATTGACTTTTCTTCTTCTGTGTGTGTCAAACATTTCTCTGCTTCTCTCTTACGTGGACTCCTATGATTGGATTTTATGCCCATGTTTGTAATCCAGGATTATCTCTTCATCTCAAGATCCTTAATTCAATTGCAGCTACAAAGACTCTGTATTCAAATACAGTAAGTAACATATACAGGTTCCAAGGATTAGGATGTGGACATATCTTTGAAGAATCATTTTTCAGCCTGCCACAAGTTTCATGGGGATTTGGAGAAATAAGGACAGCCGCATCTCCCAATATTTTCTTCTATTGTAGGTTGGTGCAAAAGTAATTGCGAGTTTTGCCATTGAAAATAATAAATATCCTAGACAGTTGAACTGCCTTCTTTTCTTTCCTTTATCCCCCATCTCCCACTACCTTATGTTTGTTCATTCTGGTTAAATTCACAAATTAATCCAAGATTATGTGATATTGAATAGAAGGTTATCAGTATAGAACCGGAGAAGCATGAACATTACTCAGAGATCCTGGTCTTGGAATGGAAACAATAAATAACAGTGAGACTTTGAGTTTACTGCTTTTTAAATATTAGGGCAAAGGATAAGCATGTTTTTTAGTTGGACAAGGTATTTTTCATTGCATTATGCTATGTAGAAGCATTTTTTTAGAAGTGTAGAAGAAGGGTGAACATTGGTGTAGGATGGATTAAGTGTGGACCTCAGTGGACATTTTTATCCTTTGTGATTGCCCAGGCTCTGAATCCTTATCATACATTTGGGGGATTCCCTACCTTTTGAGGCAGAGCCAGTTTCCAATATTAAAACCAAAAATGTCAAACATTTGCTTGTAACTAGGGCATGGTCAGTTTCTCCAGAATTTGAATTAGCATTTAGTGACAGGAAGACTCAGGTATCACACAGATCCATTCTGGTGAGTCTGGAAGTTGTGATTTCAGCTACTTCCAGCCTCCAGTGGTAGACTGGAAGAAATTCTAGTGACACCACACAGCACCCAGTGTTGGTGGCATTGCAGTGCAAGCTATGCCCATTGAGGGCTACAGTAATGCTTTTATGGATTAAGTTCTGAGAAGTATTGAGGGTGCTCTGGTTTCTTGGCTGTTGTAGCCTCCACGTCTGTTCTTTCATATTGCAAATATTCTATAAGCTACTCAAAATGTTTTATGTACATTCCCTTTCTGCTTTATGAGCCAGAGTTTCCTTCTAATCATTGCACCTAAGTACCCTGACTAATACAAATGAATCGGTTAATTTTATTAAAATGTAGATAATAAAGTGAAAGATATTGTCCAGAAAATAGAACTAGAGGTTAAAAATCAAAGGAAAAAGGATGAGAAAATTGGAGATCAAACAAGGAGAACAAACATCCAATGAAGGAAGTGATCCAGAAAGATAGAACTGAGAAAAAGTAAAGGAAGAAATTATCAAATAAATAATATAGGAAAATTTCTCTTTACTGAAGGCTGAAAGTTTCTAGACTGAAAGCGTCCACCAATTACCCAGATCAACAAATGCAAAAAAACCCACATCAAGTTATAGAGGAAAAAACAGGTCACAATCAAAGGATAGCAATTCAAATGGCTAAAATATAGGATTCTAGAAGATAGTAAAGAAATACCTTCAAAATTCTAAGGGGATGTGACTTCAACTTAGGTTTCCATACCCCGTAAATCAATCAATCAATCAATCAATCAAGATACATGAGAAGTCCAAAAACTAATTTTTCATGTATCTTTTCTCAGGAAGTTATTGCAGAACATGTTTTAGCAATTGATAGGGTAAAATGAAAAATAGACATTACTTCAAGGAATCAGGGGATCCAATACAGGAGAGAAGTGGAGGGGAAGTTTCAGTATAAACAGCTAAGCATCAGGGCAAGGAAGCTACCAGTTCTCCTTAGAGCTGGATGGACAGTTTCATCCTGAAAGAGAAAAATGATATAACTAAATTAAATGGTTGGCTAGCATTTGAGTTAAATAATTATTGATAGGTACACATCAAAACAGCTGCAGCATTTGAAAAAAACTTGGAATGGGCACAGAAAACCAAGCAGTGATAAATAAAGCAATCACTAACTATGCTTGTAATCAGTAGCAATGATAAATAAAGCAATCACTAACTATGCCTGTAAGTAGCTGGTATTCTGCTACTTGTGAGGCTGAGGCAGGAGAATCACTTGAATCCGGGAGGCGGAGGTTGTGGTGAGCTGAGATCACGCCATTGCACTCCAGCCTGGGCAACAAGAGCGAAACTCCATCTCAAAAAAAAAAAAAAAAAGAAAAGAAAAAGAAATACCAGAAAACTGTATGTGAATGGGAATGTAATAATAATAAACTATTTGACTTGGAAATAAACAATATTTACATAATAAAAATATAAACACTGTGATATAAGAGGAAGTGTAGGGAAGAAAGGAGGTGGAGGGTTGGTGGGAATGTAATAGAGCTAATATTAACAGAAGTCACTAGATAATGTATAAGATACATTAATTAGGAAATAAATGCACAAGCACATTATTTAGAGAAATGAAGTTGAATACCAGAAGACATAATTCATTATGTTTGCAGTAGTTATCTCTCGTTGTCAGACTGAGGCATAGTAAAAGACAGCTTTAAGTATTTTATTACTATTTGATTTAATTATTAAGGAAAATTGTAAATTGATTTGCATCACATGCACTGTTAACTTGAAGCCAACTGTAAAATGAAGCCAACTGTATGTATTGGTCATAAAGAGTGAAAACTATATTTATTTGTCCCATTGTACAAGCCTATTCCAGCTTCAATTCCTTCCGTCCTCCCTCTTTTCCTTTCCATTAAAACAGAAGCTTCCCTTGCCCTAGGTAAAGGGAGGTATCAATTGAAAGACAAAGAGTGATTAAAGTCATGTATTATTTGCTTTGGAGCTTCCAAGTCTGCAGGTCTTGATAATTTAGAGATTATTAATAAATAATTTTACCTGACTTGAGTATCACATTACTCATCAATTTTGCAACCTAATCCCAAATTATATTGTGAATTATTGAAACAAAAGATAATACATCTTTATCCTTATAATAATAGTTATATATTATTGAACGCTTGCCCCATGCTAGATCTGTTCTAGGTATTTTATGTATTTCATCTAATTTATTCCTCATAGAAACCCTATCAAGTAGGGCTATCATTAATCTCATATTTAGTGGAAACTGATACTCCATATTGTCCTTGGATTGTGGCTGGAAATATTCTCTGTTCTCTTTTGCTGATATCCAGTAACTTGAGATCATGCACTTAGATATACTTGAAAAGAGCGTATACACCCTACAAGTCTTATGATTGCCATTTTCTGTTCATGAAACCTTTTTCTGCAACATTCAGTGGTGCAGCTGCAGATCAGGGAGCCGGGGTGTAGGCAGAACGTCTTTCTGTAAGTTCCCGCTGGGCTCAAGCTCTAACTCATTTCGATTATGCTACAATAACTGGCATTAATGCTGTATTTCTTTGTCCCTTCTGAACCCATGGCTGCAGGATATTTTTTACAATGTGGCATTCGAGACAGCAGCTCCTCATCAAATGGAGTTGTCTCAATCTGTTTGCCTTCCTTGATGTATGAGGCCCTTATTAAATGTAATCCTTAGTTCTAAACAATAGTATTCTGGTGAGGTTTGGCTTTCTCCCACTCCCAGATAACTATACAGATTACAAAGTGCTTTCACATGTATTGTTTTATTTTATCAGTGTAGCAATTCTCTGGGCTACATTTATGCAGTATTTATTACATGCCAGGCCGTCTAAATTATGTAACCCCCCAATCATTCAAGGTGGACGTTGTTATACCCATTCTATTGATGGGAAAACAGGCTCAGAGAAGTGAAATGGCTTGCGAAGACAACCAGATGGTAAAGGACAGAACTTGGACTAAAACTTGGACTTCTAAAGCAAGTTCTCAGTTTCTTTCAAACACTGTAGATGCCCTTAGGTTTCCAACCATTGAAGTAAATTCCACTCCTTTAGCCAGTTGCCTGGTGGAATATTGTTGTTCAGCAGGAGTTTCACCCATCTTCGTGTGTGTGTGTGCGTGTGTGTGTGTTTGTGTGTGTGTGTGTGTGCAACATCTACTTCTTTTAGGACCTTGAAATGGACCTATTCAGCTGGCCAACCACGAAATCTAATGCCTTATAAGCACAATTATTTGTCTTATGAGACCTAAGCTTTCTACCTCTTGGAAAGACCTGTATATATATGTCATTGGAAAATAAATTCCCAACACTGCTGTTTCTTAACCTGTGTAATGATTCTGCTGACAGCTGCTGAGTGAGTATAACTAAAGGGTATATAGATACCAAACCTTACATTAACAAAGAATCAAGGTGAATACATGTGCAGACAACCTTTCTTAAATTTCTTGGACCCCATCTTTGCCTAGTATATCTGAAGCATTTGGATCCTTACTTGAAAGGTGTGTTTTAAAATGAAAACATGGTTATTATGTTTAATTTTCTGTCTCTCTCACCTCTAGGTTTTCTAGTCAAAGTAGATTTCAGGCACTTCTTCTGTTAAGATTGTAATTCTCCATTCTTTTTTTCTTTCATATATTTTTTTCTGCAAGTAGAACCTATCACACTATCTTATAGCTGTTTTTTTCTTTAAAATAAAAATTTATAAGACAGGCACATAAATATTAGAAGCAGTTATCTTGCGGTAGGAGTGCAGGGATTATGCATAGGTATTGTTCTTTTCTCTCTGTACTTTTTTTGTGTTTTGTAATTAGAAAAAAGTTACATAAAAATGTACTTTAGTAATCTCTCTAAGGCCATACTTTATTATTTGTTTATTTTTTTTTTTTTGAGACGGAGTCTTGCTCTGTCCCCCAGGCTGGAGTGCAGTGGCGCGATCTCAGCTCACTGCAAGCTCCGCCTCCCAGGTTCACACCATTCTCCTGCCTCAGCCTCCTGAGTAGCTGGGACTACAGGCGCCTGCCAGCACGCCTGGCTAATTTTTTGTATTTTTAGTAGAGACGGGGTGTCACCGTGTTAGCCAGTATGGTTTCGATCTCCTGACCTCATGATCCGCCCGCCTCAGCCTCCCAAAGTGCTGGGATTACAGTCGTGAGCCACCACGCCTGGCCACATTATTTTTTTTTCTTTCTTTTTTGACAAGGTTTTTTTCTGTCTCTCAGGCTGGAGTGCAATGGTGTTCCAACCTCACTGCAGCCTCAATCTCCCAGGCTAAATCTATCCTCCCACCTCAGCCTCCCTAGTAGCTGGGAGTACGGGAATGTGCTACCACACCTGGCTAAGTTTTTGGAAAAAAAATTATCTTTAGCAGAAACAAGGTCTTGATATGTTGCCCTGCCTGGTCCCCAACTCCTGGGCTCAATCGAATCTCCTGCCTTGGCCTCCCAAAGCGCTGGGATGACAGGTGTGAGCCACAGTGCCTGGCCTGAGGCATGCTTTTTAAAATGGTGATGAATATCTCCACAAAACACAGACATGTGAGGAAATAACAAAAATCAGATAAATTTTAAGGAAAAGCAAGGTATGCTCAGAGATATTTATCTTTTCAAATCTGATTTGAACTATACCTGTAACTACTCTGCCAATAAGATTTATTTTCTTCGAGTAGTTTGGAGGAAATTTTTGAGAAGCATTGGGTGAACGGGAAGTGCTCAAGAGATAACCTGATAGGAATGTTCTAAAGAGGATTTCTGTACTGAGAAGAGAGGGAATGATGAGCTCTGAGCTCCTTTTCAGGTCTAAGTTTTTCTAAAGGCCTTTATGGAAGGCAGGCTTTTATAAAAAAGTGGGGAGGAATCTTAGATTTCTAGTTTGGAGGTGGTTCTACTTCAAGAGAGGTTGTTTGTGTTAACTAGTATTTATTTATATAGCACTTTCTCTTCTTCTGTACAAGATCAGATCATAAATTGAATGATGCTTTTCAAGGGCAAAATACCCCTTCTCCAATTGCTACAGGAAATTCACCATGTTTCCCCACTTGTCCAAGACATAGATCAGCTCTCTAGTTGATGATTATGGAGTTCACACTTTATAGCTAAATTTCATATTTTTAGCTCAATTTTTGTTTGTTTGTTTTCTGGTCATGACCCATATACTTATATTCCCAGAGCACAGAAAAGCAAAAGTGCTTGTGTCAGTGGATTCCCCTGGTCTGCTACTGGTTCTACGATCCCCTGGAGGGACTCATAGGACTCAATGTATAGAATGTATAGTCCTATTCACAGCAAGTATTTATTGCAGTGAAAGGATTCAGATAAAAATTGGCAAAGGGAACAGGTGCATGTCCAGGGTAAGTTAGGTGCAAATTTCCAGGGGTCCTTTCTTAATGTAGTCACAGAGGACACTCTTAAATTTCTCAGTAATGAGTTGTGACAACAAGTGTGAAATGTTGTCCGTCAGGAAAGCCCGTTAGAGACTCAGTGCCCAGGTTTTTCATTGGGGTCTGGGGGCATGCCCTCTCTACCTGCCTCTGCCTGCCATGTACCCAAATTCCAGACTCCCAGAAGGAAAGCAGGTGTTCATTGTAAACCATATTTGCACAGTTTAGGTACAGTGAGCCATTCTTGCCAGTGAATGGTAGGAATCTTCTGAAATCTAAGTTTCCAGATGTCAGCCTAAAGGCCAACCTTGTAAGCAGGGCTTTCTAAGGATAGCAGTTTTCAAGTCTGCTATGTTAACTCTTTTCTGAACTGTGATCTTTCAGACGTTTTCTGAAAAAGGGATCTAGTCTTGCCAGAAGAGGAAGGGCCTCTGACTCTTCTTTTGTAGATTTTGGAGAGATCCTAAGCACTGAACAAACCTCCCTTCCTTTTAACAACAGAAAGAATAGGAAGAATTATACAGGGACAATCAGTAGGAGATTTTTTTTTTTAATCCTTCAAATGAGACCAAATAAGTAGAGGCTTGTCTGCATGGGCATAACAACTTGGTCCAAGTAAATAACCATAAAAGAGATCCTTTACCACAACCCAGTGTCTGCCTTAAGTATGTGTTGGAGCAAGAAAATATATATATACAAGAGCCCCAGTAAGCACTTAGAGGCATCCTGCTGGCTGACTGACAGGGGCTAAATGCTAACTTCAGGTTTAATACACAGTCATCACATTAAACAATATTTACTTGCCAGGATCCTATTGTGTCTGGCTGTTACAGCTCCTTGATGTTTTTCTACTCTCCTTGCCTGGATGTCCTATCCAGCACATTGTCTGTCAGCCCTTTTAATTGCCTTTTTGATGACCCTAAGTTCCCTGTGTGTCTCCTAAGGTGCCATCACTGCAGAATCAGGAGAGTTGCCAGTCTCCTTCCTTGCTTACTTACTGTGTCTCTTGGTAAAATATGGCTCTCCTGGTTATCTGGTAAAGTAATGGCGGTGGGAGGAAGAAGAGTTAATGGGGCATCATCTCTGAAAAGTTGAGTAGATGGGACTAGACAAAGAATGGCAAATATGTGGCCAGTCCCCTCACTCCAGGCTCCTGGGCCTACGGTGCACAGAGAGCATGGCGTTATTTCTTGTTGTGTCCAACACAGTAATTATTCTGGGCAGCCATTTTCAATTCGTCAAAATTGACATAAAAATTGAAGGCTACTTATTCCTGGCTTAGATTGCTTTTAAAGTCCTTTTAATTTATAAGTTAAGTGATTACTTTATTCTTGTGAAGTGCATATAAGTAAAAACAGGCTAAGTAACATGGCTTAGTACCATGTACTGTGGAATATATAATATTTTTACTAATTACTGTGGAATATCTGATATTTTTAGGTGAAATGTGGACAAACATTTAACTATTGTAAACTTATTATGTGAATGAGGAGAATTAGTGAACACATCAAACTTATTTGTGAAAATGAAATGAAGTTTAGATTTATTAATATATTATATTTATTTAAAGGAAAAGGAGCCAAATTAAAGGTTATTTGGTAAATAATAGTACAGGTATGGCAAAAATCACATAAGTAGATTCAAATCCTTGCTTCGAAATGTCCTGACCATGTGAATTTGAGACAGATACTTAATCTCTATGGACTTCAGCCCTTTCACTGGTTGAAGGAAGAAAGTACTGCCCGCTTCCAGTGTTGCTGTAAGTATGAGAAGTAATGATATAGAAGCGGGGAAGGGAAGTGCTGGGAAGGGAAGGGCATGGTCCCTGGCGAGGGCTCCACCCTTGGCCTGTGCCCAATGACCTAGGTGAGGACAGATACTCCAGCCTTCCCGCCCAAATGTTGCATTTCCCAAGACCACCCTGGCCTGCCATGTCCCCATCATGTGCCTATAAAAACCCTGAGGCCCTAGCAGGCAGACACACAAGCTGCTGGAAGTTAAGAGAAACACATCGGTGGAAGAAGACACAAGTGGCTGGACATCGAGAGGACATGGAGGGGACCATGCTGGAGGAAGAGCACACGACAGATGCTGGCAGGCCAGCAGGCCATCAACAGGTGGAACAAGGCGGCAGTTGGAGAAAAGCCCAAGCCGCCGAGCGGCCCAACTCCACAGGAAAACCATCTCTCTTCTGGCTTCCCCATGTGCTGAGAGATATGTCCACTCAATAAAACCTTGCACTCATTCTCCAAGCCCATGCGTGATCTGATTCTTCTGGTACACCAAGGCAAGAACCTGGGATACAGAAAACCCTCTGTCCTTGTGATAAGGCAGGGGTCTAATTGAGCTAACAGAAGCCGCCTACAAACAGCTAAACTAAAAGAACACCCTGTAACACATGCCCACTAGGGTTTCAGCTGTAAACATTCACCCCTAGACACTGTCGTGGGGTTGAAGCCCCACAGCCTGCCCGTCTGCATGCTCCCCCTAGAGGCTTGAGCAGTGAGGCACTGAAGAGGCGAGCCACTCCTCCATTGCATGCCCCATGAGGGGGGCAAGGGAAGTTTTCCCGTTTCAGTAATATATGTCAAGTTTCTAGCATTGTGACTGACATATAGCAGACACTCAATAATAATCAGAATTAACTAAATGCTTACTATGTGACAAGGTTGTTCCAGAGCTTTATCTGTATCATTCTAATCCTCCAAAAACCTTTATGAGATAGGTACTATTATTGCTACCTTTTTTGCCAGGGAAGAAACTAAGGCACGGAGAGGTTAAGGTGGTATAATTTCCCAAGTCACAAGTTAGTAAGTGGTAGAAGGGAGATTGAACCAGGTGGTCTGGCTCTAGAACCTCCAGTTAACTATATTCTAACATCTACCATTTTAAGTACAATCTGCCATCATGTACTGAACGTTACCATTTAGGGGCCTTTCTCCAGGACCCTTTAGGTGGTCCCAGACACATGCTAACAGGGGCACCGAGGGACACTCAGCCTGGCTGGGAGTGGATGGGATGTATGGGGGACTAATGAAGGGACAAGCTGGTTACTGTTAATGATAGAGCAAGAGGCTCGGATTGTTTTTGATGCATAATGAGAACCAAGTATAGGTATTGATACGCTGATGAAAGTCAGGGATTTTTTAAGGTACTGGACATAAAAAGTGACATGATCAAGGCCCGCTAGTCTAGAGGTGAAGCAGCTGGCTAACTGCAGTAAAGAGGAACAGATGGTATGAGATGAGTCTACATGAAGCACAGCAGAGACACAAGGGGGAGAGGGTCAATTCTGCTCTGAGAGGAAGGGGCAGGGAAGGCTGCATAAGGAGATGATGTAAGCTGGTTTTACAAGGTCCTTGGGAGGTTTTGAGCAGAATGTCATGGCCAGAAACATGCATTTCATTAAATAGCCTATTTCCCGTCCACCAACTTAGGAAAAGGAGGGCCTGACTCCGGGTGGCGGCAGTGAGAATGGGGAAGAGGAATACAGAGGCCGACTTGAGGTGAGATTATCAGGAGATGATGATTATATATGGGGCCCAAGGGGAGTACTGATCTGAAGTCCAGGGATTGGGGTGCCTCTCTCAGGGACAGTTTATAGAAAGAGAGACTGCATTTGCTTCCATCCGAAGCACCTATGAGACCTGAAGGTGTAGATAAAAGACTACAGGAAAGAGATGATGGGTTTTGGGAACAGCTTTCTCTCCAGAAGGACTCTATTAAAAGGCATGTTATTGATAAGGAAAGAAAGGGGTCACTCTTGACTTTTACCCATCATCTCAGGTTAGTTTATTGTCACTGAAGGCCCCAAGAACGTAGGAGATGAGATGTGATTTCCAGAGGTGACGGGTGGGAAGCCACCTGAAGCTTCAGCCCTGCATTAGCAGGACATTGACCATCTCTGGTTCACTTGCATCTTGATTTGCTTTCTTGAGAAGAGGGAGGGTGTCTTTCCAGCTACTGGACGAGCAACTTTTGAGAGTCCTGGGTATTCATTTAAATTTCATTCAGCCAATGTTTACTGAGCACTTACTACATAGGAAGCATTATTCTTGAGGTTGAGTGTGCTGTATGAAACTAAAACAGCCCCCACTCTCCTGAGACTAACATTATGGAGGCAGGGAGCTAGTATGTAAACACATAAAGGAGTGGGCTGCACAAATGTCTGGAGGGAGAGGGTCTGGGAATATGGGGCAGTGAGAGCAAAGACTCTGCGGCAGGAACAAACTAGGTCAGATGAATGAGTTACTTTGTGGAAAAAGTCTTGAGTTGCTCTTCTAGACAATCACTCCTTCTCCCACTCCCTTGAATTTCGGGAAGTGGTCCCTGTATTTCTTAGTTACTAAGTGAACAAATTATCTTTGAGAGACCAGGGTATGGTTCTGGACTGCTTTGTAATTTAAAAGTTAGCCTTGGTGGTGGCCTCCGGGATTTTATGGTCTTTGAGCTCAAATACCCTGGGAGGCAATTGCCATCTAGTGGCAAGGAGAGAAAACACACCTGGTAGCTTGGGAAAGAAAAGAAGTTTCTTTAGGATATCAAGCCTGTAGCTCGTCTTTCAATCTTTGGCTATGAAATGACTTTGAAAATTTGCTAATTTTCTACTTTCTCAAAAATTCAAGAAAGTTGAACAATTGGCCCCAAATTAGTTACATTTCCAACAGAAAACGTCATTTCTTTGACATGTGCTATGCATTGTACATATTTTCACATTTAATCTCCACAGCAACTCTGCAAGCTGAACAGTTTTATTATCCACATCTTGAATATGAATATATATAAGATTTAAATAACTTTTCCAATGTCCTAGAGCTTTTAGATGACAGAGTTGGGATTAAACCCTAGTCTTTCTGAGGACAAACTTGAGTTACATTGTCTACCTACCTGTAGGTAGCTTTGAACGTGTGCTAAAGGAACTAGTTCTTATTAGACATCAGCAAGTGTTTGCTAAAGCCAAGTCAACTAAATATTGTTATGAAGAAAATGCTCAGATCTAGGATTTATAGAGGGAAATTACCGACATAAAGTTCAGCTGAGCACAAGGAGCTTTCTAGCAATTAGATCTGCCTACAGTGGAACAGGATTCCTTAGCAGGCAGACATGCATGGGTTGCTGTGGGGGACTGGCAGAACACAAATGTGTTTTGTTTCATCCAAGCCATGTCTTGTATACATTTGTATTTAAATGCTTTGTCTGGGTGTTATTTCTTGTTTGCCACCATCTCAATCTTTTCCTAAATAATACACCTGGCCCTCACATATTTACTTTACCTTCCTGGTGTGGTAAGCATTTAGGTTGATGACCACTGAGTGACTGACAGGTGTTTAAGAGGATATCCTATCATATATTTGATGGGTTACCAACACTATAAAACTATCCTATCAATTTTTTTAATAGGAGTGTTAATACAAATAACTTAGTCTACCATTATCATAAACTTTTTTTTTGCACAAAATAGGTAAAAATGTAAGGAAGAAGAAAAGATAACAACAATAACTGGCATTTATTGAGTAATGTTACTCTCAGTGACCATAAACTCTGATTTTCTGAGTTTTGAGCTCGTTATGCTTGTTGTTTCTGTGCAATTATTAATACAGTCCTCTTTCATGTTAAAAATATCCTTTACTCTGGGTTCCCCCAGTCTGTTCCCCAGGGTCAGCCTTTGCTATTAGTATCTTGTCCTTTACTTTGGAAATTTCTGTATATATAAATTATATAGGCATATATATATATATATGCATATGTACTGGCACATATATATGCATATGTACTTGCACATATATATATGCATATGTACTTGCACATATATATGCATATGTACTTGCACATATATATATGCATATGTACTTGCATATATATGCATATGTACTTGCATATATATATATGCATATGTACTTGCATATGTATATGCATATGTACTTGCATATGTATATGCATATGTACTTGCATATGTATATGCATATGTACTTGCATATGTATATGCATATGTACTTGCATATGTATATGCATATGTACTTGCATATGTATTTGCATATGTACTTGCATATGTATATGCATATGTACTTGCATATGTATATGCATATGTACTTGCATATATTGCCTTTCTGAAAGAAAAAAGTAAATAGGACTACATTATATGCATTGTTCTTGACCTTACGTTCTTTTTTAATCTAGCTTGCCTTAGAAATTTTTTTTCAATACACAAACCAAATGTTAAATTTAGCATGAATGTATGGCTGCTTTTTTAAAACTTTTAATTTAAAAATGATTATAGATTCACATGAAGTTGCAAAGATAATACAGAGGTGACTCATGTATCCTTCATCCAGTTTTCCCCAATGATTACATCTTACATAATCATAGTACAATATCTAAACTAGGCAGTTGGTACAATGTGTGTATATTCTCTGTCATTCTATCACATGTGTAGATTCATGGAAACACTGTTGCAATCAATATCCACAACTAGTCCATCACCATGAAGATCTCCTTTGTGCTGCTTTTTTATAGTTACACCTGTCCCCTGGCCTCCCACTATCCTTAAACCCTGGCACCGGCTAATCTGTTTTCTGTATCTATAATTTTGTCATGTAGAGAATATACAAATGGAATCATAAGTCTGTGACTTAAAAATTTTTTTAATTAAAAAATATATTTAGGGGGTACAAGTGCAGGTTTCTTACATGCCTATATCGTGTAGCATTGAAGTCTGGGCTTTTAATGTACTTATCATCCAAATAGTGAACACTGTACCCAACAGGTAATTTTCTGTCCCTCATCCCCCTCCCACCCTCCTACCTCTTGTCGTCTCCAATGTCAATTCTTACAATCCGTGTGTCTGTGTGTACCCATTGTTTAGCTCCTACTTATAAGTGAGAACATGCTAGTATTTTGACTTTCTGTTTCTGAGTTATTTTACTTAGGATAATGTCATCCAGTTCCATCTGGGCTTTTGCAAAAGACATGATTTTATTCCTTTATCCATATTTCCTTTATCCAATTCTCTGTTGATGGACACTTAAGTTGATTCCATATTTTTGCTATTGTGAATAGTGCTGTGATAAACATACATGTACAAGTATCTCTTTTTTCAACTTTCATTTTAGGTTCAGGGGTACATGTACAGCTTTGTTATATGGGTACATTGCATGTCTCTGAAGTTTGGTGTACAGATAATTTTGTCTTCTAGATAGTGAGCATAGTACTCAATAGGTAGTTTTGTGACACTCACTCTTCTCTTAACCTCTCCCCTGAAGTAGGCCACAATGCATGTTGTTCCTATTTTTGTGTCCATGTGTACTCAGTGTTTAGCTCCCACTTATAAGTTAGAACATGTGGTATTTGATTTTCTGTTCCTCCATTTATTCACTTAATATAATGATCTCCAGCTGCATTCATGTTTCTGCAAATGACATCATTTTGGTTTTTTAATGGTTGCATAGTATTCCATGATATATATGTACCACATTTTATTTATCCAGTCCATCACTGATGAGCATCTAGTTGATTCCATATCTTTATTATTGTGAATATCACTGTGATGAACATACATGTCTTTTTGGTTGAATGATTTATGTTCCTTTGGGTATATATGCAGTAATGGGATTGCTAGGTAAAATGGTAGTTCTGTTTTAAGTTCTTTGAGAAATGTTTAAACTTTCTATAGCTCTTCACAGGGCTGAACTAATTTACATTCCATCAGTAGCGTATAAGCATTCCCTATTCTAGATGACCTCACTAGCATCTGTTATTTTTTTACTTTTTAATAATAGCCGTTCTGACTGGTGTGAGCTAGTATCCATTGTGGTTTTGATTTGCATTTCTGTAATGCTTAGTGATGTTGAGCATTGTTTCATATGCTTGCTGGCTAAGATTATGTCTTCTCTTGAAAGGTGTCAGTTGATATCCTTTGCCCACTTTTTAGTGGGGTTGTTTGTTTTTTGCTTGTTGATTTAAGTTCGTTGTAGATTCTGGATAAAGGGACTGTTGTCAGATGCATACTTTGTGAGTATTTTCTCCCATTTTGTAGGTTGTCTGTTTATTGTTGATACTTTCTTTTTCTGTGCAGAAACTCTTCAGTTTAATTAGGTCCTACTTGTCAATTTCTGTTTTTTTAGGTGTATTGGTAGTTTCATAGGAATAGCATTGAATCTGTAAATTGCTTTGGATATTATGGCCATTTTAACAATATTGATTCTTCCTATCCATGAGCATGGAATATTTTTCCATTTGTGTCACCTGTGATTTTTGTCAGCAGTGTTTGCAATTCTTGTTGTATAGTTTGTTTACCTCTCTGCTTAGCTGTATTTTTAGTTATTTTATTCTCTTTGTGGATATCATGAATGGGATTGCATTCTTGGTTTGGTTGTCAGTTTGGAACATTATTGGTGTGTAGAAATGTTATTGACTTTTGTACATTGATTTGTATGCTTAAACTTTGCTGAAGTTGTTTATTAGTTCTAGGAGCCTTTAGGTAGAGACTATGGAGTTTTCTAGGCATAATCCACATTGTCTGTGCAGAGAGATAGTTTGATTTTCTCTCTTTCTATTTGGATACCTTTTATTTCCTTCTCTTTCCTGATTGCTCTGGCTATGTTGTATAGGAGTGGTGACAGTGAACATCCTTGTCTTGTTCTGGTTCTCAAGGGGAATGCTTCCAACTTTTGCACGTGTTCAGTACGATGTTGACTGTGGGTTTGTCATAGATGGCTCTTATTATTTTGAGGTATGTTCCTTCAATGCCTAGTCTGTTAAGGGTTTTTACATGAAAGAGGACGAATTTTGGTTTTGCGTGTTGAACCAATCTTCCATCACAAGAATAAAGCCCTACTTGATTGTGGTGAATTAGCTTTCAGTTTATTAGTATTTTGGATTCAGTTTACTAGTATTTTGTTGAAGATTTTTGCATCTATGTTCATCAGGGATTTTGATCTGAAGTTTTCTTTTTCATTGTGTCTCTGCCAGGTTTTGGTATCAGAATGATATTGGCCTCATAGCATGAGTTAGGGAGGAGTCACCTCTTCAATTTTTTGAAATATTTTTAGTTGGATTGGTACCAGCTCTTCTTTGTACATCTGGTCGAATTTAGCTATGAATTCATGTGCTTTAGGACTTTTTCTGGTTTGTAGGTTTTTTATTACTAATTCAATTTCAGAATTTTTTATTGGTCTATTCAGGATTACAACTTTTTCCCGGTTCAGTCTTGGCAGGTTGCATGTTTTTAGAAATTTATCCATTTCTTCTAGGTTTTCTAGTGTGTGTGCGTAGTGATGTTCATAATAGTTCCTGAGGGTTTTTTGTATTTCTGTGGGGTCAGTGGTAATGTCACCTTTGTCATTTCTCATTGTGTTTATTTGGGCCTTCTCTCTCTCTCTCTTTTTATTAATCTAGCTACTGGTCTATCAATTCCTTTTATTCTTTCAAAAAACCAACTTTTGGTTTCAATGATCTTTTGCATGGATTTTCATATCTCAATTTCATCCACTTCAGCTCGATTTGGGTTATTTCTTTTTTTTCTGCAAGCTTTGGGGTTGCTTTTCTTTTCTTTTTCTAGTTTTTTTAGGTGTGATGTTAGGTTGTTCATTTGATAGCTTTCTAACTTCTTGATGGGCATTTAGTGCTATAAACTTTCCTCTTAACACTTCTTGGCTGTGTCCTAGACATTCTGGTATGTTGTATCTTTGTTCTCAATAGTTTAAAGAATTTATTGATTTCTGCCTTAGTTTCATTGTTTACCCAAAAGTCATTCAGGAGCAGGTTGTTTAATTTCCCTGTGATTGTATGGTTTTGAGTGATCTTCTTAGTATTGATTTCTATTTTTATTGCACTGTGGTCTGAGAACACGGTTAGTATGATTTTGGTTGTTCTGAATTTGTTTGAGAATTGCTTTATGGCTGAGCATGTTGTCAATCTTAGAGTACACGCCATGTGCAGATGAGAATAATGTATATTCTGTTGTTGTTGGGTGGAGTGTTCTATATCTTAGATTACATGCCATGTGCAGATGAGAAGAATGTATGTTCTATTGTCAGTTGGAGTGCTGTATAGCTGCCTGTTAGGGTCCATTTGGTCAAGTGTCAAGTTTAGGTCCCAAATATCTTTGTTAGTTTTCTGCCTTGATGAGCTGTCTAACACTGTCAGTGGGGTGTTGAAGTCTCCTGCTGTTATCGTGTGGTTATCTAAGTCTCTTCATAGGTCTGTAAGAACTTGTATGAATCTGGCTGCCCCAGGGTTGGGTGCATATATATTTAGGACAGCTAAGTCTTCTTGTTGAATTGAACCCTTTATCATTTCATAACGCCCTTCTTTGTCCTTTCTGATCATTGTTGGTTTAAAGTCTGTTTTGTCTGAAATAAGTATAGCAACCCTTGCTCTTTTTTGTTTTCTATTTTCTTGATAGATCGTTTTCCATCCTTTTACTCTGAGCCTATGGGCGCCATTGCAGATGAGATTGGTCTTTTGACAGCAAGCACTTGGGTCTTGCTTCTTTATCCAACTTGCCACTTTATGCCTTTTAAGTGAAATGTTTACACCTTTACATTCACACATATTGATATTGTGAATGTGTTGACACCATTCATAGACCTTTACATTCAAGGTCAATATCGATATCTAAGGATTTAATTCTGTCACTGTGTGTTAGCTGGTTGTTCTGTAGACATGATTGAATAGTTGCTTTATAGTGTGAGTGGGCAATGTACCTAAGTGTGTTTTTGTGGTGGCAGGCCTCAGTCTTTCATTTCCATGCGTAGCACCCTCTTCAGGATCTCTTGTAAGACAAGTCTGGTGATAATGAATTCCCCTGGCATTTGTCAGTCTGAAAAGGACTTTATTTCTCCTTCACTTATGAAGCTTCGTTTGGCTGGATAGGAAATTCTTGGTTGGAATTTCTTTTCTTTTCTTTTTTTAAGGCATAATCTTACTCTGTTGCTCAGGCTGCAGTGCAGTGGTGTGATCTCAGCTCACTGTAGCCTCAACATGCTGGGCTCAAGTGATCCTCCCACATCAGCATCCTGAGTAGCTGGGACTGCAGTACATGCCACACACCTGGCTAATTTTTTATTTTTTGTAGAGATGTGGGTCTGACCTAGTTGCCCAGGCTAGTCCAAAATTTCTGGGCTCAAGTGATCCTCCTGCATTGGCCTCCCAATGTGCTGGGATTACAGCCATAAGCTACAACACCCAGCCTAGAATTTTTTTTCCCTTAAGGATGCTGAATACAGGGCCCTAATCTATTTTGGCTCGTAAGGTCTCTGCTGAAAGGCCTGCTGTTAGTGTGACAGGGTTCCCTTTGTACCTGACTTTCCCTTTCTTTCTAGCTGCCTTTAAGATTTTTTCTTTCATGTTGACCTTGGAGAATCTGACGACTATGTGTCTTGGGAATTGTTGTTCACCATCTAGTGTATCTTGCAGGGGTTCTATGAATTTTCTGAATTTGCCTGTTGACCTCTCTAGCAAGGTTGGGGAAATTTTTGTGGACAACATCCTCAAATATGTTTTCCAAGCTGCTTCCTCTCTCTCCAACTCTTTGAGGAATGCCAATGAGTTGTAGGTTTGGTCTCTTTACATAATCCCATATTTCTCAGAGGTTTTGTTCATGTTTAAATTTTTTAAAAAATTGTTGTCTGCCTGTGTTGGTTTGAAGGAGCAGTCTTTGAGCTCTGAGACTCTTTCCTCAGCTTCGTCTATTCTGTTATTAATGCTTCTGATTTCATTATGAAATTCCTGTAGTGAATTTTTCATTTCTAGAGGTTTAGTTTGATGCTTTGTTAAAATTGATATGTCATCTTTCAACTCTTGGATTGTTTTACTGGTTTTCTTGATTGGGTTTCAATCTTCTCCTATATCTTTTTGAGCTTCTTTGTCATCCAGATTCTGAATTTTATGTCTGTCATTTTAGCCACTTTAATCTGGTAAGAACTATTGCTGGGGAGCTAGTGTGGTTGTCTGAGGGTAAGAAGACACCCTGACTTTTAGAGTTGCCAGAATTCTTGTGCCGGTTGTTTTTCATCTGTGTGGGCTGATGTTCCTTTAATCTTTGAATTTGTTATCCTTTGAATGGGCCTTTTTGCTTTTATATTTTTTGATGCCCTGAAAAGTTTAACTGTGGTATAAGTTGGGTGTAGTTGACTGGCTTCATTTCTGGATGCTTTCAGGAGGCCAGGGCTCAGCTCAGCACTCCTGAGCTTCATGCTCCAACTATGGGGTGCTGGGACCAGGTCTGCAGCTTTGTTTTTGGCCCCTCAAGGTCAAGCACCTGCTATGCTTGAGGTGCCAAGGTGTTCCCAATTTGCTAGAAGCAAATTGGGAACCCCCCAATGGCGGCTGCCAGAAAAGCACTCTAGCAGGGTCTCCTGAAGACAGCAGAAACTTGATTGGTGAATTCCCATCCACTCTGCCATTCGATGTCTTTTAAGTAGAGAATTTAGGTCATTCATATTCAACGTTAGTATTGAGATTTGAGGCACTATTCTATTCATCATGCTATCTGTTGCCTGAATACCTTGTGTTTTTCTCACTGTATTATTGATATACAGATCCTGTGAAATTGATGCTTTAAGGAGGTTCTGTTTTGGCATATTTCAAGGATCTGTTTCAAGATTTGAGCTCCTTTTAGCAGTTCTTGTAGTGCTGGCTTGGTAGTGGCAAATTCTGTCATCATTTGTTTGTCTGGAAAAGACTGTATCTTTCATTTATAAAACTTTGTTTCACTGGATACAAAATTCTTGGCCGATAATTGTTTTGTTTCAGGAGGCTAACAATAGGACCTCAATCCCTTCTAGCTTGTAGGATTTCTGCTGAGAAATTTGCTGTTAATCTGATAGGTTTTCCTTTATAGGTTACCTGATACTTTTGCCTCATAGCTCTTAAGATTCTTTTCTTTGTCTTCACTTTAAATAACTTGATGACTATGTGCCTAGGCAATGGTCTTTTTGTCATAAATGTCTCAGGTGTTCTTTGAGCTTCTTGTATTTGGATGTCTAGATCTCTAGCAAGGCTGGGGAAATTTTCCTTGATTATACCCTCAAATATGTTTTCCAAACTTTTAGATTTCTCTTCTTCCTTGGGAACACCAATTATTCTTAGGTTTGGGCATTTAACATAGTCCCAAACTTTTTGGAGGCTTTGTTCATTTTTTAAAATTATTTTTAATCCATCTTTGAAGCATTGGGTTAACTCAAAGGCCTTGTCTTTGAGCTCAGAAGTTCTTTCTTTGGCTTGTTAGATTCTATTGCTGAGACTTTCCAATACATCTTACGCTTCTCTAAGCTTGTCCTTGATTTCCAGAAGTTGTGATTGTTTTTTATTTGTGCTGTCTATTTCACTGAAGATTTTTTTCTTTCATATCCTGTGTAATGTTTTTGATTTCTTTAAGTTGAACTTCACTTTTCTCTGGTGCCTCCTTGAATAGCATAATAATTGACCTTCTGAATTCTTTTTCTGGCAATTCAACGATTTCATCTTGATTTGGATCCATGGCTGCTGAGCTGGTGTGATCTTTTGGGGGTGTTAAAGAACCTTGTTTTGTCATATTACCAGAATTGTTTTTCTGGTTCATTCTCATTTGGGTAGACTATGTCAGATAAAAGATCTGGGACTTAAGGGTTACTGTTCAGATTCTTTTGTCCCACAGAGTGCTCCTTTGACATGGTGTTCTTCCCCTTCCCCTGGGAATGAGGCTTCTTGAGAGCTGAACTGCAGTGATTGTTTGTGGTCTTCTGGGTCTAGCGACCCTGCAGAGCTGCTGGGCTCTGGGCTGGTGCTGCGGAGTGTCTGCAAAGAGTCCTGTGATATGAACTGTCTTCAGGCCTTTCAGCCCTGGATACCAGCACCTGCTCCAGTGGAGGTAGCAGGGGAGTGAAGTGGACTCTGTGAGGGTCCTTGGTTCTATTTTTGTTTAGTGTGCTGGTTTTGTATTGGCTGGCCTCCAGCCAGGAGGTGGTGCTTTCCAGAGTGCATCAGTTGCAGTACCACAGGGAGGATGCAAACTTGCCCTAGGGATGCCTGGTTAAGTATTCAGGTTTCTCAGAAGGTGGGCAGGGCCCTAGAGCTCCCAAGAGATGCCCTTTGTCTTCAGCTACCAGGGAAGGTAGAGAAAGACCACCAGGTGGGGGCAGGGTTAGATGTGTCCGAGCTTAGACTTTCCTTGGGCAGGGCTTGCTGCAGCTGCTGTGGGGAATGGGGGTGTGGTCCCTAGGCAATGGAGTTATGTTCCCAAGGAGATTATGGCTGCATCTGCTCAGTCATACAGGTCATCTGGGAAGTGGGGGAAAGCTGGCAGTCACAGGCCTCACCCCACTCCCATGCAGCTAGCAGTCCTAAAGACCAGTCTCACTCCCACCATGCCCTGCAACAGCACTGAGTCTATTTCCAGGCAGCCAGTGACCAGGGCTGAGAACTTGCCCCAGACCACGAGCCTCCTTGCTGAAAAAGCAAGCCGACTCACAGTTTTTTGGCATCTCAGGGAGTCTGCAGCAGAGATCCAGTCCCTTCAAAGGGTCTGTGGATTCTCTTGGCTTTCTTAGTATGTTCCTGCTGTAGTTCTTGGAGCAAAAGTTCACGACATAAGTCTCCACACGCTGCTCTGTCTGTCCAAGTGGGAGCTGCAAGCTAGTCCTGCCTTCTATCTGCCATCTTGTCATTTTATTCCTATAGTATTTTCTGACATGTAGAAATTTAAATTTTTATTTGGTCAAATTTGTCTATTTTTCCATTATGACTCCTAGGTTTGTGACTTATGTAAAAAGAAAAAAATGTTACCAAAAATTCTCTTGTGTTTTCTCTTGCCACTTTAAGAGTTGTAATCTAAAACACCAGTTTAGGTGGAACAGATCCTTTTCACTCAAGGTGTTGTTGAAAAGATGGTCCCTTCCACACAGACATTAAAAGATATGAATGATTTTTCTTTGTTTCACTGGAGAACCTCAGCATGGGCTCACCCGGGAGCTTATTAGAAATGCAGAATCTTAGTTCCTACTCAAGGCCATTTTGAATCAGAATCTGCATTTTACTGAGATCCCCAGTGATTCATATGCACATTAAAACTAGCAAAACATTAAAATGGGTTGTGTAGGTTTGTGTTTTTTCCTTCATTAAGCAATAGTCAGACCCTATAGGATGGATGAAAGAGCACCGTTTCAGCTCATGAAAGTTTTCACTATGTGGTGCACAGAGAATTTTAAATCTTGCTAAAGATTCGAAGATTTAAATTCATAAAATTGTGAAGACTATACTTGGGTTTCTTGGTCCACTCAGCTAAGGATTAATTTTATGAGAGATTAAGAGAGAGCTAATCTAGGTCTGTGTTTAAGAGGAAGTAATCACAGAATGTCTGGTTCTGTGATCTGTTTGCATTTCTTTCTGGTCATTGGTTTGAATATTTTCTCACTGACCAAGCCTGATGTTTTCATCTAATAACCCTGTGGAGATTTATGGAAACTGACTTGTTGCTATCAAGCTCTAGAAATGTCTTTTTTTTTTTCTTTTAAACCTTCCTTGATAGAATCACCCTCTTTTGTAACCGCCCACTCCAAGCTAAGCCCAGGTAGAATTGGCAGTTGGCTTGTTACTCTTACTTCTCTGGGCTTTTCATAAACAGTGGAATTATATTTACTTTTTCCTCTCTTCCTTTCATGCAGAGCCCAAGGATGAAAACAGAGAAGTAATTAATGGCAGCTTTCCTGGGCCAGAAGAATAAATAAGGAATTATCTTACAAACAGGTGCTTCCCATTCCCCTGACCAGCTACATAGTCATGTCAGGCATCATGATTCGAGACCAGCCTGACCTACATGGTGAAACCCTGTCTCTACTAAAAATACAAAAGTTAGCAGGGCATGGTGGCAACGTGCCTGTAATCCCAGCTACTCAGGAGGTTGAGGCAGGAGAATTGCTTGAACCCGGGAGGTGGAGGTTGCAGTGAGCTGAGATCGTGCCACTGGACTCCAGCCTGGGTGACAGAGTAAGACTCGGTCTCAAAAAAAAAAAAAGAAAAGAAAAATGTTTTTTCTGTCCTTAGATGATTCTTGTAAGCAAATTCTCTTTCCAAGTAGTTTGCCAAATTGATTTAATGAAAGTCCATATGCTTCAAACAGATTCCTAAAGCCTCAGATGCCAGGTGGGTGTTGGCCTTTTCTGGGAAAGATGTTTCACAACTGGCTATAACCTCTCATTCCAGTGTCCCAAACCCTTGGCCCAGCCAAGGGAGGTGACTGTTTTCTTTAGGAACTGAGTGACTGCTTCTGAGGAAGCTTGAGTAAATGTGAGGTTGGCTTCTGTTTGATAAACACGTGGCACTCAATGGGGACTTTTGGACAGAGGAGACTGCATGGGTGACAGCTGGTGGCCTTCACCAAATCCTGAAGTTAAATTTAGGGAATCAGACCCAAGAACACTAAAAGGATTAGGGGCTCTCCACCTGTCTTCCTTGGTCTTGCTCTCTATGCTCTCAGGTCTTCACTGTTGTAGCCACAGTGGTGTTAGAAGGACGAAAATGCTAGGGTAGGGATGGGGCAGGGGTAGTGTGAACTATAGTGGTTTTCAAAATGGGCAACATCAATATAACCTGGGAGCTTGTTAGAAATGCACATTCTCAGGTCTGCTGAAGACCGACTGAATCAGGAAATCTAGGGGTGGGGCCCAAGACCTCCAGGTAATTTTGATGCATGCTAACATATGTGAACCAGCATTTTAGAAAGTTTATGCTACTTAAAGAAAGTCTGTGAAGCAACACCCCCTGGGAACTTGTTAGAAATGCAGAATCTCAGGCCCCACCCTTCTGAGATTCAGGTTTCATTGGTCTAGGGTGGAGGAGCCCAGTTATTGGTCATTTAAAAAACCTCCCGTGTGATTCTAACTTTGCATCCAGAATAGAGAATTACTGCTCTAAGGAAGAAATTGTTAAATGCATTTTATGTTTTCCAGGAGAAAAGATGGTCCCTTCCACAGAGACAGTAAAAGATATGAATGATTTTTCTTTGTAGATTCACTGGAGTTCCACTAGAATAGTGCAGTTATCACATCTTCCTCCAAAGAGGGGTAGGTTTCAGAGTTTCAGCAGTAGAAGAAATCTGGGAGGAATCAAGCCAGTGTGCAACATCAACATCAGTTATATTAGGCTGTTCTTGCATTGCTATAAAGATATATGAGACAGGGTACTTTTTATAAAGAAAAGAGGTTTAATTGGCTCACGGTTCTGCAGGCTTTACAAGAAGCATAGTGCTGGCATCTGCTCAGTTTCCACGGAGGCCTCAGGAAGCTTACAAGCATGGCAGAAGGCAAAGGGGGAGCAGGGACGTCACATGGCCAGAGAAGGAGCAAGAGAGAGAGTAGGAGGAGGGTGGCGGGGTGAGGTGCCACACACTTTTAAACAACCAGATCTTGCACTAACTCAGTATCACGAAGACAGCACCAAAGTATAAGGATCCGCCCCCATGATCCAAACACCTCCCACCAGGCCCCACCTCAAGCACCGTGGATTACAATTCAACATGAGATTTGGACGTGGGTAAATATCCAAACTATATCATCAGTCAGTGCTCCTTTCAATTGCCTCAGGGGAATGCAAGAAAGAGCTAAGAGGAAGTTACTACCAGTGTGATGAGAAAGCTGTGAAGTACTGAAATATGGAATAAGAAAAGGAGGGCCCAGCAGTCCAAATTCAAGTCCAACCCAGCCCTGGGTCAATACCTGCAATCAAGGGCTCTACCTAAATGTTGGGGACGGGGTTAGCCAGTAGGAGAAAGGCCCAGCCTGGGGGAGCAGAAGGCAGTCCTTCCAGGCAAGCTTCAGAACTGGCCCAGCCAGCTGTGTGCCAGTCAGCACTTGGCTGCAGCCACCATAGGACACTGAAAAGAAACTGTCTTGGGCATTCAGGCTAATCAAACTGACTGTGTATATATGATATCCTGAGGAAGCTGCAGCTCTGTGATTGTATTAACGTCTGCTCCCATTAAGACCTGCTTCCAGTGTCTTATATTCTTTGGAGTGACTGGCTGTTACATCTTTGTTAAATTTTAAATTTACTCAGTGTTCCTCTTCTTTGGCTTGTGTAAGACAATAAGCTGGATTTTAATATTCTCCAAACCACCACTGGTGCTTTAGGCGTGGGTCTCATGGAATAAATGCAGGGGACGTGAAAGCTTGAACAAGATCATGGAAGTATGACCGTGAGATTTTTTATCTCAATCTCACATATATTCTTTTAGTTCTTGTTGGTATTAGATACTTTACTGAATATCAAAATGCCGAAGGCTTGCTCCCATCATTTAAGAAGGGGGTCATAAGGATTAAAACACATAATCTTCAACAATAAAAATGTAAGTTGAAAAGGCAAAGACTGTTACGTAGAAAAGAACACAGGACCAGTAGCCAGGGTATCTAAATATGAATTGCATCTTTTTCCTCAGATAATTGTATATCTTAGTTTTCTTCTCTATAAATGAATAAAATGAATTTATCACCCCCAGTATTTTTTTTTCTTATCTTGAAGGATTATCTTGAGAACCAAATAAGTTCAGGGATGTGAAAACAATTAGTGAAATAGGAACTTTTTCATTTTTTAAAAATTTTCATTTTTGAGATGGAGTCTCGCTCCATTTTGAGATGGAGTCGCCCAGGCTGGAGTACAGTGGTGTAATCTCGGCTCACTGCAGCCTCTGCCTCCCGGGTTCAAGGGATTCTCCTGCCTCAGCCTCCCAAGTAGCTGGGACTACTGGCATGTGCCACCATAACAGGCTAAGTTTTGTATTTTTTATTAGAAATGGGGTTTTGCCATGTGGGCCAGGCTGGTCTCGAACTCCTGGCCTCAAGTGATCCTCCTGCCTCGCCTCCCTAAGTGCTGGGATTACAGGCATGAGCCATTGCACCCAGCCAATGAAATAGAAACTTTAAATAGTCACTTTTGGCATTCTTTACTTACGTAACTCTATGCAAAATAACTTGCAAGCCAAAATTTTTAGTCATTTTTATTACTGTGAAATAAGGGAATCCCAGGCCAAGAGGGTGGAGAGTTCCCCAGAGTCTCTTTGACAGCTGCATTCTGCAGGACTGTCTTCATGAACTGATGCAGGCAGCATGAGGTCCAGCATAACCTGTGTTACCATTGGTTGTCATTTGGTGTGTTGTTGGATTGCTTAATGGGGAATAAACTGTGTTCCTTCTTTTTTCTTTATTGAGCAAATAAACCACAGCAACCATGAAATTAGAAGTTTGGTAAAACATGTTGCAGAAGAACCAGGAAACACATTGCAATTGAGCCTGCTGGGTGCTGCTGCAAGTTTGGGGGTGAACAGGAGAATCAGGTTCTTATAGGTAAGCAGACAAATGTGTAGAAGGGTTTTTTGTTTTGTTTAATTTTGAGTGTTGGTGGTGAGTATGAGGCATGATAGAGTATCAGAACATTCACATTCCACAAGAAGATGAAAATAGAAAAATATAAGACAGAATTTGAATTATAACATTTATCATGTGACCTTGGGCAACAAAAATAATCTGTAAGCATCATTTCTCCATTTGTTAAATGGCAACAATGCCCACCCCTTATAGAATTGTCAGTAGCATAAATAAGATAGCATAAAGTAACTATAGCATGTTGTGTTTAGCAAATAGTTATTACTATGATGATTATTTATAGAACTAGCTTGAAGATAAACTGTCTTTCACAGTAAAGATAAGGACTTAACAATAAACTCATTTTTCACATGAGTGTTTGTCACTGA
Organism: Homo sapiens; assembly: GCF_000001405.40. Lineage (NCBI taxonomy): Eukaryota > Metazoa > Chordata > Mammalia > Primates > Hominidae > Homo > Homo sapiens. The sequence continues at coordinate 102,681,782 of NC_000011.10, forward strand.
GGAGGCATGCCACTCTGAAATGTGTTGTTCTTGTCACCAGGGGTGAAGTCTGCAAAGTAGGATGTTTTCCTAATTTGAATGCAATGACTGAAGTGGAAAATGGTCAAGTGAGTTTTTGAAAGAAATATTTTCTCTAATATAAAATTTTTGAATTGATTCTTTTTTTTGTTTCTTAAAACAAGTTCTATTCTTATAGAAAAAGAAAAAAATGCCAGTAATCTTTATAATACCCATTAAAATAAAGTCTCTGTAGCCCACAAGGCCCCGAAGAAACTCAGCTCAAAGACCATTCGGCAGAAGGTAAGGCAGCATTCTCCTACATTGTAGACAACAGCTCTTTCTCAAGATGGTAGGATCAAAGTTTTCTCATTTTGTATATATTTCTACATTAACAAAAAATGTATGATCTTTTGTATATTTACTAAATACAACCATGACCTACATTAATGTCATGAATGATTTCATATACTTTTGAATGTTCTACTTTATTTTTAATTTTTTGGTTGAGACAGGGTCTCACTCTGTCACCCAGGGTGGAGTGCAATGGCACCATCTTGGCTCACTGCAACCTCCACCTCCCAGGTTCAAGCAATTCTCATGCCTCAGCCTCCCAGGTAGCTGGGATTACAGCTATTTTTTGTATTTTTAGTAGAGACGGGGTTTCACCATGTTGGCCAGGCTGGTCTCAAACTCCTGGCCTCATGTGACCCACCAAAGTGCTGGGATTACAAGCATGAGCCGCTATGCCTGGCCTCTATTTATTTAAAATATGAAAAGTTAGGGGCTAATTCCTTCCCACCCCTCCATCCCTCATCCTGCAAGATATGCCCCTGCTCTGGTTTGGAAAATCCACTAGAAGGATTAAGAGTCCTGGTAAGTCATGCAGAGTGAAATAGTGAGCTCAGTGACACACAGCATGGAGAATGGACACCCAACAGGAAGAATGTGCCCATATGCATAAATGGAATTGCTGTGGGGATTAGGAAAATGTACAACAAAATTGATCTTTAATCTGTCAATTAATGATTAGGGGTCAGTCCTCAATTTTCTCTTGTCTCTCTGGGTCACCACCTAAATGACCTAATCCAATCCTGTATCTCTATACAATGACAACTCCCAAATTTATAACTCTATGTTTAGACTCTTCTCTATACTTTAGACTTATCTGTGCAACTGCCTACTGGATATCTTGAATTTCTCTTCAAAGTTGTTCCTTCCCTGTGCTTTATCAATGCAGTGAACGGACGCTCCATTCTTCTACTTGTTCAGAAAAAAAAGTTGGGTTATAACTGACTTTTCTGTTGATATCACATCACACATCCAATCTGTTAGTAAATCTTGTCATCTCTACCTTCAAAATATAATCTCGGACTATTTCTCACTTGCTACCACCATCATCTGCTGTCTGGATTGTTGCAGTAGCTTCCTAACAGATATCCAGTTCCTACTTTTTTGCTCCTGTGGTTTACTGTCCTCAGAGCAGTCAGAGTGATTTTTCTAAAATACAAGTCAAATAATGTTGTTTCTGCTTAAATTTTTCTAGAACTGGGCAGAGTGGCTCACACCTACAATCCCCTAGGAGGGAAGGACAAAGGCATCCATATCACCTCGCCACAGTGGTTGTGGTGGAAGCTGTAGCACTGAAGAGATGCAGCCCCATGGAAGATGCTGCCAAGAGAGGGAGACAGAGCTACGTCTGGTGTCTCCCTTCCTCCTTACCTGGTGCCTCCCTCCTCCTGTCCTCCTGTCTCCCTTCAGATGAAGGAACTGATGCTGAGACTTGCACTCTACCATAGGCGGAAGCACCCACCACCCTGTTCCCAGCCCTGGAAGGGCAAGGAATGAATCTGAGGCAAATAGGGCCAGCACTGGCAGTCTGCTCGATTTTCCCTCAGAGCATTTATCTTCCTTGACATATTTACAATTTTTTGTCTATTTTTGGTTTCTCTAACTTGACTAGAATGTAAGATCCACAAGGCTTGGGCTTTGCTCTTTTGTTCACTATGTCCATAGCTCCTGTAACAGTGCCTAAAACATAGTAGGCAATCAATAGATATTCTTTGGATAAACAAATATGCCTCAACATTGAGTCTAACTTACAGCAGACATTGAATAAATATCTATTGAATGAATGAGACTAACAATTTACTACAAAAGCAGTTCTTATGTGAAATATGACAGGGTTGACATCTTAACTGAAATCCATCTTGAGAGATTTTTTTTAACCCACCGAGATTTCTGAGAACACATTTATTTGAAGAACCTTATATTTTATGATGCATTTTTATATGTGAATTTTTTGAAACCCTACTATCTTATTTCCTGAGGGGTTTTAGACTCAGCTATTCTTCATTTCATTTTTATACATTTGTGCAGCTGAACACTTCCTACTTTATTCTTTTTGTTTCTAAGTTCCTAAAAATAGTTCAGAAAATCCAAAATTATGAACTCGATTCATCCAAAAAAATGAACAAATCAAATAACTTTGAAAATAAATGCTTTCACTATTTATTACTAACAAAATTGAACAGTATAATCCAGAAAAATTGAGCAAAAATAATTTATAAATCTCAAGATTAAAACCAAATATGGCTTTATGATTGTATTAGTCCATTTTCACACTGCTATAAAGATACTACCCAAGACTGGGTAATTTACAAACAAAGAAGGTTTAATTGACTCACAATTCTGCAGGGCTGGGGAGGCCTCAGGAAACTTACAATCATGGTGGAATGGAAAGCAGGCACCGTCTTTACAAGGTGTCAGGAGAGAGGGAGAGCAGGGGAAACCACCACTTATAAAACCATAAGATCTCGTGGGAACACACTCACTCTCATGAGAATAGCATGGAGAAAGCCGCCCCCATGATCCAATCACCTCCCATCAGGTCCCTCCGTTGACATGTGGGCATTATGATTCTGATTACAATTGGAGATGAGATTTGGGTGGGGACACAGCCAAACCATATTGGTCAATTAAGCGATAAATACTATAAAAATTATAAATAGTGGTCAAACTGAAACATTTCTCTGTTTCAGAAACTTTTCACTTTAAGAAAGTCTTAAATTCATTGTTGATTACCTTGTTCACATTTTCTCGATCTCTCCTAGAGATCAAATTAGGACTGATTTGTATCAATAAATCTGGATTTTGATTTCCTTTATGACTTTGGATAGATTTCTGGATGGTGAGTGAATACAGACTTAAACTTTAAGAAAGTGCCTGCTTCCAGCTTCTGGCTGGAGGCTACACTTCCCAGCCTGTCAGAACAGCCACCCTGAAAACTGCAATCCATTATGAGAAATAAAGCTCTCTTTTTTAAATTAAAAAGAAAAAGGAATTAAAATGTAGGATTTGGTGACCAATTTAAGTATGTTAAAGATATGTTTTGGCTACTGAGCTTCCTCTGAGATTCTTTATACTCAAACACAAACAAAGCACTGAATTTCAACCTGAAAATATGTCATGTGTTTCAAATAACTTGAAGAACAAAAACAACAACAAAAATCCTGTTATTTTCTGGGAAAAATGATTCATTTCAGGTAAAACCCATGACATATTTTTAGGTCACCAAATCCCACGTTTTAATTCCTTTTTCATTAGGAGAGTCCACCCATGATAAACAATAGGAAGGTTGTAATGAGTTTCTGTCTTTGTCCTCAGGCAAGAAGAAATTCAAATACATTCTTTCTGTGTGAATTCATTTCTTTTCCACCTCAGCTGTTCAAATCTCCAAAATGAATAACTATTGCCAGCACTGTCTTGTTCATGCTTGTTTTTAAAGCTGTTTCTTTCTTTTGAGACGTAATCGCAGGCCCTTAAGAAAACCAGAAGGGACAAGCCAAGTGTCAATTATGTTTGTTGTTCCAGCTAGTCTGTTTCTGTAAGTGTATGATATAGGACAGAAAGAATTGGCCCATATTTTTTTCCAATTTTGAGAAACTCTGAGCTTAATTTTTAGTTTTCCCAATTGTTTTTACTTTAGAATAAATTGCTTAGTATATCTAATTATAATAATGATGGCTCACATTTACTGCGCATTAACTACATCAAGTACTTATTGTAAGTGACGCATGTGACCAGTTGCCAATTGTTCAGGCTACAGCTTGGATCTGTTAGCATCCTCATTTAACAAATGGAGAAATTGTAGCACAGAGAAGGAACTTTCCCCAGGTTCCATGGTGAATAAATAGAGGAAGTGCTCAATGAGCCTAACTAATCTGGGTTGAAAGCTCATACTCTTACCCAGCCTCCAAGCTAGCAGATGGAAATCAAAATATCTTATTTTAAAGCTCTTTTCTAGGAGAAAAGATACCTTGATAAGCTGTTTTTCCAAGGAATGGGAGGCCATAATGACATGTTTAAATGAGACAATAAACAGGTTTACATAACTAGTTTACATTTAAAAAGAAAGATAAAGAAACAGGAACTTGGGTTCCTCCCAGAGGTCAAAGAAGGGAGGGGTCAGACAGAAGAGCAGAAGGTTGGCATCTGTGGGGAGGTCACTGTGGGGAGACGATTTTGGAGGTGGGTTTGCCAAAGGATATTAATAAGATTTTTCCCTCTAATTGTTTGATGGGGAGCATTAGAAACTCCATAAGATTTTGGATTTTGGAAATCAAGTTTATTTAAATCTTAAAGGATGAGTGATATCACCTACTTTTTGAGTTATAAATCTTTAATATAATTCTAATATTCAACATATATGCTTTGAAAACTGTGTTTTTAGATTTTCCACTGAATTTGAAATAGGATTATTTTTATAGTTGAATCTTGTCCTCTCCTACAGGTCAATTTTTAAGAATATATATCCAGGAAAAAGTAACTGCCCATAAGCAAAAATGAGTGCAATTTCTGGTGCTCTCCTAACTGTAATATCACACGTATTTGTGCTACAGAACAAGAATAGGGACAAGGAAAGAAAACAAACTTGACCAACATTTGAGAATCTACTACATGTTAAGTAGTAAGTCATACTACTTTTTAAAATCCACTTTATCGAAGTAGAGTAAACATATACAATTCACTAATTTTATTTGCACAGCCTATATATATATACACTAGTGTCACCACTGCAACAATCATGATATAGAACATTTCTATCACCCCAGAAAGTTTACTCATGATCCTTTGTAGTCAATCCCTCCTCCCACTTCCCACCTTTGGCAATCAGTGACCTGCTTTCTGTTACTATAGTTTTGTCTCCTCTAATTTTTCATATAAATGGAATCATATATCATGAAGTCTTTTGTATCTGGTTTCATTCACTTTCCATATTGCTTTTGGGATTCATCCATATTGTTTCATGTGTCAGTCATTTCTTCCTTTTTGTTGTTGAGTATGGACATTCCAGTTTGTCTATTCATCAACTGATAGATATTTGGGTTGTTTCTAGATTTTAGCTATCATAAATAAAACTTTCATGAACATTTATGTGCAAATACTTATTTGGGCAGGTTTTCATTCTTCTTGGGTAAACATTTAGAGTAGGATCATTGGGTCACAGGAGAAGTGTGGGTTTAATTTTATAATAAATTGCCAAACTGAGTGAGGAAGGAAGAAACCAGTCAGGCAGGCAGTTAGGGTGGATGCTCCATTGATTTCTTTCAAACAAAAGAACGGCATGCAAGCACTGATAAGGGAACTTTCACAGGGGGGCTTGCCTAAGATATGCCCACAGCTGCATACATAAGAAAGTCTACACAGGAGACTTACCCAGACTTATCTGCAATGGAAAATGCTATCCCCTGACACATGCACGGTAAGGGAAACAAAGACAATATGGAGTAACTCAAGCTAAGGGCCTGCATGCACACTAGGAGGACTGGGTGGAGCGACCAGAAATTTGCTCCTTATGCAAATGAGACACCCAACACTCAGTGGTTCCTTATAAAAGTCTCTGTATTCAACTGTGAAATGGAAACCCTTTTTTGGGAACCCTTTCTGTGGCAGAGAGCTTTCTTTCTCTCTTTCCCTTGTTAACATTCCAGTGGCATGATCTCGGCTCACTGCAACATCCACCTCCCGGGTTCAAGAGATTCTTCTGCCCCAGCCTTCCAAGTAGCTGGGATTACAGGTGCATGCCACCACGCCTGGCTAATTTTTTGTGGTTTTAGTAGACATGGGGTTTCACCATGTTGCTCAGGTTGGTCTCCAACTCCTGGCCTCAAGCAATCCACCCACCTCGGCCTCCCAAAGTGCTGGGATTACAGGCATGAGCAACCACACCTGGCCAGCTTTTAAATATTAACCATCTTATTTATGTATTTATTTATTTTAAAATGCATCATAAACTCTTTATTTCAGTGAATGGCAGAGTTTCACAGCAACACACCTTTGAAAGCAAACATTAAGAATATGTTATCAGAGCATGTTTCTTTCTCCATTGAATGTTCACCATTTTACTGGGTATTCAGTAGTATCTCCTTGTGGTTTAGCACTTACCTAATGACTAATGATATTGAAAAATCTTGCTGGGTGTGGTGGCTCACACCTGTAATCCAAGCACTTTGGGAGGCCGAGGTGGGCAGATCACGAGGTCAAGAGATCGAGACCATCTTGACCAACATGGTGAAACCCCGTCTCTACTAAAAATACAAAAATTAGCTGGGTGTGGTGGCGTGCACCTGTAGTCTCAGCTACTCGGGAGGCTGAGACAGGAGAATTGCTTGAACCCAGGAGGCAGAGGTTGCAGTGAGCTGAGATCGCGCCACTGCATTCCAGCCTGGGCAACGGAGAGAGACTCCATCTCCAAAAAAAAAAAAGAAAAATCTTTTCATGTACTAATTTACTACTCATATGGTGAATATTTTGGGCATTAAAAAAAACTGAGGTTGTGTGCAGTGGCTCATGCCTGTAGTCCCAGCACTTTGGGAGGCCTAGATGAGTGGATCACTTGAGGTCAGGAATTCGAGACCAGCCTGGCCAACATGGCAAAACCTCGTCTCCACTGAAAATACAAAAATTAGGTGTGGTGGTGTACACCTGTAATTCCAGCTACTCAAGAGGCTGAGGCACAAGAATCACTTGAACCTGGGAGGTGGAGGTTGCGGTGAGCAGAGATGGCACCACTGCACTCCAGCCTGGGAGGCAGAGTGAGACTGTGTCTCAAAATAAATAAATAAGGCCGGGCACGGTGGCTCATGCCTGTAATCCCAGCACTTTGGGAGGCCAAGGCAGACAGATCACTTGAGATCAGGAGTTTGAGACCAGCCTGGCCAACATGGTGAAACCCCGTCTCTACTAAAAATACAAAAATTAGCTGGGAGCGGTGGTGGGCGCCTATAATCCCAGCTACTGGGGAGGCTGAGATGGCAGAATCTCTTGAACCTGGGAGGCGAAGGTTGCAGTGAGCCAAGATCGCACCACTGCATTCCAGCCTGGGTAACAGAATAAGACTCTTTCTAAAAATAAATAAATAAATAATTTAAAATATAAACATTCATTAATGTTTTTAAAAAAATGAGGGGATGGCAGGGGCGGTGGCTCATGCTTGTAACCCCAGCACTTTGGAGGCTGAGGTGGGCGGATCACTTGAGCCCAGGAGTTCCCAGCCTGGGCAACACGGTGAAATGCCATCTCTGTAAAAAATACAAAAACTAACCTGGCATGGTGGTGTGTGCCTGTAATCCCAGCTACTTGGGAGGCTGAGGTGGGAGAATTGCTGGAGACCCGGAGGCAGATGTTGCAGTGAGCTGAGACTGCACCACTGCATTCCAGCCTTGGCAACAGAGTGAGACCCTGTCTCAAAAAAAAAAAAAAAAAATGAGCTGTTTGTCTTATCTATGAGTTATAAGAATTCTTTATATATTTAAGATACAAGTCCTTTATCAGATATATGTTTTGAAAATATTTTTTCCCCAGTGTATAGCTGGACTTTTCATCCTTTTAAATTTTTATTTTTCTTTTTGAGGCGGAGTCTCACTCTGTTGCCCAGGCTGGAGTGCAGTGGCGTGATCTCAGCTGACTGCAACCTCTGCCCCCTGGGTTCAAGCGATTCTCCTGCCTCAGCCTCCCGAGTAGTTGGGATTACAGGCACCTGCCACCACACCTGGCTAATTATTTTTTGCATTTTTAGTAGAGACAGGGTTTCACCATCTTGGCCAGGCTGGTCTTGAACTCCTGACCTTGTGATCCACCTGCCTTGGCTTCCCAAAGTGCTAGGATTACAGGCATGAGCCACTGCGCCCAGCCCAGCAGTTTTTTCTTTTGTTTTGTTTTGTTTTGTTTTGTTTTGTTTTGTTTTGTTTTGTTTTTGAGATGGAGTCTCACTCTGTCATGAGGCTGGAATGCAGTTACGCGATCTTGGCTCACTGCAACCTCCACCTCCCTGGTTCAAGCGATTCTCCTGCCTCAGCCCCCCGAGTACTGGGACTGCAGGCGCGCACCACCAAGCCCAGTTAATTTTCGTATTTTTAGTAGACACAGGGTTTCACCATGTTAGCCAGGATGGTCGCAATCTCCTGACCTCATGATCCGCCCACCTCAGCTTCCCAAAGTGCTGGGATTACAGGTGTGAGCCACCACGCCTGGAAAAAAAATTTTATTTAATTATATGTTTTATATAGAAATAGGGTCTTGCTATGTTGGCTGGGCTAGTCTTGAACTTCTGGCCTCACGCAATCTTCCTGTCTTGGCCTCCCAAAGTGCTGGGATTACAGGCAGGAGCCACTGTGCCCAGCCAACTTTTTATTCTTTCAATATTGTTTTTTGAAAGCAAAGGTTTTAAATGTTAAAGTTTAATTCATTCATTTTTTAATGGTTAATAGTTTTTATGTTCTACCTAAGAAATCTTTGCTTAGTCCAAAGTCCCAAAATTTTTTTAAAAAATATTTTTTGCAAGTTTTATAATTTTATTTCTTATATTTAGAGGTCTATGGCACATTTTTATTAATTTTTGTGAATAGTGTGAGGTAGGGGTCAACATTCTTTTTTCATGCATATGGATATTTGATTATTCCAGCACTATATATTTTTTTCACAAAGACTACTAACTACTACCTGCTGAGTGTTAAGCTGTACTTCTTAAAATTTACTTTGTGTTTCAAACATAGAATAACTCTTTTATGCACCTCTTCTTTTAGGCAACTGGGAACACTGAACTCCAGGGAAGTGGGGGTGGGGACCAACTGTAGGAATTTGTGTGATTTTCTATGCCTATTTTCTATCAGTTGACGTAATGCCCAATATATCACCTCATCAGAAGCAAGTTCCACTGATAATCTCCCATTTTCTGGGTCAAAAATTTTGTTAAGAGCTTTGCTAAGCACTTAACTTTGAGGGTATAATGATAAAATCAAGCCATAAGCATTTAGAAAGTCAACAAATCCATGATGGAACAAAGAGTACAGAAACTTTCTACCCATAGGCTCAGATGATGCACATATACCACAAACACAGGATGAAAATCCTCACATTTCTTGTGTCTGAAATCAGTGTGCAGAAAACTTAATTTTATATTCCCTAAGGAATGTTTAACGGCGTTGGTCAATGTTTGTGAGGCTGGGGGAACACTTCTCTCCTACTTCTGCTAGTTCCTTACTTGTCAGAGAATAACCTCTAACGTAACTCACCCTGCATCTATCCAGGCTGTCACCCTTCTCTTTGGGAGGTGGAGTAACTTACTTGATTGATGGGTTCAGAACATGCATAGGGATGAGCACTGTAGTTTATTGGGGCTCTTAAACTCCAAAGGTCCAGACAAAATAGAATGCTAAAGATTGGTTTAATAAATGTTTCAGTATTCAGTTATAAGACATGTCTTCTCCAAGTCCACAAAGCATGAAATAGGCTTAAAGTACAGTCAGAGATTTTTGTTTCTACATAATAACTTCCTATTAAAAGAATCAGGCAGCTCAAAATGGCCATTGAATTTGGATATTTAGAACTAGGACCAGCAACTTGTTGTTAAAGAATGGTTTTATTCTATTTTGAAGCAGAATTTATATTAAAAGACCTGTTGAGGTTTATTTTAGGTCTATGAATTTATTGATAAATAGAAGTGTTTTTCAGCAAATGAACAATACCAAAAATAAACAAGCTTAAACTCTTATGATACAATATCTTTATGCCTCCTGAATGTGCTTTTTCCTTGTTGATATCAAAACCAAATGAGGAGTTCTTTGGTTCTTTGCATTGAAACCAAGTATTAGTTCTCATGATTCGGGTAATATTCTTTGTCTTAATGTCGTATTCAAATTGCTTTGATCCACGGCTGAAAAAGAAGAATCCTAGAGACAGGGAATCAGGATTAGTTATCTTTCATAACTATATAATACTTCCATACTTTTAAATTTTATAAACATGGAAAAAAATAACATTATGGAGAACGAAGAAATTTGTGGAATCACATACATACATTTTAGTTTTCTACTGTCATGTGGGAAATCCTATTATTTTTATTTCCCTAAGGAGGAAGCCAGTGTTATAAAGGGTGAGTTTCAAGGGACTTTTTACCTTTCTAGCCAGACTGTGGTCTATGCCAGAGGTTTTCAAACTAGGCTTCAACAAAGTGTCTCAGTGAGGGGGAGGAAAAGGCCCCTGTGGATATGGCCTTGGTCTCTATATTCTCATTTTCTTAGAGCCGTTCTACTTTGATCTGTTTTAGGTTTTGAGGTTCTGTGTTAGATTTCATTGTAATAATAGATCATGTCACTCAAAGATATTTCTAGATTACCCCATGGTCTAGGTCATTGTCTTGGATGATATAGTTGCTGGATTGTATTCATTACATTGCCTGAGGTTCTTTTAAAACTGCAGATTCTTAGGTATCACTCACAATTCTGCCTCAAATACTTTGTTTCACACACAAACCCCAAGCTATGTACATTAAGGTACATACATTAAAGTTTGAGAATCATTGTTTTGTTCATGTGCTTAGTCACTTCGCACACTTTAGGGGGTGTCTTTACTTATCAATGATGAGTAAAATGGATTTGGTACTTTTTACATAGATTTGAGATAGTATAACAGAGAGTATAATTCAGGATTTATGGATTCAGTTTGTGATAATGTTTGTGGGGTTAATGTTTATTATTGTATATACTTAAGAGTAGCAAAATTGCATTAAAATAAAAGCATTTAAGTTTTTGTGCTGTCTTTTTTCACAGTCAACACAGTCTCTCAAGTATCCCAATAAGTGAGACATCCATGCTTACCTTTGTACTGGAAAGCAGCATCAACACGGATACTGATTCCAGGAAAGTGTTTTACCACTCTCTGCGGGAACCCTTTGTCCATGGTTTGGGTCATTTCATCAAACCTGCATACAAGAATATGAAAGGATACCAGCGGATCTTTGGTTTGGGGAGCTTAATTTGTCTACCGCACAACTTAGAGTCAAGCAGGGATGTGGGGAATACATAGGCATAGTAGAGGAAAACTAATTGGATCAATAATAAAAATACAGTAAAGATTATGTTTGGTTGAATCATTTATAGAATCTTCCAAACAAGAAATGATCAGGGAAAAAGGGCACAACATATGTTAGATTGATGCTATTCAGAGAAATCGTTACATCAGATTGAAGGCTGAGCTTGGAGCTTTCAAAATTTTTCACTAGATATGTTTGTGTCATTGGCAATTTGGTTGGGATCACCAACTTTTTATTTTATCTTATCTTTTTTTTTAAATTGAAGGAAAGTCATTAGACTCATTGAGATCTCTTTCGGCTTGATAAATGTCATCCACTGCCTTCATTATTCACTTTAAGAAGACTATGGGCTGGGCGTGGCGACTCATGCCTGTAATCCCAGCACTTTGAGAGGCCGAGGTGGGTGGATCGCTTGAGCCCAGGAGTTCGAGACCAGACTGAGAATCATGGTGAAACTCCATCTCTACAAAAAGTACAAAAATTAGCCAGGCGTGGTGGCACATGCCTGTAGTATCAGTTACTTGGGGGTTGCTGAGACAGGAGGATCTCTTGAAAGCAGGAGGTCGAGGCTGCAGTGAGCAGAGATTGCAGCACTACACTCTAGCCTGGGAGACAGAGCAAGACTCCATCTCAAAAAAAATAAAAAAATAAAAAATATTATGGATTCATTTTAATTTTGTCTGTGTCAAAGTGATGCTATTGTGAATATTTTTCTCCATAATAAAACAAAGTGTCAATTGTCTGTAAACTTACCTCCAGCACCAAATGCCCACAAAGAAGTAGGTTTTTCTTGTGGTCTTATCACAGACGGCTGCATCTATTTTCTTCACACGTCCTGGAAAACCTAATGTATGGATGGATTTGGGATAATCTGGCAAGACAGCATATCCTCTGATCATCCAGAAGTTTTCATCTAGGAAGAGAGGAGTGATTATTTATTTTCTAGAGGGAGAAATAGGTATCTCAAGAAATTTAAAAATCATTAGATACCTAGTTCCTTTTAGCTTCAGTGCTTAGAGATTTAATAATCTTATGTCCACATTCATTCCTACCACTTTCTTTAGCTGCTCATATTATTTATATTACACAAATAATATATACCTGTAAAAGTCAATAGTATGCGTACCTTTGTCAATTGGTTTCATTGCATTGATTGCTTTTAATTGGCTAACTCTGTCAAAACAATCAAGTAAGCAATGCATATATGTATTTAAACATCACATTGTACCCCATAAATATGTACAATTATTATGTCAATTGAAATTTTTAAAATGAAGTATGTTTGGACATGTTCTCCTAAGTTTCAGCCCCCAAGTGCTCTCAAAGGCTAGTAATCTGATAAGATCATGATCATTAAACAGAAAATGTCAGTTAAATTTGATTTCAAGTAAACAATGACTAACTTTTGGTATAAATAAATACAAAATATTTTAAGGGATATATATATATACCAAAAAATTATTTGTTGTTTATCTGAAATTTATAGTGTCCTATATTTTTATTTGCCAAATCTGGCAACCTTAGTAAAAAGTGAACATTAAAGACAGATTAATTACCTTTATTTGGCAGAAAAAGAGACTTTTTTAGTTTTTATCACACAGGTTTATTTTAGTCCCTGTGCAACTAGGATTGTGTTTATCTTCACAGCCACAGAGAATCCTGGTTATTTATATTCTTTACGACAGGAACCTAAGATGAGAGCAAAAGCCCTGCGCCTTGGCTCATGCATGAAGATTTTATTTCTTACACCAAAATATCCACTGGTTAGTTCAGGCAGCCAGAGGGAGAAGAGGAATCGGGATGGGCCAGGTTACCTTTAAAAACCAGAATCTTATCTCTGGGGTTCTCGTATGCAGCTTGCAGATCAGCTGGCAGAGATGGCCAGAATGAAGCAATTAATTCAAACTCAACATCCGTGATATCATAATAGATCCTCCATAGGTGCCTGTGTTAAACAAAAAACACTTTACACATGCAGCCTATTTCCATGTCAATGAGAATTTTGTAATCTTAGGCTTGCCTTTTAGCTAATTGGTTGGTATCTTCCTCAAATAATTGAGATAATTAGCATAATTTTCCCCAGTAAATTTAGGTGATTGTGAGTTCAGTTCAGTTTGGGACTTCCAAGTCCAGGACATGCCTTTGTGCCCACTCTTGGATCCGTAGAGTGGCAAACTCATCATGGAAATCTTATTCTGAGTTCTGAGTGCTCAATGGTTTTGTTTTTGCCAAAGCAGCAACACCCAACATTCTAAGCCAACACCAAGCATTCCTAAGAGGAACTTTTTGAAGCAGATGCTTGCTGGAATAAAGAAATGTAATCACTGACATGCGAAAATACTTCTTCAGAATTTCCCTTCTGGCTGCAAAATTCTGAGTCTATGAATGAGACGTGAAAAGTCCTTATATTCCATTTCCCTCCACATACAGGCCACTCCTCTGTGACATTCATGGTGGGTAGCTCTTGGCCTCTGCTGGTCAGAGAATGGTGGTGATAACATGTGATTGTAACGCGATATATTCATGGGTGAAAGGAGTCCAATTTCAAATATTCTTTCCTTTTGCCCCTATATCTTTGTCAATGGTGTATGTCTTGGTATTTTGCTATAAAAATATGGTCATGGTCTACATAACTGACACACCATGCTGTAACTTAAGTTCAATAAATTGTAGTGAGAGAAGGGATTTCCCACTACAGCTAACACTTTATTGATGCAACTTTAAGAAACGTTCAGTGAGGTGCTGACCCATGTTTAACAACTGGCTCTCCAGGTGGGAAGAAGACATGACTTTAATCATTTGCTGATTTTCAGATGTAAATACTCCAACCATGGCCAATTTCAAGCTGCCTATGTGATGTGAACTGGTTTGCAAAATTCCTGAAAATTTAACAATAGACTCCTGTAACGGAGTGTAAGTTGGCTTCAGTAGGCCACTGGGATTGGTGGACTCTTCTGGCCAAAAAGTCACTGAAAGTGGACTCTATTTCCCTTTCTTATGCAATGGCAATTTTTAAAATTCCTTAAAGACATTTAAAAATTTATCAAACAACTACAAGAGACACACATATGGTAAAGCATTCAAACAGTATAGGCAGTTATAAAATGAAGATAAAAGGCACACATTTTCACTAGCCCCATGACTACCTCTTTATCCTCAAATCTCTTGAAAAGAAAAATCTTCATAGGAAGTTGAGGTGTTTAGAGAAATGAGTTTACCTGCCTTTAAAGAACATTACTTCTCTGCGGAAAGTTGTGATAGCGTCAAAAGTCAAGTCAGGGTCACAGGCATGGGGTATAGTGGGTTCCTTTGGCTTAGCAGGTTCCTTAGGCAGACCTCCTTTGATGAGAAAAAAAATACCACAATGAATTAAGAGGGCATGAAGAAATATGCCTACACAAGGGTCTTACCTAAGTGGATATTTGCTTCATGATAATATTTCAAGAAGTGATTTTCTTAACTTCCTTTCTGAAAAGCTTCCTATTTAGTTCACATATATTGAGATTTATAATTTTGCTCACCATAGATGGACTGGATTCCATTGATATCATCCTGAGAAAGTGGGTATTTTCTGGGATCCAGGGAGACATAATTTGGGAACATCAAGGCTGTTTGATCATTGGAGTGAGAGAGCCCCAGTGCATGACCAAATTCATGAGCAGCCACAAGAAACAAGTTGAATCCTTGATAATAACAGGGAAAACACGAGCACATGACTTAATCAAAAAGAGAATGGCTGCATCTGAGATTAGAAAGTAACTAAGGGGAATGAAATAAAGGCTTGCTATACAGCAGATAATTCTCATATGTACCACCATTTATCTGGGAGGTATTGCAATGCTAATAAGTCATGTGTTGCTTAATGATATGGATATGTTCTGAGAAATGCATCATTGAGCAAACATTATAGGGTGCACTTACACAAACCTAGATGGCACAGCCCACTACACACCAAGGTTACATGGTATAGCCTCTTGCTCCCAGGCTACAAACCTGTATTGCACGTTACTGTACTGAATATTATAGGCAATTGTAGCACAATGGTAAGCAATTATTTAGCGCAATGGTAAGCATTTGTCTATCTAAACATATCTGAACATGGAGAAGGTACAGTAAAAATATGGTATAAAAGATAAAAAATAGTACAGCTATGTAGGACACTTACCATGAATGGAGCTTGCAGGACTGGAAGTTGCTCTGGGTGAGTCAGTGAGTGAGTGGTGAGTGAATGTGAAGGCCTAGGACTTACAGTACATTATGTAGACTGTATAAACACTAGACACTTAAGCTACACCAAATTAAAAATATTTTTCTTCAATAATAAATTAACTTTTGCTTACAGTAACTTTTTTACTTTATAAATTTTTTTTTTGAGGCAGGGTCTTGCTCTGTTGCCCAGGCTGGAGTGGTGTGATTACAGCTCACTGCAGCTTCAAACTCCTAGGCTTGGACAATCCTCCTCCCTCAGCCTCCTGTGCAGCTGGGACTACAGGTGCATGCCACCATGTCCAGCTAATTTTCTTATTTATTTTTGTAGAGATGGGGGTCTCACTATGTTGCCCAGGCTGATCTTGAACTCCAGGCTAAAGCAATCCTCCGGCTTGGTCTTTCGAAGTGCTGGGATTACAGGTGTGAGCCACCATACCTGGCCTAAACTTTTAAATTTTTAAAATTTTGGACTTTATTGTGACTTAGCTTAAAACACAAACTTGTTGTACAGCTGTACAAAAATATTTCCTTCCTTTGATCAGGGTCATCCGTATTACTGTCTTCCACCTCCACATCTTGTCCCACTGGAAAGTCTTCAGGGGCAATAACAGGCATGGAGCTGTCATCTCCTAGGATAACGATGCCTTCTTCTGGAATCCCTCCTGAAGGGCCTGCCTGAGGCTGTTTTACAGTTACCTATTCTTTCTTTCTTTCTTTTTTTTTGTACAAGTAGGAGTACATTCTAAAATAACCATAAGAGGTATAGTACATTAAATACATAAACCAGTAACATGGTTGCTTATTATCAAGTATTATGTACTTCACACAATTGTATGTGCTGAACTTTTATATGACTGGCAGCACGGTAAGTTTGTTTATATCAACATCACCACAAACATGTGAGTAATGTGTTGTGCTGTGACATCACTAGGTGATAGGAAATTTTCAGCTCCATCATAATCGAATGGGACCACTGTCATATCCATAGTCCATAGTTGACCAAAATATGATTAAATGGCACATAACTTTAATTGGTACTAGTCACATCATGGAAAAATATAGCCTAGGGTAAGAAAATGGCTTGAAACCGGTGTCTCAGAAATGGATAATATTAAAAAAAAAAAGAAGCCACCAGTTTGGGGTTGTTGCTAGACTACAGTATATGTGATCATGTTGCTCCTACTTCTATTCTTCAGAGGTTCTGTATTGCTATAGGATAAAGTCCAAACACCTTCACATGACCTTCCATGGTCTAGTCCCTGCCTATTTTCAGCCTTATATTTTATTTTCATATTCTGCAAGCTAACTATGTTAAATCGCTGGCATTTTTCATCTGTGTCAGGTTCTTTCTAATCTCTATGTCTTCATACCTTTGTCTCTTTGCTAATAACATATCTCTTCCACTTTCTCCTGGCTTAACTATCCTATTTATTCCCCAGGACTCCCCTCTAAAGTTATTTCCTTCATGTAACTTCCCTTATCCCTCCAGGTCTTATCCAGGTTGAGTTAAATGCATGGCTCCAGCTTCCACAGACTCAGCACTTGATTCTGTCATAGCCCGTAAGGACTGCATTGTTTGTTTCTGTCACCCTGAGTACAGGAACCATGTCTTAATTATCTTTTATTCCTAGTGATTGTGACTGCTTAATAATGATTAATGGATGTCCAAGTGTTGTCTAATGCAAAAATGGTTAGATGTGTTTCCTAAACATGACCATAGTGCCCTTTCCAGAAGTCTTACCAGGCATGTTAGAATTGCCTTTGTCTTTGTCTGCCTCTCCCACTAGTCTGTAAGGCTCTAAGTATAGAAGACCACCCTCTTGGGCCTGGCGTGGTGGTTCACTCTTGTAATCTCAGCACTTTGGGAGACCAAGGTGGGTGGATATCTTGAGCTCAGGAGTTCAAGAGCAGCCTGGGTAACATGGAGAAACCCTGTCTCTACTAAAGAAAAAAAAAATTAGCCAGGCAAGGTGACCTGTGCCTGTAGTCCAAGCTATTTGGGAGGCTGAGGTAGGAGAATTGCTTGAGTCCAATAGGCATAGGTTGTAGTGAGCCGAGATCGCACCACTGCACTCCAGCCTGGGTGACAGAGTGAGACCCGGTCTCAAAAAATAAATAAATAAATACATACATACATACATAAAGTCCATCCCTGGCTTTGCAACTAAGTGCATGGAGCCTAAGGAAAACCTCAGCTTCCCTGATGGAAATTTGCCTAGTGATGTTTGCATGAAGCAAACGTAAAAGGGCAAAGAATTATGTCATGGTCTTTGACACTTTTCTGCTCTTGCCTTTGTTGCTGCCCCTTGCCTGGCTGGCTATATCACTGTGTGTGCTTTTGGACAAGGAACTGGAAAAATGACTGTTGGGAAAAATAATTCAAGCTCAGATTTTCTAAATGAAGTCCAGATCTTTATTCTGGCTTTCAAGACCCTCTGTAATCTGAATCCTATTCGCCATTTTAGCCTTGTCTTCTACAATTCTATTCCTTATGTTGGATTGAGCTATTCTGTTCAGAACACTCCTATTCACCCTCTTCACCCTACTTTGTCTTCTTAGTTCCTGCTGAGCCTCCAGTTCTCAGGCTTGACATAGCTTCCTCTGCTGACCTGTGGGTCTGGGTTGGACTTTCTTCTGTGAGGACCTATTACATTGCCATAGTTTCCTTTATCTCAGTACTGATCCTACTGATTTTAGTTGCCATTTAATTGTCTATGTGTCCCTTAGACAGTGAAGCCCTGGAGGGCAGCTTCTGTGTCCTATATACAAGGGTATATTTCATTTTTATGACAGAGCCTGAGTCATAGTGGATGTTCAATAAATGATCATTGAGTGACTTTATTTACCAATGATTTGTAGAGTATTTCTCATGTGACAACACTGTTATTGGCCATATGACGCTGTAGGTAAAAGATGACAAAAGTCTCTGTCTCATGGAGATGTGACTAAATAGACAAATTTGTGCATTATACATTCATAGCTTTTCAAATATTTTTCCTTATGCCTAGAATGTAATTCCACCCTAGTTATCATTATCATCATCAATACTAACAATTGTCAACAGAATCTTTGATGTCAAGCACTTTCTGAGTGTTCACTATGGACAACTGCTCTGAAAGGGGTTTTCACCTTTATTAACCTAGTTAGGGTAAGGGTAATTTATTTCACCCTCCTAAAAGAAGAGCATCATTACTCTTTTACAGGCAAAGAAATAGAGAGTAAGAAAATTACTTGACTTGCCCCGGGTCCCTCAGCTGGTCAATGGGAAGCCCTGAAAGGAACCAGTGTCTGCCAAACTACAAACCATTGCTTTTTCTCCTTCCCAACACTGCATCTGTAGCAGTCTGTAAGGCCTGTTCAGTTGTTTGGTGCACACGTGTGTGCCACACACACACTCACAATAGGCTTGGCACCTGGCTTTGCTTTGAGAGACTCTCAGGAAAATCTCTGTATGTGCTTAAAGTCCTCTGACATCCCCATGCGATGACCTGTTCTTCCCGGAGGAAGCAGCTTAATAGCATCATTGGCAGATGATGTGTCTGTTGCTCTTAAGCAAGTTACACCAAGATTTTTGCCACCCTTCCATAAAACAGAGCCTCCACATTGCAATGAAAGAGGTGATCATATAGGTTATTGCTGAATTGCCTATTTTTTAAAAATTGCAATTTTGTTGGAGATTACGTTTGCTTGATATTTTATGTTTCCATTGGAGAAGAGGAAGGTATTTTCCCCTTTAATGTCAGTGAACTAAGAGTTATACAATTGGATCACAGAGGGCCCACAATTTCTACTCTGAGGGACTGAAATAAAGTGGTCAGAAGACAATCCTTTTTGGAACTGCTGCCTGGTTGCCCACCCAGAACTTGGTTGAGGACTGTATTTATCTCTTGCCTTGCTCAAGCGAGCCTTACCGATGTGGAACCCAGATACATCGGACTTAAAAAAAAATAACTTACCCCACATGTCCCCCTTGGCAGAGGGCTTAAAGCAGTATGGGTAAGAGGAACTGCTACTTAGCATTGGATTTAAGAGACAAAAGGATAGTGAAATCTTTGATCTCTGCCTCTAGCTATGAAAGTAAAGCCTGGCTGAGCAAGGGGAGTCATTCTGATTTTGGCAAGTGCTAGGATATTTCCTGTAACTGTTTGGTGAAACACACCCGCAGTGTCTTCAGACTAATACCAAAGAAATATTGAAACATGTCTCAGCAGAAGATACACAACAGACATGGTTCATTCCTTTCCTCTCTTGCTTGGGTGACAATGTTATCTTACCTCCTTCAATTTCTTGTCTGCTTGTGATGCTAAGTCATGTGGCAATGGCAGCAGCCAATCCCAGATTTTGCCTGCTGCTGCCTGAACCTCAGCCAGTACTGACTTTCGCCCTTTTCACTGGCACTTGGAAAAACAGTTGCATCACCTGTTCTGACTGAGCAGTGAGTGGCCATGGACCATTTTGTGTGACAGACTTTTAGTTTCACAGAAAGTGCAAAGCTGATCTAGACCGATTATCTGGAGATACATGGTCGGGAATGATCTGTGTCCTTGTATACTATCCATCAGGACCACTACAACCTGTGCTTTCCTGTGACTCTGGAAGCTAGACACCAGACCCAAGGTAACTATTGCCAATGACAGAACAAAAGAATGGGGGACCCAAAAATCTATTGAGCTTGCTCTTTTCTTTGAGGCCTACATTGCTACCTGTTAATATAGTACAGTTTGATATTTTTGTCAGAACAGTAGTAAAACACCTTGAATGCCAGGCAGACCCATTGAGAAAAATAAAATAAACTTACTTGGTTTGAAGAAATAAGTCAAATATAAGGATTAAGGTCTGATTCCTTTGCAGCTGGGCAAGAGTTAGAAGAGGAAGTTCATGCTTTGAATTAGAGCCTCTATGGGCTATGAATCCATATACTGTCCTTTAATTGCTAACTCAAAATTACCACCTCCCTAGAGTCTTCTTTCAATCCTCAAGCAACAGATGACTTCTGCCACTGGTACAACACAAAACATCTTCTGCCTTATATGGCAGGTATGTGGGCTGGCCTTGTGTACCACACAGGATCATGAACCTCTGAAGGCTTACACTTTTCTAGTACAACTTTGGGGTCCATAGGACACCTTGTATAGTTCCGGGCACACAGTGGCCCCTCAGACATTATGGGTGTATGAATGAATGTATAAATAATGAAGACTGCTCTGATCATAGTAGAAGTAGCCACTTTATGAGGGTGTATTGAACACTTCCATCAAGGTCATCTTGGAATATGGAAAATTGTGGGGACATTGGGAACTTTACAGTTAAAAAGCAGCTAGTTACAAAGCTATTCTTTTCAGGGATTCTTTAGAATAATAAGATTTTGTTCATAAAGAAAATTAGACTCACCTGCTCCATCCTTGGTCCAGTTTTCATCCTCATCAAAATGAGTGTCACCACCCAGACCCGGACCAGGAGGAAAGGCATGGCCAAGCACTCCCAAGGGACCATCAAAATAGCGAGGACACCGACCATGGACTGAGATACAATTTATGCGAGGAAAAAAGATCAGCTTCCTCAAATCTCCTGAGATAAAAATAGCTTTGCTCTCTGTTGAAAACCTTACCTCGAGTCCTAAAGGCAATCATGATGTCTGCAATCCCCTTTGAAATCTTGGTGAATTTTAGTGGAGTGACTTTGCTCCACACTTCTAAACCTTCTTGGATAGCCTCATCCACAGCAGCTCGTGCCATATCCGGAGTATAGTTTATTATTCTTAAAAATTAACAAAAATATGTCAATTTCTGGCTTATTCATGCATGAATATACACACATAACTACAAAAAACATTTCTAGCTTATCAATAATGTGCTGCAGTAACTTTGGTGTGGTGCAATTATCTTACAGTTGCATTAGCACTTTATTTAAATGAAATACTCTTACATATACTATAGAATTAAATTCCTTTATCTTCCCTATGAATCAGTAGTATTAACACTTCAACAAAGGAGGCTGAAAGAGGTTAAATGACTTCACTAAGATCACATCCCAAGACAGCATTTATCTCATGTACGTGTTGGCTTGTATATGAAAGTATTATAAAGACATTCTTAAAAAGAACTGAGAATCATTTTTTTGAATGGCTTGTAGAAATCAGTCTTGTGCATGTACCATATATTAAGAACTTTTTTTTTTTTGAGACAGAGTCTCGCTCTGTCCCCCAGGCTGGAGTGCAGTGGCGCGACCTCGGCTCACTGCAACCTCTGCCTCCCAGGTTCAAGTGATTCTCATGCCTCAGCCTCCTGAGTAGCTGGGACTACAGGCGCGTGCCACCAGGCCCAGCTAATTTTTGTGTTTTTTAGTAGAGATGGGGTTTTGCCACGTTTGCCAGGCTGGTCTCAAACTCCTGAACTCAGGTGATCCGTCTGCCTCAGCCTCCCAAAGTGCTGGGATTACAGGCATGAGCCACCACACCCAGTCCATATATTAAGAATCTTACATGAGAACCACAAGAATTGCTCAGGAAAAGATTTTTCTCGTTTATGTTGCCTATCTTGCTAAATTCATTTTTATCTCAAGTCCTAGCACTCAGTAAGATGAAAGAAGAACTATCAGAAAGGCTGTAGAGTGATGGTCAAGGTGACTGTCTCTGTCTCAGATCAAAGGCATACCTCATCCTCTTCCTGCCAATGAGTCAGCCTGCCCCCTTTTCCTTGAGATGTCTGAGGGAAACACCCTACTTTGCTCTGAGGGGCTCATCTGAGATTTGGCAACTCTCTCTCTCACACACACATGTCTCTGACATAAACTGGTTGTGTTCCAGGGTCTCCCCATTTTCTCTTGGGCACCCTTCATTCATGCTGTCAAGTATCTGCAGTCAGATGACAGTATTTGTTGGGAGCTTATATGATGGTGGCAGAGGCTAGAGATGAGAGCATGTCTGCTGGAGCCAGTAAGAGCTGTGTAACCTCAGCCACGGTAAATAAACTTTTGTTTCAGTTTCTCTGTATTTAAGATGGTGGTAGCAGCAGAGCCTACAGCACAGGTTTGTTGGGAAGATACCGTAAATGGAGCCTAAGATGTGCTGTGCACACAGGAAGTGCTCAGTCAATTGAATGAATATTATTCTGTTCCTTGGAAATTATCTTTATGTTCCTTTGGATTAGGCGGAAATAAGCTGGCAGAAGCATTACCTGTAGGTGAGGTTGTATTTTCTCCACCCAGGGAGGGTGTAGCCATACTGGCCCACATCAGGCACCCCACACCTGGGTGTCTTCATGATCTCAAGGGTGTTTGAGTCCAGTTTTCCAGTCACTGTCAATCCAAAAAATGCTTGCATTTCCCGAATTTTGTCATCTATGAGACTCCTATTCTTGCTTTGAACAAGATGATTCCCTTCTATTTCAAGAGAGTAGAACTGGTTGAGATATGCCTGACCAAAAAGATAAGAAAAAAAAAAAAGAGGCACAGACTACAGGAGAGCAAATCTCCATCTCAGGATAAAGCAAAATTGCCTAAAATTCCTTCTGGCAATAGGAAAGGGGAAAAAAAAGAAGTAATGAGAGAAAGTGAGGAGTGAAGGAGGAAAGAAGAAAGGAAGGACACAAAGAGGAAAATAACGAGTCACCCTGCTCTTTCAATTTCCAAGACTTGGTTGACTTATGAGTGACCAGAATTAGCCAAAGCACGCAGCTCTTAAACCTCCACAGAAGAGAATGAAGCTTCGTCTGTCTGTTGAATGATGACCTATCTTACATATTTTTGCTGTTACTTTCATTTTGGTGTTTCTTTGAAACAAGTTCTAGGATAAATAAGTGATTATCCATTTTGCACATGTATTTGCTTTAACCAAAAATAAAAAGTTAACTGAACTGATTTTTAGAGGGAATCTGTAAAGCAATGTATTTTTTTTCATACATATAGGGATTAGGGCTCCAAATTGTAGATTGGGTCCTCCTGGTTGTCTTGAAATGCTTTTATAGTGATCTCCATACCTTGCAGGGCTCTCTCCTTTCTCCTCGCACTAAACATCCCTTCATTTGTGACCATTGCTAAAAGTTATAGCAGATCCTTTCCCCCTCCCTGTGCCAGCCCTCCTCCCCAACACAATTTCCTGATATCGTCAGAGATAGACAAATGAAAAGCAGTTCCTTCTCACAAAAAAGTTCAGGACTCTTTTGCAGGAATGTGTTTTCTTTTTAGGTCCCAAGAGAATCAATAAAATAAGCTTTTTATCAATAGTCATCGATATCATTTATTAAGACAGTACCTGAGCCAGTTGCATATTTTCTTCATTTTCCGTCATCCGGACTAAGGGAAATGCAGAAGAAAATGTTATAAAGAACAAAAACAGAAGCAGAAGGCGCTTCATTCCTCTCTTTCTTCAGCTGAAGCCGGTTCTGTTAGCACAGAATTTAGAAAATAATAGTGAGACGTGGCATGAATTGGCTTGTATCATCATTTAATTAATAACAGAAAGGGACACTTGCCATAAAGTGTGTCATGATTTGCTTTTTTTTTTTTTTTTTTTTGACTGAGCTGATTTTGTAATCTTGGCCTGCAATTGTTTAGTAAACACAGTTAGTGCTTATTACTGAATTGAATATACTGGGAAGTGAGCCTCCAAGTTATTTTTTTTTCCTTGCAAAGTTTTCTTTTGAAGGCAATCTCAGAATATCTTGGTAGGATGTTATCATAAAAAGACAAATGAATCAGGAGTCAGATTACCCTTATTAACTAAGATAAACTTCAAATGTTTATTGAATTCCTACTGTTTGCCTGCCCCTGTGAATGCAATCTTGTTGGAGAATTCAGACACATACAGAAATTAATGTAGGACAAAAAGGAGGCAAGTGGGCAAATACACAGTGCAGATTGTAAAGACTAAGAAGGGCCAAAGGCAGATCATTGCTTATGAGTGTGGCCTTGAGGTTTTATGCAAGTTAAATACAGCCTGCACTGGGGCTTGCACTAGGGCTTGCTCTGGGTTTTGGAGAATGTGTAGAATTTGGATTTACAGAGGAAGGAAGAAGAAGTATGAGTGCAAAGAGGCCATGGGAAGGAGGTAACACAGCAGAAATAAGCTGCAGGAAATCTGGCCTGACTGGAACAAAATACATATGTAGACAGCTATGGAAGATGGGATGGAGGGTCTCATGGACAAGACAGCTGACTGGGAAGATGAAGAGTCATAGAGGTCATGGATGATGAAGGCCAAAATTAACATCAGAAGTGAGAATATAGTTAGTGAGAGCCTTTTGGATTAATTTCAATATATTCTTCTTTACTTGGGCTACTTTTAGATGAAGGAACAGTCTTAGTTACAGCAATGTCCTCCCTCACTTGTCCTCCCCTTTTCTTCTACCAATTATTAAAATTTTCTTCCCTTTCTTCCCAAATGTTAACTCCTCAATCGATACACCTTTCTAAATCTTCCTTGTCCATATCCTAAACAAAATTTATATGGCATAGCTGAGGAACTTATAGGATCTAAGTAGATACATACTTCCTTTGCATTTAAAGCTCATCCCAGTTATAAATCTTGTTTCAGAAATATTATTATTTACTGTTTTAATATATGTATATAGTTTAAATTGTTTAATTGGCCTCTGGAGCAATGGGATGAAGGGGAGAAGGCAGACATGATCAGGATTTGTGTTATAATGGTATTAAGTACAAGTATGCTAAGTACAAGTATGCTCATTGTATTGTTCTTTTGTGTTTTTTAAACTCTAAAATATTTCAGAACAAAATTTAAAAAAAAATAGAGTTACCAGAAAAAGGGAAGTCAAATGGTGCTATCTTGTTGTAACGAAAAAGCATCTCTCTGCCCTAACCTTTCGCTCCTTCAAGTCCTGCTCCCCAAAGGTAACTTCTTTAAATTATTTTTATAGCTTTTTATCTTTATGTTTAACTCCACATTTGTAAATAACGTGCTTATGCTACTATTTCTCGAGTTTTCAAAGTTAAATGTTATTATTAACATCTTCCTATGGAAAAGAAGGACTTAACACTCCTTCTGCTTTCCTAATTTGGTTATAGGAATGTTTAAGCCCGTAATCAGCGTTCATACAATTATGACCATGAAAATATTATTCACAAGAGAATCACGTAGTATACTATGATTACATATCCTTTTCTTTTTTTTCCCTTTTTTTTTGAGACGGACTCTCGCTCTGTCACCCAGGCTGGAGTGCATTGGCACAATCTCGGCTCACTGCGACATTTGCCTCCCGGGTTCAAGCAATTCTCCTGCCTCAGCCTCCCATGTAGCTGAGACTACAGGCATGCACCACCATGCCTGGCTAATTTTTGTATTTTTAGTAGAGATGGGGTTTCACCATGTTGACCAGGCTGGTCTTGAACTCCTGACCTCAGGTGATCCACCCCCCTCAGCCTCCCAAAGTGCTGGGATTACAGGTGTGAGCCACCATGCCTGGCCTTACATCTCCTTTCTTGTATAGCCTTTTTTCTCCGCAGTTGATAGTTGAATTGATTTTTATATGCTAATTCTTTACCAAATTCTTCCATAGAACTCTTAAACTCTCTCAGAATAACCAAACATGACAGGAAATATAGCAGCAGTTTTTTTCCCTTGAACTCATCCCTCTGAGACCCCTTGCTTGCCTTCTCCAGTCTGGGTCTGTTGTAGAACTGTCATCCTCTCATTAACCAGAAAACTTGTATTGTGTCTCTGTGTTAGATCTCTGGCTACTGGGTTTCACTTCTACCTATGTCTTGATTTACTCCCTTGTTTTGATGCAACATGTCTCTCAGGAGTTTTCTAAGAAAGAATATAAGGAAAATAAATATTCTGATTTTTTTCATACCTAAGAATGCCCTTTATTTCATCCTCACACTTGATTGGTGTATGACTGGATACAGAATTTCAGTCTAAAATAAATTTGCCTGAGAACTTTGAAGGATAATGAAGATTCCATTATTTTCCAGACTCTAGTGCTGCTGTTGAAAAGTTTTATACTCTGATTCTTGATGTTTTTCTTTTGAAAGGTTTTGGAAATCTTCTCTTTACCTAGATATTTATAAATTTTATAGTTATGCTCTTGATGTAGGTCTTTTGTATTAACATTTTTGGACAGTAAGTGGACCTTTTTTTCATGGAAACTTCAATTTAAGGTAACTTTCCAATATAGTTTTGGTTATAATTTCTTCCTATTCATTTTCTCCTTTTCTACCCATTCATTTTCTCTTCTTTCTTTCCATATCTGTTGGACCTCCTAGATTGAGTCTTTATGCTTCTAATATATCCTATTTTCTACCAACTTAACTTTCCAGCCCACCGATTGTTAATTTCAGCTAAGACATTTAATTTCCAAGAACTCTTTCCAGTTCTGAGTATTCTTTTACATTTTTAAGCTTTTTTTTTGCATTTCATTAGTGTTTTTGGACATAAAATATGTCTTATTTATTTATTTAAATAAATTACTAAATAATTAATAATACATAATTCATAACTAAATAAATAAGAAATTATTAAATAAATAAGACATATTTTACATCCAAAATTATATTCTTATATTTAATTCTTATATTTATTTATTTGTTTGTTTAAATAAACAAAAGAAGGCATACTCTGTCACCCAAGCTCGAATGCGGTGACACAGTCATGACTCACTGCAGCCTCAAACTCCTGGGTTCGAGTGATCCTCCTGCCACAGCCTCCCGAGTAGCTGGGACTATAGTTGCATGCCACCATGCCCAGCTAATATTTTTATTTTTATTTTTTTGTAGGGACAAGGTCTCACTATGTTGCCCAGGCTGGTCTTGAATGCTGAGCCTCAAGCAGTCCTTCTGCCTCAGCCTTCCAAAAGTGTTGGGATTACAGGCACAAACCACTGTACCCAGTCTCTTCTTATTTTTAAAGAATGTTAATGTTAAGTATACTTTAGTTTATTTCGACATTTTCTTTTGCTCCTACAATTGTCTCTAGTTCCTCAAAGTCTCTCCTTTGGTCTCTGTTTTTCACACTGCAATCTTTTCAAAAATATTTGGTGACTTTGTGTTGTGCAATCTGCTTAAGAATGAGAGGCAAGAAAGCAGACTGGAAGCTCTCATGTGTAGAGGCAGGGATGGTGAATTGATGACCTTCACTGCAGGGAGGTGGGGCACTTCCCACACCCTTCATGTGATGTATTAGTCAGGATGAGATTTGGTTGAATGTAACACAAAAACCCAAAATAACAGATGCTTAGTTAAATAAAAATGTATTTTTGCCTCACATTAAAAAAAAGTGCCCAGATTTGGAAGCCTAGGGTTTGTTTGACAGCTCCATATCATCAAGGGTAGGCAACATCTACCTTGCTACACCACTCTGTCAGTACAATGCCTCATGAGTCAGCTGCCTTCTCAACCTCTAGCCATTACATCTGCATTACAGGCAGAAAGAAGGAGGAAGGCAGAGAAAAAGTAATTTTCCAGTCCCTTTCCAGAAGCCCCACACAACATTCTGCTTACACATTTTGGCTAGAAATAAACACATGGCCATATCCAGCTGTAAGCCTAGCTGTAAGCAAGGCTACAAAATATGACGCATTGCTACCTCAAATGAAATTGGAGTCTCACTGCAGAAGAAGTGTAGACTGAAGGTTAAGATAGGTCATTAGCAGCCCTGCCACACTGAGATTTCTCCAGTGTTGGTATCTGTAATTTCTTTTTTTTCTGAGGCTGGTAAGTTACTCCAGAGAAAGCTCATCCAATTTCCCATCATTTAAATCTCCAAGGAACAAAGCTGTAGGAGATTCTTCTGATGTCCTCTGCCACATACCCACAGCATTAATTTAGTTGCACAAGGGGTGGACTGGTTTGTGTAACTCACTTTGCTCTGACAAAGTGCAAAAGTAATTGTGGTTACTTTTGCACCAACCTAATACAACTTTAAGCACAGACTGTGTGTCTTTTTGCTTTCTTCCCAGAGCATTGAGATGCCATCAAGCCTTCCAGGTCAGCATGACAGTACAGCCTGGAAGTGTAAAGAAGTTAACACTCTCAGGGAACATCCTCATCCAATGGGGAATGGAAACTGAAGGATGAATGTTCCAGCCTCCTGCTCACTGGAGATGTGAACGACTGGAAGCTGGTCTGCAGGCTTCTCAGAGGCCCCTGGTGGAATTGAGCTTCAATTGCCCATAGCAGAAACCTTGATAACACATAATTGTATTGGCTTTTCCTCATTCTTTGACTCACTCTTCTTGCTACCTCACTCTTGCTTCCTGGGACTGTGTCCTGAAAATATAATTGCACCAATGTCTTGACTTAGGCTTTGCTTTTGAAGAATCTCAACCTAAGATAAACATGAATCTCATTGTTTAAATTCTAGCTTAGGCAGGGTGGCATGGTGGCTCAAGCCTGTAATCCCAGCGCTTTGGGAGGCCGAGGCAGGAGGATCACTTGAGCCCAGGAGTTTGAGACAAGCCTGGGAAATGTAGTGGGACCCCACCTTTACAAAAGAAAATAACTGAGTGTGGTGGTGTGTGCCTGTAGTCCCAAATACTTGAAAGGCTAAGGTGGGGCATTGCTTGAGGCCAGGGGTTTGAGGCTGCAGTGAGTTGTGATTGCACCACTGTACACCAGCCTGGGTGACAGAGCAAGACCCTGTCTCAAAAATAAATAAATAAACAAAAAATAAATAAATGCATTCTAAGCTTAGGTCTTTATATCTCTTGTGCCCATTCAAAATATCAATGTAATAGCTGGAAAATACTACATGTTGTCAACAAGATAATTTTTTTAAAAGGAATAACTCTGAATTCTTTATTACACTTCATATTACAGTTTACTGTCTATGACTCTGTCAAATGTGGTTAAAAAATAGTATGAGATCAGTCCTCATCTCAAAGATGTATAGATGAGGTTTGAGCCAAGAGTCTATCATAGCCAGCACAACTAGCAGGTGTTCTGAGAAGATAAGACACTCATTTTCATGCCTGCATTTTCCTAAAACTTTCATAACTGGCATTATAGAAAGTTTTAGGAAACATGATAGTCTGAAATTGATGCTACTATTAAAAATGGAATATTCAATTCTTATAGATCCTTTTGCATTTGTTACGTTGATATGATGAATCGCTTATACATCTCTCTCACTTTTCTTAGCACAGTCCCTGAAACATAATTAATAGTAGGTAGGTAGTTAATTCTTGCTGAATAAATCAATGAATGGAATGATAATATATACTTGTTTCAGTTTTCTTATTTTGTAAAATAATTTGAGAATAATGTATTAACATACTTGAGGAAATTTTTGAGGACCTCAAATATTTATAAAATATTTCACACACTCTGAAGCAATATCTAAAGTTTATTATCAATATTATAATAATTCTGACACAAGCATTATATATCTGCACAACATCTAAAATTTGCTATTCCTTTTTATACTTTAGATGAATTATGTGGTAACATTTTAAGAAATTAAAAGCAAATCACAAATCAGTCATTTGAAGTAAAAATCTTTAATTTGAACTTATTTAATAGATTATTTTAATTTTTGAACAAGCATAAAGGTGCCAATTTAATTATCTGTGGGATTTAAAAACTTCAACAGAGAAAGAAAATAGGAGGTACTAGTGAGAAATATATTTTACAGTCTACATATTTATTGTATAATAAGCTATATTATATTCTAATAACAGCAAATATAACATTATAATGATTTTGATATCTGGACTCGCTAGACTTGGTCCCATAAATCCTATAGTTCTTAACAAAAAAACCCATCCGTTAGCAAACTTACACATCTAAGCTCAGTTTAATGCAACTTAATGAGACATTGAATTTTATGCAGCTAACCCAAGTTATCTATAGTGTGTGCCCTCCTGAGTACCCCAGGAAATAGAAGTAAAGAACTGACGAACATCAGATCCAACTGGCCCATTTGGGTTTGGACTCTAGGAGAGAGCAAGGAGGAGGCAGGAGAGGAAGTGGTGGTTCTCTTTTGGCTGCTGTCCTGGGAAGATGCCCAGTAGTCCTTAGCAAGGGTTCTACTTCTGCATTCTGTGTTGATTCATTTTCATATGTGTAGATGTACTGTGTCTAGTACCTCATGTCTAGGGTTGCTGTAACAAAGTATTGCAAAGTTGGTGGCTTAAAACAAAGGAAATTTATTCCCTCACGGTTTTGGAGGATAGAAGTCCGAATTCTGCAGGTGTCAGCAGGGTCACACTTGAAGGCTATTGGAGGGAATCCTTCCTTGCCTCTTCAAAGCTTCTACTGGTGGCTTACAGTCCTTGGAATTCCTTGGCTTGGAGATGCGTCACTCCAATCTCTGCCTCTGTCTTCATACGGCCTCCTCCCCTAGGTGACTATGCCTCTCTTCTTCTTATAAGAACAACAGTCATAATGGATTTAGAGCCCACCCTAATTCAGTGTGATCTCACCTTAACTTAACTAATTACATCTGCAAAGACCCTGGTAAGCTCACATTCATGGGTACCTGGGGTTAGAACTTCAACATATCTTTTATGGGGGACACAATTCAACCCACGAAACATATCATCTACATTTCTTTCCAAGGGTAGAAAACAGCACCATATTTTCTGTAAAGGCCAAGGGTACTGTCTAGGTTGTTTATAATCCTTACTTCTAACCAAAATCTAGTTCTAAATTGCATGTAGAAGATATACATAGGACATTTTAAGAAACTGAGGGATGTATGAAGTCAGATAGGCAAGTAATATAACAATAAATCCTAGAAGTCAGATATGTAAGTATTGAAATAGTAAATATTGAGGTGACAAAAAGGCTTACTTTCCTTCTCTTTGATGGAATCACTAATGTAAGATGGAATGTGTAAGAACTGAATAAGCCTCTGCAAATAGTGGAATATTCCAAACATATTTTCACGGAGGACAGGTAGAATGGATACAGTGATGGGAAACAATGACTTAATATTGAGAAAAGTATAAGCAGGACACAATGTAACGAAAATGCTTGCTGAACTTCCCTTCAACATTCTGAAAGTGGATACAGCCACATTTGATTTTGCTTCAGCCATATCTACAGTTAAGCCATTTATTGCCTCTTGCAACTCTGGTAACTCTCTGAGCAATAAGATCAAATGCGTAATATCTTGGTCCACTGAAGACATGGAAGAAATCTATAAAAAAAGAGAGATAATTTATTGAATTAGCTTATAGAATATCTCAGATGTCTTCAGTTAGAAAACCCTGCCCCTGTTCCAACATAACATTCAAATGCAAACATGCTATTTAAAAAATTTAAACACCAGGTGCGGTGGCTAATGCCTGTAATCCCAGAACTCTGGGAGGCTGAGGTGGGAGGATTGCTTGAGGCCAGGAGTTTGACACTAACCTGGTCAGCATAGTAAGACCCTGTCTCCTCTATAATAAACAAACAAACAACACATTTATTAGGTTTTTTTTTCCTACTTACGTTCTTGCTGGAAAACTGCATCAACTTTACTCTCTATTCCTGGAAAGGCACCTGATATGCTTTTGGGATAACCTGGCTCCATGAATTGTCTTTGGTTATCATATCTGGTAAAAACAAAATGTTATCCGATTTAACACCAATACAGAATATAACGAAAAAAATTTTTTTTATTGTATATAATTTACAAAGTCTCCTCACACATATTTTTTCATTCAGTTCTCACAATGCCCTGTTTACTAGGATTAAGAATGGTTAATTTCTCTACCTAAGGGTACACATTTATAAAACATATGGTTATCATTAATTCTAAAACAGGCTTGATGGCTGACACACTGTTATTACCCAAAGTAAGCTTATATTTTCAAGGCTTTTACTTAATTGGTATATAGTATAACTCCCTTGTGTGTGTATATAGATATATAAACATACATAATAGGTTCAACTTGGGAACCAAATTCTGCAGGCTATCTGGATAACATTTGCTTGCATATGTCTGAGTTGAACTCATAAGTGAGAATTAGCTTAAATCTTTCTTTGTATCTCACCCTAGTGCTTTGTTAAGGTTTTCTTTGTTTCTTGATGCAGAATCCTCAATACTATTGCATAGACATTTTAATTTTATAGAAATGAAAAATTTCAAAAGCCATGGTAACATCAATCATCCTGTAAAAAAGAATATATTCTCGGTAAAACCTATTAGAGACTATCTAGATTGTTTTAAACCTTGAAATGCTTGAAGGTTTGTAAGCAGGGTAGAGAAACACAGATTTCAACCTATAATTGAAAAAATAGTTTACGTTACCTCCAGAATTGGTCATTTACAAAGAAGTATGTTTTACTTCTGTAGAAAACAGCTGCGTCAATTGCTTGGACGCTGCTGGGGAAGCCATAGTTTGATATATCCTTGGGATAACCTTGCAGAATATCATAGCCACTCAGAGCCCAGTATTGGTTGCCTGTCAATGATTCAGGTTAAGTGTTAAATACGACTTTTCCATTTTTACAAAATTATATATATATATATATATATATATATATATATATATATATATACCACTTCTTGGTCTTGCACATAGATATGAAAATGGAACAAATAGTCTTTAAAAGATGAAGATGATAAAGTTAAGTTCAGGGGGGCTGTGAGAGCCTTAATGGTTCCCCAGAGCCTATAAAAAATAAAAACTTCTGAGCAAGACATTCAAGGCCCCACAATTGGATGCCTTAGTTTGTGTGACTTTTATGCAGAAACCAAATTACAGCTTGAGGAGTCTTAGAGAATTGTATCTGGGATGAGGATGAAAGAATGCTAACGACAGTCTAGTGTGGTCTCATTTTGTTGGTGAGAAAACTGAGGGCTGAAAAGCAAATAACCCACTCAGGTTCACACAGTAGTTAGTGGTCCTGATGGGGCCCAACCCTAGTCTTCTGGCAAAAGCCTGGCCAGCTTAATGCTGTCATTAGCTCACCATGAACCTGAAAGGGACCACAAAGAAGTCCTGCCCCCTCCCTTCAGGCAGAACTAACATAAGATGAAAACTTTAGGAAGTTACCTTTAAATAGGAAAATGAGGTCTCTGTCAAAATCTTCATAAGCAGCCTGTATACCAGTTGGAAGGGATGGCCAGAATAGAGAAATAAAATTCATTTCGACTCTTTGTAGCTGAGGATGCCTTCTCCAGAAGTACCTAACGGAACATAAGGAAACACACACACACACTTATACATAACAGTCTAAGTAGGCAGTTCCTGTGACTTTTAGGCTAGTGATGGTCCTTGTAGGATTGCTGGGAGAATATAACAATCGAACGAATGCAAAGTTCCTAGCACAGTGACCAGCATATGGCGAAGCTTTATAGTGATATTGTCCATCTGGCAAGTACTTCACAGCTTTCAGGGAAGGTTATGGGAGTGATCTTATTTGATTACATTTGGCATTGTCCTGCCTTGGACATTGAAAAATCTTACTTTGTAGCATCTTTCATTATTGCTCCCAGTAAATGCTGTGAACATATTGATAAAAGCAACAGCATGTACCCTCAGCCTGTGATTGCACACTCACAAAATAGCCAATGGACAAATAAAAATTTCGCTCAGTTTGATGATTTGCTGCACAGCTAGCTAAGCGCAGGTTCCATTTACTTGACTGATTTTGGATGGAACTGGATGGTGCTTTGGTGTTTCAGCTATGGGGTTCCCAAGCAGCTGTAGCCCATGTCTGTTTACATCACCAAAGGCATCTGAATGTTTGTGAATGTTTTCATGTTTTTTTTTTCTCCTGGATGTCTTGAGTTACCCAGAAAATACTCAATTGCATAAATTCAGTATAGACACAAAAATGGTACAAATAGTCTTTAAAAGACGAAGATGATAAAGTTAAGCTCAGGGGGCTATGATAATCCTAGTGGTGCCCCAGAACCTATAAAAAATTCCGATGAGAAGCACAAGTATAGAATTCAAGGAAAAGGTGACTAACGTGTGACTTAATTTGAATCCAGTTTTAAGGTATGTCAGTAAGAGGAATCAAAGGAAGAAATATTTCAATTTTATACCTGTCTTTAAAGAAAAGTATTTCTCCACGGAGTGTGGTGATAGCATCAAATGTCAAACTGGGGTCACAGGGTTTGGGTGTGCTTGGTCCAGTAGGTTGGATAGGGTTGCTTGAAAGTCCTGGAAAAAAAAAAAAAAAAAAAAAAAAGGTCTTTCTTATGAGAGTAAGTCCGGTGTGACTCTTGGGTACATCAGAGACTTCTCAGAAAGGTGAAGGGTCTTCATGTGAAGGTAAGTGCTACCAGACTATACCATAAAGTATTAAAGTAATTGTATATTTCATCCTTTTAAAGTTTTTGTTTCTTTAATAAGAGTAATGATGGTTTTCAGGGTAAGTTCCAGGTCAAGCTGTGAAGTAAAGAAATTTGAATTCTATGCTCCTTCCTTCCCTTTTAAATTCTAAACTAATTCTTCTCTGACTTTTCAGTTCCTCTTTCTGCTTTTTTGGTCACTCAGTATCTATTGCCTCTCTCCTCACCAAAATCCACTTTCAGGAAAGAATGATATTAGTCTTTTACGCTATAGCATACACCTAAGTCAAATTTTAGCAATATTTTTTCTATAAGTATTTGAATTTTCATGTGTTTTCTCACTGTGGAATGAAAGGCTATAATAATAGTTAAGATAAAAACATTGGTGAACAAAATAAAGGGGTGTTGTTGGGGTGGGCAGGAGGAAGAAATTGGGGAATAGAGGCAGTTAGGATAGGCTCAACATTTCTGAAATATCTGCAATCACAAAAAAGTTCCCTGGTTGTGGCACCCTGGCATGCTTGCTTGATTTTATAGTGCTGTCCCACCAGAGACAGAAAAGGGCTTTCCCCAATTCCACTCCACTCTGTTCCACTCCATTCAATTATATTTCACTCCAATCCACTATTCCATTCCATTCCACACTTTTTTAGAGAGCAGTAAATCCCTTATTGGTTTCTTGTTTTTATTCACAGCCAACTAGGGAACAGAAGGGCAAGCGTGAAGAGAGATGTAATGGTCTTATCCAGGCAATATGGCAAAAGGCCCCTATACTTATCCTTGAAATGTATCAGTGATGCCTTAAAAAAGTTTCTTTTTTTCTCTCCATACTCCACTACCATTCCCTTTCTTCTTCTTGAAAAATGCCTTGCTTTGTTTATATACATTTTAAATTTACATAGACTTATATATTGTGTAATTTAATTAATACATTGTGCAATATATCTCATTCTGTTTCTTTTTCACAAAGTACCAAGTTTTAAAGACCCATCTGTACTGTTGCCATATGTGCATCTAGTACCATGTTTCTCACTGCTGCACATCACTTCATGGTGTGCAGCTACCACATTTTATCTGTATAGTCTTCTCCTAATAGACTCCCAGGTGTCTTCCAACTTCCATTACCACAAACAAGACTGCAGTGAACATCTTTGGCATGATTTGTACATGTCCCCTTATGGATCTACATGAGAATTTCTTTGATAGATACATCTGGGAGCAGGATTGCTGTAGGAAAAAGAATAGTCATGTCTTTTTAGAATATTTAAAATTGGGGCCAGGTGCAATGGCTCACGCCTGTAATCCCAGCATTTTGGGAGGCTGAGGTGGGCAGATCACTCGAGGTCAGGAGTTCAAGACCAGCCTGGTCATTGTGGTGAAATCACCTCTCTACTGAAAATACAAAAATTAGCCAAGTGTGGTGGTGGGCATCTGTAATCTCAGCTACTTGAGAGGCTGAGGCAGGAGAATTGCTTGAACTTGGGAGGCAGAGGTTGCAGTGAGCCAAGATCGCGTCACTGCACTCCAGCCTGGGCAACAGAGTGAGACTCCATCCCCCCCCCCAAAAAAAATTTAAAATTGGAAATTTGGAAAGCCTAAAAAAGAAGAAAAAAATCCCCACCATCCAAAGACAATAACTGGGAAGCACTGTAGTGCATTTCTTCTTAAACTTTTTTTCTTTTAGGGCAGCAATAGAGGCTCAGTCCCTCACACCTTCTTTGTTAATGCTTTATTACTGGGGAAATTCAGAGTTCAGTTTTATGGAAACTGCAGAAGTGCAAAGGAAGAGATATTCAGATTCTGGGAGTGTTCGCCTATTCCCAGGTCCTACCATGTACTATGACTCTCTTGAGAAGACCTTACCATAGATGGCCTGAATGCCATCGATGTCATCTTGAGGGAGTGAGTAGTTGCTGGTTTCCCTGAAAGCATAGTTGGGATACATCAAGGCACCAGGGTCAGAGGAGTGAGCGAGCCCCAAAGAATGGCCAAATTCATGAGCAGCAACAAGAAACAAGTTGTAATCTGAAATGCAAACACGGGTGGTAAACAGCTCAGTGTGGATCCCAGGGTGGCAGAAACATGATCTCAAGGAATGCAACCTCCAAGTCAAAACTGCTCAGGGAAATAGCCCTTCCCATGGCTGTCTTTTTCATCTTTCTTTCAGATACCTGAGAAAGTGGACATTGAGAAGAATCAAGATAGTGGTCATAGATGGCGACTAGGTGAGTATGAACTTCTTATAAACTCTTAGAACCCAGAAAAGCTGCATTTATTCCAATTCTCACATTTTACAAATGTGCATCTGAGACTTGGAGAAGTAATGGCAGAGCCGTCATGACTTTGGGAACCCCTCTTCTCTTGCATTCCCACAATCACCATCTCCACTGTCCCAGACACTCAGCCTCACGAGTAGAGTCCCTGTGAGCAAGTAGTTAGAAGAGAAGCCAGCCCAGCAGTGGAGCAGCCTCAGATGGAGGGCTGGCTCATGTTGGCTCCCTCATCACCCACAGCTTAGCACCAGCTCTTCTCTGTTTCTGAGCTTTCTAAGATGCTCTAGGAATTCTCTACTGGAGAGAGACAAATCCTACCCTTATTGCTCTCTTTCTCCATGTTTTAACTTCCATGAGCATAGTGCCGTTCACAACTGGAGACTTAAAACCTTCCCAGGATCTCACTTCCTATCAAATAAAGCCCAACCTCTTTTGCCTGGCCTTCAAGACCTCCTCCACTTGGCTCCAGCAGATATTTGAGTGCTTGCCTTTTAACATGAATCCTTCAGTCCAGCCAGTCTACATGCTGCCTCACAAACACACTGATGCATTTTTGTATATGCCTACTTTTAAAAAAAGCCATAATTGTAGAGTACCTACAACATACTAGGCAATCTAATGTTATGCAATCCTCATAACATTTTTCTGAAGTTTTATTAACAATATTTTTATAGTAAAGTGACTGATGCCCATAGATTTTGAATAGCTGGTACTTGGTCCCTCAACTAGTAAGTGACAGATTGGGGTCAAACCCAGGTATAATGGCAAGATCCATGCTCTTACTGCAATGTTCAACTTCCTGTTGATAATTAGCCTGCTAAAATTCTACCCATGCTCTAAGAATTGTTTCTTATCATCACATCCTTTTAATTATGCATTCATGAGTGCATTTCAGAAAAATATCTTTGAATGCTTGGAATACCGTGAAAGGAACTGTGGGCAATTTGTTGTGGTTCTCTGCTCTACAGGGAGTGCATAGTCTAGAAGAGGAGAGATGTGTGCAAACAACTTGAAAGCACACAGTGAGTGATGACAGAGAAGGAGATACAAAAGCTGTCAGAATTCTGCAGAGGAAGTTCTCATTTCCAGGACAAGGCAAGACAGAAGGTGGCCTTTGACATACATAGCATGGCAAGATGAGAGAGATTTTAAAAGGTGGTGCGTGGGGCATGGGAAGAGTATTTCAGGGAGAGGAAGCAATTCAAGCAAATGTGAGGAAGATGAAAAGCATAGGGTGTGACCTAGAAACAGTGAATGTACAATGTGGGTGTTAGCCCGATGTGAATGGAATACGTGAAATAAGAAGACAAGCCAAGAAAGACAAGGATGAACAAGCACCAAGAGCCTTCAATACCAAGTGGAAGTATTTGGACCTTATTTGGTGCAGAATGTGTAAACATTGAAACTTTTAAGCATGAGAGTGATGTGATCCAAGATGGGCTTCCAAAAACAAACCCTGCTGCAATGGTAGGAAAAATTAGAGGGAGCACATACTGGAGATGGAGAGTCCAGTTAGGAATCTAGATCATTCGTTCAGGTAAGAGGTAATGATCATCCGAACTAGTGAGGAGGGCAACAGGGAATGGAGAGGAGCTGAGGGTTATTACCTATCTTTGGCTACACACAGCTCCTAGCATATGGACTTAGGTAGAATAGACCCTCGTAACATACCCATGTTGAGAAAATGGCAGGAGGAACAGGTGCCAAGCAAAGGTAAAAGGTGCCTTTCTGATTATTTTCTAAAAGTGCTCTCTGGCATATTGTTACCCCATATTTTGTGAAGTACCACATGGTCTGGGTATACCTGTCCTCAGCCTCATTTCTTCCCTTCAAGCAGCCCAGTCCTTCTTAATAGGAGCCTTCTCCTGAAAGGAGTGGCTTGCTGTACAGAAGCATACCACTGAAGAAGAGCTCCAAGGAGATGAACTAACTAGATGAGAGGGAAGGTGTCTGTTCTTTTCTCAATAGACTAATTTCTAATTATAGAAATTATAATTTCTAAATGAATTTCCAAAAAATGGAAAAATAGGCTAATTTCTAATTATAGAAATTATAATTTCTAAATGAATTTCCAAAAATGGAAAAATAGGCTCTTTTCAAACATCACTAAATTTGGGAATATTAAAATAAAGATATTCTAAAGCAGTATCTGTAAAGAACCAGATAGCAAATATTTTAGGCTTTGTAAGCCAAATGATCCATGTTGCAATTACTCAGCTTGCCATTGTAGAGTGAAAGCAGCCATTTATGATATAGAAACAAATAAATGTGGCCCTGTTTCAATAAAACTTTATTTATACAGACAGGGGTCAGGCAGGATTTGGCCGTAGTCTGTATTTTCTGATCTCTGACCTAAGAAGTAAGGTCAGTAATCAGATTCAGCATGTCTTTTTCTTTCTTTTTTTAAAAAAATCCCAAATTGACTTAGTATCATGAGGTAGCAAAAATTTCAAATGATCACTTTTTGTGAGTTTGAAATATTATGTTACCTTTATTGTGTGTGTGTGTGTGTGTGTATTCTAATCTGTAAAAGGTTAATTCAGAAGCTGTGTGTGGACATAATCTTGATTAACTTACTTGCGGAGGTGTTGGTCCATGTTTCTTCGGCATCAAAATGAGCATCTCCTCCAATACCTTGGCCTGGCTGAAAGGCATGAGCAAGGATTCCATTGGGTCCATCAAATGGAGAATTGTCACCGTGATCTGAAATAAGAACATTTGTATTAGATCCTTGCCAAGTTTCAGGTTAGCCAAAGAAAGCAAAACTGAGCATGACTGCTTTGTACCTACCTCTTTGGTAAAAAGCAATGTTGATATCTGCCTCTCCCTGTGAGATCCTGGTGAAGATGAGAGGTGATGCAACACTCCAGAGTTCAAAGGCATCCTTGATAGCTCTTTCTACCTCAGCCTCTGACAGCTGTGGGGTATAGTTTCGAATCCTTCAAAATGAGAGGATGTATGAAGAGTTAAATGTTATTTAGAACAGTAGTCCATCAACTGATGAGTTGTTCTGTTTTGAAGTGAGTTGCATCATGGTGTGCTACCACTGGAGAGGATAAGGAGGGAGTGCAGGTCTCAGGGTGGAGGACAGATGTGGGTTCTGAACAAGTTAATACATGTCTTTAAACCTCAGTTTCCTATTCATAAAATGAGGATACTAATATAGTATCCCTCTCATAGGGCTGCCGTGGGGATTAAATACATATAAAGCATTTAGTTCATTACTTGTCAAATAGTAATAATATTCCACAAATATTAGATATTATTATTATTATTAAGATGTATGAAAGGAGGGACTTGACTCTCTCCAGCAATGATTAAGCCTTTGTTGGGTCCTAAAGTAAGTGCTTAGAGAGACAGCCTAACATTGCTGGTAGTCCTCTTTAGATTGTTGGAGAAGGAAGACTAAAACGGGAAGCCTTGGAGTGGAAAGAACCCACGGTATCTCAACATTTTCATTCTCATATTCATTCACTACTCACACTCTTCAAAGGCAGGGATATTTATCTACTTGTTCCTAGTGTATCCCAAGAACAGTGTCTGTCATATAAGAGCCCAGTCCATACTGGATAAATGAGTGTATCCTGAAACCCTAGAGATATCACCTGTAGGTCAAGTTAGTGCGTTCCCACTTGGGGTTTCCTGGGGTTAACATAAAACCACCACTGTCAGGCACTCCACAGCGAGGCTTTTTCATCATGTCCAGAGTTTCCTCATTTGGCTTCCCCGTCACATTCAACCCAAAAAATCGCTGCATTTCTTTAAGCTTTTCAACGATCACATTAGTGCCATTCTTCCTTGTAGACTGATACTGGTTGCTTGGTAATTGGTAGAACTTTTCCAGGTAGTCCTGGACAAAGACAAGCACATAGGGGTCTTGCTGTGAAAGGACCTCCAGTTCTCTGGTCATTTTGCAACCCTTTCTAAGTTACTACAGAGGTCTGATAACTTGACAGCCACAGGAACAATAACACAAATTAATTTGTAGGTTGGCTTTGAGAGAACAACTCTTTTTAGAAAGAACAGTTCCTCCACTCAGTGCTCCAGTTAATGGTTATGCATAAAAAAGGGTGTCTCATAAGGGATGAGGATCACATCACACAGGCAAAGTGCTACTCTACAGTCAGGAGACTGTCTTCTTGTTTTTACAAAAAAATTAGGACTAACATTAATTGACTTCTCTTGAGGTATTTGTTGCATCAGTGCAGTTCCTCTTTTTTATCCTCTTCACTACTGTAGAAAAGGCTTATTTATTCTGCTGAACAAACAGAAGCACAGAGAATTAAGGAATTTTCCAAGTGATGATTCAGATTTTAACTCACCATGTTGCCTCTCAAATGAGAACTGATAATTTCAAAATAATTTCAAATATCTTTTAGGGGAACAGCAATATCATTGATATTAGCATTTTATTCACCAAAGTAACTCTTTGGAAGTGTTAAATTTAGTCAAAATCCAAAGAGTTTAGCCTAAAAATTACCTATTTTAAGTTTGGCTTAAAAGTTTCTTCATACACAGTGAAATGTAACCTAACTAGACCTCATGCTGCCTGTGAACACCTGGCACCTTGTCAGTGTCTTAGTCCATTTTCTGTTGCTATAACAGAATATCTGAAGCTGGGTAACTTATACATAAAAGGGGCTGATTTTCTCTCACAATTCTGGAGGCTGGGAAGTCCAAGATCAGGTGGCTGCATCTGGTTGGCTTCTGAGATGGCCTTGTGCTGTGTCATAACATGGCAGAGAAACAAAAGGGGAGCAAGCATGTGTGAAAAGGGGCAAAACACAAAGGGCAGCCCCTCTTTATAATACCCATTCTATTAATTACTAATCCAGTTCTGCAAGAGCCAGAACCCACTCCAGCAAAAATTAATCCAGTCACACAAGAGTGTCATTAATCTTTCTTAATGACCTAAGTACTTCTTAAAGGACCCAC
Organism: Homo sapiens; assembly: GCF_000001405.40. NCBI lineage: Eukaryota > Metazoa > Chordata > Mammalia > Primates > Hominidae > Homo > Homo sapiens. Next base: position 102,723,759 of record NC_000011.10, read on the forward strand.
TGTCACATGGGCTACTAAATCTTTAACACATAAATTCAAGGGACACACTCTAACCACAGCAGTAGGTGACACTGACCAGATCACACGCTTTGGAATCAGACAGGCCTGGGTTCAAATCTTAACTCTGCCATGAATTAACTGTGAGCACTTGGCCACATTATTTATCTGATTTAAGATATTTTTGTCTCTGAAATGAAAATAATAATGCTCCAATAAGGTTCTTGTGAGGATTAAATGAGATATTTGTGAAATGTGTAGCAGTTGCCTTGCATAGAATAAGCACTCAATGGACTTTACATTAACCCGGGGGTTACAATTAAGAGATAACCTCTTAATAATAATAATGCTTTCTCCAAACTATAATGCTAAGAAAACTGTGCATGAGAGATTTGTGACAGAATTCCCTTGTGTTTCTTAAAAATTTGGGTTCACTTTCAGACTGTGAAACAATGGAAAAAAACTATTGGTTCTGCTTTTATAATGCTTCCAAGAGTTTATAAACAGTCCACAATCTGATGCTGGGAAATATGATTTTACTGTGTACTGATTTCTAGTTCATTGTAATCTACCATCCTCACATTATTTTCTATATCTGGAATTTTTGGCGGCAAAGAAAATGCCTGTATGGAAGCACCAGACATATAGTAACTTGATTGCAGATATCCTGGAAGGAAAAACCTTAGGTAAATGAGAAAGAAAATGATACCATTTTATAAATAAAACCATTTCTTCTACAAAAGTTTCCCAACTAGGGGTAACTCTACAGCAGTATTTTCCCAGCCTTTAAAGAATTCAGCTTGTTTTCATGTCCGGCTTTTAAAAGGCCTAGTCCTTACCAGCTTGGAACCCTCCAAATCACTAAAAGGAGATGTTCAATCTCAAACTAATCACCCAAATAATTTCTTTCAGGCTGTTTTAATTAACAAGAGAAAACAACCCACACTATTTCCTAATAATCAGCAAATCAAACATCACCTAACTGATAGTTCATTTACCTGAACAGTTTTTGTATTTTTCTCTTTAGAAGATACAGGAAAGGCCTTGGAAATCTGCACATGGAGTAAGAGCAGAAATGGAAGCGTCTTCAGGGAGAACATGATCTTCTCTTCAAACTCTACCCCTCCTGGCTTTCTTTCTGTCCCTCTGGGTAGGGCCCTTCCCTGGCGAGCACCCTGACGTTCACAGCATCATGTGTCACTCACAGCTCTCTTGCAGTCCTCTTTAAAGCCATGTCTTAAACAATTGCTGCATCAGGAATATGAAGCAACATAGGTTAATTACACTCTGACAGTTTTGCAATTTTATAATGTGATTTAGTACCCCCAAATGGGGGAGTCTTTCAACAGTCTTTCAAAACTCCAACTTTCTACTCTTTGCTTTTGGATGTTTTAGTTATTTCCTTTTACAAAATTGGTTGAGGAAAAGGAACAAGGGACTAATCCTGAAGTTATGTGGATACATTTTTTGACTATGTAAGATGTTGAGGTTGAATTAACTTATGCAGGGGAATATTTTGAGGTTTGTGGTAGATATCTTGGGACCAAGGAGCCCAACTAGAGAATCTCTGTACTTACCCTCCCTCATTGTATGTGGAGAGAATGAGTGACTGTGTTATTACAAAGCAGGCTTTGTATGGGGCCTAGAGCTGCTTCTGGAGGATGTGGTTTGGTATCAACATATTAGAAAATCCCTAGTCTATAAGTTAGACTTTCCATGGAAAAGATAAAGAGAACAATACTGATGATGATAATAATGAACATTTGCTAAAAAATTATGATTGCCCAGACATTTGTACTGTGTTCCACATATTACCCCAATCCATCTTCACATAGCCTTGGGAGGGAGATGCTATTACTATCTCCATTTTACAGATGAAATCAAATCCAGAGACATTTAGATGACCTGTTTAAGTCACATGTTTCATTTGTGGAGGGGCCAGGATTCAACCCCAGAGGGTATGTTTAGAGAGACTGAGCTGGGAGCTACTATAAGCTCTGCATGGTAGTCTCCCACTTGAGTCTCTGGCTGGGCCATAGTGGAGCAGCAGCTCTAGGCCTTCAACAGCTGGATACTTTGGCTTATATTCACAGGCAGAAGACAAGGGAGAGGGAGAATGAGATGTTGTACATCTTCAAGGAGTAAGACACTGAGAGATTTCCAGACAATATGGCTACATAGGAGACTGTTTGTCAGAGGCCCCTGGGCATGCTTTTCAAATCATGTAACCTGGTCCCACTTATTCTGAGTCCACATGCATGTAGTTTGTTATCATACACAGTCTTTGTGAATACTCATTTACATATATGCATACATATTTGGTAAAGGCAGGTATTCTTGTGTATAAATGCATGTGTCTACATGTATGATACATAGCATGTATTAATATGTAAAGAGTGTATTTGAGATGCTATGATAAGGAGTTCTGATCTTTCCTGAGGTCACTTAGGAACTTTGAAAATGATCCAAAGAAAGGTGTCTTGGGTTAGAACATATCTGGACAGCAGATTAATGTTAATGATGTATATTCCTACATTCATTCAGTAAACATTTCCTGTCATCTACTACATGCCACATGCTGTGATGGGTGCTAGAGTATTGGAGATAAATTAATAGAGGTTTGGATAAAATGCTGTGGGTGTTTGGAGGAAACAGCAGTGGTGTGGAGGGAGTGAAATCAAGGAAGGTTTCATGAGGGAGGTGGAATTTGAACCGGATCATGAAGAGGTAGAATGTAGACATGCAGAGATGTAGCAACCCATTCTTTGTATTAATATAAATGTGACAGCTTCCTGCCAAATTGTTCAAAGATCACGGTCATGTTCATCCTCCTTGAGTTCATGGCTTAATGTGGCTTTCTTTACATTAGGTCTTTGGTGAAAAAATGCTTTTTCCTCCACGAAAATGCCTTAACATTGGTCTAACTCTATGTTGAGTTATTTTGATGCAATGGCTTGCTTACAAGGTTTATAAATGTACTTTCTTCTGAACATAACAGCAAGTGATTTAGTTGAGAATCTAAAACTTCGGTAAACTTAGTTTTTGGTGTTTGGGTAAATGCTATGTTAAAAAATTGAACGGTTGGGTCTGGATTCCCCCAACAGGCCCAGCCCTGGTGCAGTGGTGGAGAAGGCTATACTGCATTTGCTTTCAGGGCTCCAGCTTGTGCCTTCTGAATCCTTTCTCCACACCTGACCACTGTCTACCTCCGTGGTGTCTGTGCCTCACCTGCTTCTGGTCCCTGGGACTGAGTTCTCTCAGGCTCTCTCCCCCAAAAATCAAATCAGTCATTTACACTTCAGTGCGAACAGGAGTTGTTCGCCTGTTGAGTAGATATCTTGCTAGAAAAAACAAACAAGCCAACAAAGTTTTAAAAATGAAGGTATTGTTCATTATAACATGAGTTTCAGGGCAAGTTAAGAAGAAGAAAGAAATTTAGTTTGCCCAGAAAACTCACAAGGCAATGTAGGCTCTTTCTGCCTCTCTATTACTAGCCTCCCTCCTGCCCCTTCGGCAGCAGCCTATTCTCATAAGGATAAGGATATTCTTATAAGGATAAGGATATAGATGTGGGTTCTACAGCAACATAGCAGGTGTATTTTTATAGTTCAGTTTTGCTTTCTAGGCCCGAGGAGATGACACAGATTGCATAGATATAGTCTATTTGTTTTTTAGTTATAAAATAAAGGATGAGTTGAACCAGCTGGGGTGAGCACATGTGCCTGAATCTTGAATGATGAGTAGGAGTTGCCAATGGGGAATGTGATCCAGTAGAAGGAACAGCGTCCGCTAAGCACAGAATTATACCCAGTGAAGCCGTGGCTCATTTGATTCACATAAGCCAAGGCAAAATGTCCTCAGCTTCATGCCTTTCTGAACTCTCATGATCAGAATGGATGTCCATATACCCTGATCAAGTTAACAGAACAATTGTTAGGGCCAGTTGTGGTGAAAGGTAAAGAGCATTTGGGTGGAAATTAAACTTACTGGGTTCAAATTACAGTCCTGCCACTTCCCACTTATGCAACTTTTGGCAAATCTAAGTTCTTCTGAGGTTCAATTTCCACACCTGTGAAACTAGTGCATTAACATCTCCCTCATAGGGCATCAAGGGTATTAGATGAGATCATACATGGAAAAAGTCTGTGTAAACCCTTCACTGTGCTGTTCTCTTTGTATTATGAATGTGGTGAAATTATAGCCACATTAGTTCATGCGTCCGTTCTGTGAATGAGTTAGAAATGCTGAAAATTTCTTCTTTTCCAGAAAGAGAAGTGCTTCTAAGTTAAGCCACCAAGTGAAGTAACTTCCATGGAGCTTCCTTTAGTAGCCAGTGTTCAAGTTCAGCCAGGGAACATATGTGTGTGACTCACATCCTTTGCACAGAGTATAAATGTATACACTCAGATCTCACAAGTCATTATGGATTAATCACTGTGCTAAGTCTTAGATATGCAGCATCTATTACCTTCCTTAAGCTTCATAACAACCCAGAGAAGTGGGAGTTATTATCCCCATTTTAAAGAAGAAAACAGATTCAGAGATATGATTCAAATTTACCTTTTCATTGACTCTTCCTAAAATCTCCTTTGTTCTCTCAATGAGGAAAAAATTTTTAAAAGTGATTATTCTCAGTCTTGGCACTACATCAGAATCTATATTAAACATACAAGTAGGCTTCTTTTATGAACTAAATGTTGTGTCCCCCAACCCCAAATTTACATGTTGAAATCCTAACTCCCAGTGTGACGGTATTAGGAGGTGGGGCCTTAAGGAGGTGAGGCCTCATGAGTGGGATTAGTGCCCTTATAAAAGAGACCCCAGAGAACTCTCTTTCTGTCTTTCCACCAAGTGAGGATCCAATGAAAAGTTGGCAGTCTGCAGCCCAGAAGAGGGCCCTCACCAGAACCTAACCATGTTAGCAGGCTGATCTGACTTCCGTCCTCCAGAACTGTGAGAAATAATGTATTTCTGTTGTTTATAAGCCACTCAGTCTATGATATCTTATTTGGCAGCCAGAATGGACTGAGCTCCACTCCAGCTACTGAATCAGAATCTCTGGGGTGGGGCCCAGGTATACACAAGTTTAGAAAGCATCCCAGGTAACAATGAGGATGAGTTGAGAATCTCTATTGTAAGAGAGGATGGAGAATATACAATAAGAGAAGTAAAGAGTCATGTTTTAAGATTTTAAAAAAGGAAAAATCATATTCTATTGGGGAGATCCACAAAGTCTTTGTAGGGGAAGTGGACACTGAGATAAACTTTGAAAGGTGGATTGAATTTTGGCATTGAAATTAAGTTAAATGAGGGTGGGATTAGAAGCAAAAAGCAAAGGTATTGTGGTAAGAAATCTTGGATTGTAAGTGAAGAATAACAAGGGTCTGGGGGAATCAGCATAGAGCATATAAAGAGAAGCAGCTTGGAATGGTAGGCTAGAACCAGATAGTGGAGGGGCAGGAATTAAACATCAAAAGGCCAGCAATGAGCAGACATTGTTTGTTTCTGAGCCATGTAACAATCTATGCTGACTTAATAAAACTAACCGGGCCATAGTATCTAGGATAGACTGGACTGAAGAGAGGTTATAAATAAGAAGAACAATTAAAAGGTGGAGTAAGAGTTTAAGTGAAAGGTCGTGAGGACCTGGCCCTAGCGGGTGGTCATGGGTCTTACTCTTGGTGTGGGGATGGATGGTGAAGAAATGAGGTTGAAGAAGACAGGAGGGAACCTGGGTCATCACACCACACATCTCCAAGGAGCAGCAATTCGCATCACAGATACACACAGATAAAATAAAAGTTGCCTTAAGGCCGGGTGCGGTGGCTCACGTCTGCAATCCCAGCACTTTGGGAGGCTGAGGCAGGCAGATCACCGGAGGCTGGGAGTTCGAGACCAGCCTGACCAACATGGAGGAACCTCGTCTCTACTGAAAATACAAAATAAGCTGGGCATGGTGGCACGTGCATGTAATCCCAGTTACTTGGGAGGCTGAGTCAGGAGAATTGCTGGAACCCGGGAGGCAGAGGTTGTGGTGAGCCGAGATCGTGCCATTGCACTCCAGCCTGGGCGACAAGAGCGAAACTCTGTCTCAAAAAAAAAAAAAACAAAAAAAACAAAAACAGAGTTGTCTTGAGAGTCAAAGAGTTCTCTTGAGGATGACAGATGGAATCAAGGCTAAGGCTGGAGCTGAAGGAAGTGGAGACTTAGAGAAGCCGTGGTAGTGAATTCAACCCACAGATGAGGCTGATTAAAAGGCCTGCTGAGCAGCCGCCATGGTCCAGGCAAGTGAGAGAGTAGCTAGAGTGAGCATGGAGGATCTTATCCTTATGGTTTTGATTAGCCCCAAACATTTCCATTTCTGCCCCTGTATCTATTGTCCTCCCAACTAGAGGGTGTTGAGGATAAGAAAGAATGGAGAAAATGACCCATTGAGAGTCAACGACTGTCCAGAAACTAGTTTGACAGACCCACGAGAACAGATGGCAGAAAAGTAAACATTTCCATTCCAGGCCGCTCTGTGTATGTAGAGGCAGGAAACTGCGAAGTGGATTTTGCCAAAACTCTCTTTTCTACTAAATCAATCCAGCTGTGTGGCTGGAATGCCTCATTTTTCATTTTTCCTGAGGCACTGTCTTTTCTAAATCTTCTCCATTCTTGATTTTCTAACAATGTCTAGCTATAGCAAGGTATTACTTCCCACTTTAAGTAAATGCCCTCGTTTTCTCTCATTTTTACCACCAAAATATTCAATTTCTTAGTGTGTCCATGGGACTCTTTCTGTATCTCCACACCAGAACTATTCTCCTTACACATTCCCCCGCTATTTCCTTTCCCTCACTGGCTGCTTCCTGTTTGCCTACATGGTTTCTCTAGTAAAACAAAATAAAACCAAACAACAGACTTCTTTCTACCCTATTAATCACTTGAGTTACCATCCTGTTTCCTTTCCCTCACTGTCAAACTTCTTGGAAGCCCAGTCAGTGCCTCTACTCCTTCAAACCACACACCCGCTCCTCCTCACACCACACACCTACTACTCACACCACACACCTGCTCTTCCTCACACTACACACCCAATCCTCACACCACACACCTGCTCTTCCTCACACTACACACCCAATCCTCACACCACACACCTGCTCCTCTTCACACCACACACCCACTCCTCACACCACTCACTCCTCACACCACACACCCGCTCCTCCTCACACCACACATCCACTCCTCACACCACACAACCGCTCCTCACACCACAAACCCGCTCCTTCTCACACCACACACCGGCTCTTTCTCACACCACACACCTGCTTCTCCTCACACCACACACCCACTCCTCACACCACACACCTGCTCCTCCTCACACCACACACCCACTCCTCACACCACACACCCGCTCCTCACACCACGCACCCACTCCTCACACCGCACACCTGCTCCTCTTCACACCACGCACCCACTCCTCACACCACACACCTGCTCCTCCTCACACCACACACCCACTCCTCACACCACACACCTGCTCCTCCTCACACCACACACCCAATCCTCACACCACACACCTGCTCCTCCTCACATCACACACCTGCTCCTCACACCACACATCTGGCTCCCATCCCCCTTGGAGCCCAACCAGCTGTCACCCACATACGCCTGTTGGAGTCTGTGAGAATTCATCTCAATAAACTGTCTCACATCTATATAGTCCCCACTAGATTCTGTTCTCACTCCTCTTGATCAATGGTTCTCAACCTGAATTTATTTTTTAACCTAAAATATCAGAAAGACACCACATATGCCCTTTGGTGACATTGGCTTGTCAGGGGCAGTGGATTAGTTTTCCGCAGCTGCTGTAACATATAACCACACGTCCAATGGCTCAAAACAAGATAAATTCATTGCCTTACGATTCTGCAGGTCAGAAGTCTGGTATGGGTCTCACTGGGCTAAAATCAATATGTTAGCAGTGCTGTGTTCCTTCTGGGAGCTATAGAGGAGAATCAGTTTCTGTGTTGTTTCCAGCTTCTAGAGGCTATTGCATCCCTTGGCCTGTATTTCCACCTCTGCCATCTTCAAAACCAGCAATATCACTTCTCTCTAACCCTTATTCCATCTTCTTGTCTCTCCCTGATCACAGTTGGGGGAGGGTCTCCACTTGTGAGGACTCAGGTGATTTGATTGGACCCACTGAGATAATGCTAATCTCCCATTTCAAGGTCCTTAACCCAAATCACACCTGTGAAACCTCTTTTGCCATGTAAGCTAACATGTTCACGGGTCAGGATGTGGGCATTTTTGGGACCATTGATCTTTCTGTTACAGGCAATAATTCTCAATGAGAAGAGATGGAGGTAGTCAGTAAATGTGTAGACTGACTGCACAGGGAAGGGCACTTCAGGATCTGTGGTCTGCATGTGATTTGAAAAGCCCTTTAGGAGACCATGCCCTATAACTCCAGGATAACCTGCACCCACCCTGTTCTCCATTTTGACTTTCCATGCCAAGAATATGTGAGTATTTACTGAATACTCATTAGAAGTGAGGTACTGTCATAAAGGCTTTTGCAAAGTCACTTTTATGTAAATTTCTTAGGTATTACGTCTTTTAAAAGCAATACAGAAACTGAGGATCAGAAAGGTTAAGTGAATTACCTGAGATCACACACTGGCAGATGTGTAATGTGTGGCAGAATTTGGGAATCCAAGTTTGGTTTAATTCCAAGGCTCTTTCTGTTCAGTCTCCACAAAGTCTTCTACTGGAGTTGACCTTCTGCCTGAGTAGCTTCTTTAGTTTAAATGTCACATTAAGGTCATTATGGGAACTTTCTGACTCTTTCTTCCTCCAAATTCTACAGATGTGGTTGCCTCATACATCAGGACCAAACATCAGAGGAACCTGAAGTGACAAGCCCGAGGTACTCACAGACAGCCTGTTTCTCTTTAGCATGGGGAATGGAAATCCGAAGACCTGGGTTTGACTCCACTCTATCATTTGCTTGACCTTGCACAAGTTCCTTCATCTCTCTGTCTTAATTGCACATCCCTAATTGGCCACTTATTACTGTGGGACCCTAGACACAGTTCACTTCACATCCCTAAGTTTTAATTCCTTGCGTGTAAAATGGTGGTAACAATAGCCCTGACATCATAGGAATGTTGTGAAGATTAAATATGGATGTGTAGAAAATGTTTAACACAGAGTGCAAAATAACAGATAAAAATTACAGTTCTCTGGCAATTAAATATAAAAAAAAGCCTCACAGGATAGGAGCACTTTCTATATTGCTATATTGTTTTACGTTCTTATTTCAAAGCCGTGGGCTTTAAGGAGGTAATGCACGAAAAGCAATATAGAAAGTGTTGTTCAAACGATTTATTTTATTTTAAAAATCACTTATTTTTAAATAGTCTAGTAATACAAAAATACATGCTTATTAAAAAAAAAATTCCAAACTTTCAGAAGTACGGTAAGTAAATGTGAAGTTTTCTAACCCCCTTTCCCCCTACTTCAGTCCCCTCTTCTAGAGGTAACCAATGTTAACATTTTGAAATGTCTCCATCCAGATATTTTTCTATGGCTTAATGCTCCCAGAGTAAGCTGGTGTATAGCAGACGCAACCAGTGGCCTTCAATGAAGTCACGGATGGCTGAGACCTGTCACTCTTAGCCATGCTAGTGGTCATCATGCCCCCTGTAAAACCAGCAGAGGGCGCCAAAGTCCACTGGGGTATTCGGAGGGTGAACTGTTCGGTCAGATCAACAGTCTTCTTCGAAATAAGAATGTAAAACAAATAGATCCCATTTATCTCATTTAGTAAGGATGAGCCCAGGTTTTGAACTAGGTAGGTTAGTGGGAGAACTGGACATTAAAGACTTGGCCAAAGCTCATTAAAATGAATAGTTTGCTTTAGGTGAGAATGCAGAATGAGAAACTCCACAGTGGTCACAATGTTCCTAAGCACATTATTTTGTCCTCTGTTAACAGATCTTAATGCCAGGTTGTGGGTGGCAGTTTTAGCTTACTTGATAAGGGCTATCACATTCTAAGTGTCAGTTCACCAACAATGGCCATCCAGGCGGTGGCTAGCTTCCCGCTCTCACAAATAGTTCTGTATTGGCTGCCCTACAAGTCTCCTGGGGATCACAGTCAGAATGAATACTTACAAGTGGGACTACTGGGGTTAGAATACAGGTATTCTTATGATACAGCCAGATTTTGCTTCACAATGGTTGCACCAATTAACAGTTCTGCCCGCTGTAAATAAGGGTTCATATTCCCCATGTTTTTATCAGCACTTAATATAACCAGAACTTCTAATTTCTGCCATTTTTGGTAGGTATAAGTAGGTATCTTTTTTACATTGGTATTCCGTTGATTACTAGTAAGATTGGATATCTCTTTATATGCTGTCAGCTACCCAGATTTCCCCTTCTAATAATAGCCAACTTATTTCCATGCCTGCATTTCTACTGGATTTCTTACCTTTTTCATGTTGATTTAAAAGAATTTCTTCTCTGAACCACCTATTAATCTTTCCTTAGTTTCATATGTTGCAGACACTTTCTCTGTTTCTCATTTAATATAATTCTTTAATTTCAATGTAATCAAAACTATCAGCTTTGCCCGTTATGAGTTATGCTTTTTTGGTGTTATTTGAGATATTCTTCCCCACATTATGATGGTCAAAATATTCTCCTATGTATTTTGTTGAATTAGTTCTACCTTTCATATTGAAGTCTTTAACCAATTCAAAGTATACTTTTGTGCATGGTCTGCATCAGAAAGAATAAGCAAAATTACACTTTGGTAATAGGCCCTGCATCCTTTAGTCTTATAAGACAGCTCAGATTTATTTCTTGCTTGTGCTATGTGTCAATTATGGTTTGACAGAGGACCTCTGTGTATGGCAGTGACCCAGTTTCACAGACCTCCAGAGAAGCTGTGATCTTGAATTCTCTCTGTCATGTTGGTTGAAAAAAGATTTCTAAAGGGTTTTGCACAAGCAATGAAATGTTCCAGCCCAGAACCAAGCACAAGTCATAGTCCAGAACTAGTCATGTGGTCCCATCCCACTGCAAGGAGGCTAAGGAGTATAATTCTTCCATGTGCCCAGTAGCTGGAACTCCACAGTGAAGAGTATCTGTTACTTGCACTTGCTGGGATACAGAATTCATCTTTATTTTTTCCATGTAGTGCCTCCAAACAACTATTTGAGGATTCATTCTTTTTTTTCTTCTAATTTGTAGTACCACCCCTATCATACCAAAAGCATGTTTCTGGACTTGTATTTAGTTCCATTAGCTTATGTCTCTGCTCCTGCGTAAGTTTTGCACCACTGGGGTCACAGAGGTTTTGTAAAATGTCTTAATATTTGGTGGGACTCTCTCCTTCTTTGTTCTTTGTCAAAATTCTTAGCTCCTAGTGTGTATTTTTTTTTTTATAAATAAAAGCCTTGCAATCAATTTTCCTTTCCCAAATACTGCCATTGGAATTTAGTTAAAATTGCTTCCCATTTACAAATTAATTTTGGAAAAATTGTCATCTTTAGAGTATTAGGTCATTCCATACATGAAGATCATATTCTATTTTTCTTATATGTCTGTAATAGAGTCTTAAATTCTCATTTTTAAGGGGTTGTTCTGTTTTTGCTATGTTATTTCCTAAAGAGGTAATTGATTTTGCTGTGGCTATTAATATTTTGTTTTCTATGTTTGATCTACTTGTTTATTGTGCATATATAGACATGTAAATGATTTTGATGTGTTGATGTACTTGGAAACATTACAATTTTTCTCATCTTAAGAGTTTTGATTCTTTTGAGGTTTTCTATGTAAATTATCAAATTATCTACAAATAATTATAATTTGGACTCTTCCCTTTTGATCTTTATAACTGTTGATATTTTCCTCATTTTAATTTTTTTTTTTTTTTTTGTAGTAATGAGGTCTTACTGATGTTGCCCAGGCTGGTCTTGTAATCCTGGGCTCAAGCAATCCTCCTGCCTCAGTCTCCCAAAGGGCTGGGATTACAGGCATGATTCACTGTTCATGGCCTCATTTCAGTTTTTGACAGGATATCCAGGACTATATTAAACGAATATCAGTGATAGCAGGCATCCTTCTCTTATTCCCAGTATTAATAAGAAAGTACCTAAAGTTGCTCCCTATGTGCTATATGGTGATGGTGGAATATGTCCTCTGTTTTCTCTGAAAGAGTTTGTGTAAGATTGGAATGATCTATTCCTTGACATGGATCTTTTGGCAAAACAAACCAATAAAACCATCTAAGCTTAATGTTTTCTTTGTGGGAAGATATTTAAACCATTAAACATTATTTTATAGTTATAGAATAATTAAGACTTCCTTTTGCTGTTAATTTCTTTTTTCTTTATATATTTTTGAGATACTATTGACATATAGTGAAGTACACAAGTCTTAACTACACTGTTCGGTGAGTTTTGACAAATGTATAAGCCAATGTATCCCATACCTCATGAAGGAAGAGAACATTTCCATCATCTGAGTTCTCTGAGTTCTTTCTTGGTCAAACACAGTCCCTCCTCAGTGTCAATCACTGTTCTGATTTCATTTCCTATATATTACTTTTTATAATCTTAAAGTTCATATAATGGAATCAAAAGTATATATTAGCTTCTGTGCCTGGCTTCTTTTGCCTAGAATGATGTCTCTTAGGATAAGAGAGACATTTTAATGGTTTTCAGTTTAATCCATGTTGTTGTATATAGTACTAGTGGTAATATTCTATTGTATGAATATGCCACTATTTTCAGATTTGGACTATCAAGAATAAAGCTGTTATGAATTCTTGAGCAAGCTTTTTTGGGGTATTTATGTTTTCATTTATCTTGGGCAAATATGTAGAAGTCATAGGGTGAATAAATATTGAACTGTGAGCAATTTGATATTGTATGAGCCTTCCAGATGTTCTAGCTCCTCATCAATGTTTGGTGTTGTCAGTCTTATTAACATTAATGATTTTAGTGGATTTTTTTTAGTGGTGCCTTATAAGAATTTTATTTTCTCGATAACTAATAATGTTAAGTACTTTTTAAATGTGTTTATTGGCCATATATATGTCTTTGTGAAGAGTCTGATTAAAACTCCCATGCATTTTTAATTGCATGTGTCACTTTATTATTAATATGTTAGATTTCTTATATATTCTGAATAAAACTCCTGCAGGGTTCCCCAGTTCCCCTCACTTTTTTTTTCTGTGTCCTGACCAAAAATCAGAGTGCCTTGACCACCCTGTGTCCTTGCCAGCTGTAAGGTTTTCCCAGCAGTCTTGAAACCAAACCAGGAACTTGAAAATTCCCTGGTAGTGATAAAGATATCTAGGTTTACTAGAAAGAAACTGGCCCTGGCCCTGAACCAAATCTTTAAATCCTCATATAGACATATTACCCCCTAGATGAAGACATATCTATGTAGGACACCCCTCTACCGTGATTGTTCTTTGAGAGGATACACCAAAGAACTCTGTAAGTAAATACCCCTAATAAATGTGTTGTCCTTCTCACCCTGGCATTTAGTGCTTCCTTCTTTGGAATCTCAGCTGGCCCCATCTGGAGACAGTCTTGGGCACTTCCTTGCAGGAATTCCCTTGCTGCCACTTTTGGGGCGACTCCAGTCATGAGTTCAGCAGGATGAAACAAGTCCTTTGACAGATATGGTTATTACAAATGCATACTTCCCCTGAGATCTTATATTTCCATGGGACTATCAGTCTCCCTGAAATCTCAAGGCAGAGTGCTTATTGGCAAAGTCTAAACACAACCACTCTGATTTCTCATATTCATTGGTGGATTTTCTCCCCAGGAACCCATCAGAAACTTGGTCTTAGGCTCTGAGCATTTCTGGGGGCTGCTGCAATGTCTGTAATATTCTAGCCTCTGCACTAATGAAGACGAAGCCAAGAAATTTTTCAGGAGCTGGTCAAACTGACTATATACCTTTTTATTAACTTTCCATCTTTTCTGGAATCCAGCATCAATTCTGTGTTAATTTATTTAAAAACTTTTATTAAGTACTTACTTGGATTTTGCATTATATTAGTAAAATAAACAGACAAAACAATAATACATAGCAAATCCCCCACCCCTCTCCCTGCCACACATCCTGATGGAGCTTCCACTGTAGCAGGGGAAGACAGGCAATAAATAGTAAAATGACAGGCCCACAGCTAGTACCATACTGAATGGGGCAAAACTGAAAGCCTTTTCTCTTAGATCTGGAACATGACAAGGATACCCACTTTCACCACTGTTATTCAACATGGTACCAGAAGTCTTAGCTAGAGCAATCATACAAGAAAAAGATATAGAGTATCTAAGTTGCAAAGGAAGAAGTTGAATTATTCTTGTTTGCAGATGATTTAATCTTATATTTGGAAAAATCTAAAGACTCCACCAAAAAACTATTAGATCTGATAAATTCAGTAAAGTTGCAGGATGCAAAATCAACATACATAATTCAGTACCATTTCTGTGGGACGACAGTGAACAAACTGAAAAAGAAATGAAAAAGCAGTCCTATGTACAGTAGTCACAAAACTAAATCCTAGGAATTACTGAAAGATCTCTGTAATGAAAACCATAAAACACTGATGAAAGAAATTGAAGAGGACACCAAGAAATGGAAAAATATTCCATGTTCATTGATTGGAATAGTCAATATTGTTAAAATGTCCGTACTACCTAAAGCAATCTACAGATTCAATACAGTCCCTATGAACACAACAATGACATTCTTCACAGAAATAGAAAAAAAAATCCTAGAATTTATTTGGAACCACACACACAAAACCCAGAATAGCCAAAGCTATCCTAAGCAAAAAGAGCAAAACTGGAGGAATCACATTACCTGACTTCAAATTATACTACAGAACTATAGTAACCAAAACAGCATGATACTGGCATAAAAACAGACACATAGACGAATGGAATAAAATAGCCCAGAAATACAAATAAATCCACACAGCTACAATGAACCATTTTCAACAAATATGCTAAGAACATACATGGGGGAAGAGATAGTCTCTTCAATAAATGTTGTTGAAAAAACTGAATATCCATATGCAGAGGAATGAAACTAGACCCCTATCTTTCCCCAGTGTATGTTCTTGGCACCTTTGTCAAAAGCAAGTTTACTGTAGATTCATGGATTTACTTCTGGATTCTTTATTTTGTTCCATTAGTCTATGTGTCTGTTTTTATGCCAGTACCATGCTGTTTTGTTTACCATAGTGTGTAGTATAATTTGAAGTCAGGTAATGTGATTCTTCCATTTTTGTTCTTTTTGCTCAGGATAGCTTTGGCTACTCTGGGTATTTTATGGCTTTGTATAAATTTAATATTGCTTTTTCTATTTCTGTGAAGAATGTCATTGGCATTTTGACAGGAATTACGTTAAATCTGTAGATTGCTTTGGGTAGCAAGGATATTTTAATGATGTGGATTCTTCCAATCCATGAACATGAAATATCTTTCCATTATTTGGTGTCCTTCTCAATTTCTTGCATAAATGTTTCATGGTTTTCATTGTAGAGATTTTTCACTTATTCGATTAAGTTTATTTCTAGATATTTTATTTTATTTGTAGCTATTGTAAATGGGATTGCTTTCTTGATTTCTTTTTTAGATTGTTTGCAGTTCACATATAGAAATGCTGTCGATATTTGTATGTTGATTTTTTATCCTGCAACTTTGCTGCATTTGTTTATCAGTTCTAATAAGTTTTTTGGTGGCGTTTTTAGGTTTTTCCAAATATAAAATTTTATATTCTGCAAACAAGGATAATTTTACTTTTTCCTTTCAAATTTGGATGCCTTTTATATCCTTCTCTTGTCTTGTTGCTCTAGCTTCCTTCTTAATTTCTTCATTGACTCACTGGTCATTCAGGAGGATATTGTTTAATTTCCATGTGTTTGTATAGTTTCTAAGGACTTCCAGTACTATGTTGAATAACAATGGTGAAAGTGGTCATCCTTGTTTTTTTCCAGATCTTAGAGGAAAGGCTTCCAGTTTTCCCCATTCAGTAATGTCACCCAGTAGCTGTATGTCATATAGGACTTTTATTGGGTTCAGGTATGTTCCTTCTGTACCCAGTTGTTTGAGAATTGTTAACATGAAGTGATGTTGAATTTTATCAATGCTTTTTCAGCGTTAATTAAAAAAATTATATGATTTTTATCCTTCATTCTGTTGATATGATGTATCACAGTGATTAATTTGTGTATGCTGACCCATTCTTGCATACCTAAGATAAATCCCATTTGGTCATGATGAATTATCTTTTCACTGTGTTGTTGAACCCAGTTTGCTAGAATTTTGTTGAGGATTTTTGTGTCAATGTTTATCAAGAATATTGGCCTGTAGTTTCTTTCTTTGACGTGTCTTTTTCTGGTTGTGGTATCAAGGTAATATTGTCCTCATGGAATGAGTTTGATAGTATTCCCTCTTCCTTTATTTTTGGAATAGTGTGAGTAGAATTGGTGTTAGTTCTTCTTTAAATGTTTGGTAGAATTCAGCAGTGAAGGCTTTGGGTCCTGAGCTTTTCTTTGCTGGGGGACATTTATTAAGTTTCAATCTCATTACTTGTTATTGGCCTATTCGGATTTTGGATTTCTTCATGGTTCAATCTTGGTGGGTTGTATGTGTCTAGAAATTTATCCATTTCTTTTAGGTTTTCCAATTTGTTGGCATATAGTTGCTCATAGTAGCCTCTAATGATCTTTTTCTGCAGTATTGGTTTTAATGTCTCCTTTTTCATATCTAATTTTACTTACTTGGGTCTTCTCCCTTTTTTCTTAGTTAACTGGGCAAAAGATTTGTTGCTTTTGTTTATGTTTTCAAAAAGCCAACTTTTTGTTTTGTTGATCTTTTGTATTTTTTTGTTTTAATTTCATTTATTTCTGTTCTGATCTTTATTATTTCTTTTCTTCTATTAATTTTGGGTCTGATTTGCTCCTGCTTTTTTAGTTTTTTAAGAGGCATTATTATGTTATTTATTTGAAGTTTTTATACTTTTTTGATGTAAGCACTTACTGCTATAATCTTTTCTCTTAGTACTGCTTCACTGTATCCCATAGGTTTTGCTATTTTGTATTTCCACTTTGATTTGTTACAAGAAATGTTTTCATTTCTTTCTTAATTTCTTTATTGACTCACTGGTCATTCAGGAGGATATTGTTTAATTTCCATGTGTTTGTATAGTTTCCAAAATTCCTTGTTATTGATTTCTAGTTTTATTCCATTGTGATCAGAAAAGACACTTGATATTATTTCAGTTTTTTTTTTTTGAATTTTATAGACTTGTTTTATGGTGTAACATATGATCTATCCTTGGGAATGATCCATGTGCTGAGGAGAAGAGTGTGTATTCTGTACCTGTTGGATGAAATGTTCTGTAAATATCTATTAGATCCATTTGGTCTATACTGCATTAATTCCAATGTTTCTTTGTTAATTTTCTGTCTGGAAGATCTGTCCCATAGCATATAGAAGTCTCCAGCTATTAATGTGTTAGGGTCTATCTATCTTTTTAGCTTTAATAATATTTGCTTTATATATTTGGGTGCTCCAGTATTTTATGCATATATATTGACAATTGCTATGCACTCTTGCTGAATTGACCACTTTATTACCTTAATGACTTTGTCTCTTTTTTTTAATTATTATACTTTAAGTTTTAGGGTACATGTGCACATTGTGCAGGTTAGTTACATATGTATACATGTGCCATGCTGGTGCACTGCACCCACTAACACGTCATCTAGCATTAGGTATATCTCCCAATGCTATCCCTCCCCCCTCCCCCCACGCCACAACAGTCCCCAGAGTGTGATGTTCCCCTTCCTGTGTCCATGTGCTCTCATTGTTCAATTCCCACCTATGAGTGAGAATATGCGGTGTTTGGTTTTTCGTTCTTGCGATAGTTTACTGAGAATGATGATTTCCAATTTCATCCATGTCCCTACAAAGGACATGAACTCATCATTTTTTATGGCTGCATAGTATTCCATGGTGTATATGTGCCACATTTTCTTAATCCAGTCTATCATTGTTGGACATTTGGGTTGGTTCCAAGTCTTTGCTATTGTGAATAATGCCGCAATAAACATATGCGTGCATGTGTCTTTATAGCAGAATGATGTATAGTCCTTTGGGTATATACCCAGTAATGGGATGGCTGGGTCAAATAGTATTTCCAGTTCTAGATCCCTGAGGAATCGCCACACTGACTTCCACAATGGTTGAACTAGTTTACAGTCCCACCAACAGTGTAAAAGTGTTCCTATTTCTCCACATCCTCTCCAGCACCTGTTGTTTCCTGACTTTTGAATGACTGCCATTCTAACTGGTGTGAGATGGTATCTCATTGTGGTTTTGATTTGCATTTCTCTGATGGCCAGTGATGATGAGCATTTTTTCATGTGTTTTTTGGCTGCATAAATGTCTTCTTTTGAGAAGTGTCTGTTCATGTCCTTTGCCCACTTTTTGATGGGGTTGTTTGTTTTTTTCTTGTAAATTTGTTTGAGTTCATTGTAGATTCTGGATATTAGCCCTTTGTCAGATGAGTAGGTTGCAAAAATTTTCTCCCATTTTGTAGGTTGCCTGTTCACTCTGATGGTAGTTTTTTTGCTGTGCAGAAGCTCTTTAGTTTAATTAGATCCCATTCGTCTATTTTGTCTTTTGTTGCCATTGCTTTTGGTGTTTTAGACATGCAGTCCTTGCCCATGCCTATGTCCTCAATGGTAATGCCTAGGTTTTCTTCTAGGGTTTTTATGGTTTTAGGTCTAACGTTTAAGTCTTTAATCCATCTTGAATTGATTTTTGTATAGGGTGTAAGGAAGGGATCCAGTTTCAGCTTTCTACATATGGCTAGCCAGTTTTCCAAGCACCATTTATTAAATAGGGAAACCTTTCCCCATTGCTTGTTTTTCTCAGGTTTGTCAAAGATCAGATAGTTATAGATATGCGGCGTTATTTCTGAGGGCTCTGTTCTGTTCCATTGATCTATATCTCTGTTTTGGTACCAGTACCATGCTGTTTTGGTTACTGTAGCCTTGTAGTATAGTTTGAAGTCAGGTAGTGTGATGCCTCCAGCTTTGTTCTTTTGGCTTAGGATTGACTTGGCAATGCGGGCTCTTTTTTGGTTCCATATGAACTTGAAAGTAGTTTTTTCCAATTCTGTGAAGAAAGGCATTGGTAGCTTGATGGGGATGGCATTGAATCTGTAAATTACCTTGGGCAGTATGGCCATTTTCACGATATTGATTCTTCCTACCCATGAGCATGGAATGTTCTTCCATTTGTTTGTATCCTCTTTTATTTCATTGAGCAGTGGTTTGTAGTTCTCCTTGAAGAGGTCCTTCACATCCCTTGTAAGTTGGATTCCTAGGTATTTTATTCTCTTTGAAGCAATTGTGAATGGGAGTTCACTCATGATTTGGCTCTCTGTTTGTCTGTTGTTGGTGTATAAGAATGCTTGTGATTTTTGTACATTGATTTTGTATCCTGAGACTTTGCTGAAGTTGCTTATGAGCTTAAGGAGATTTTGGGCTGAGACGATGGGGTTTTCTAGATATACAATCATGTCGTCTGCAAACAGGGACAATTTGACTTCCTCTTTTCCTAATTGAATACCTTTTATTTCCTTCTCCTGCCTAATTGCCCTGGCCAGAACTTCCAACACTATGTTGAATAGGAGTGGTGAGAGAGGGCATCCCTGTCTTGTGCCCGTTTTCAAAGGGAATGCTTCCAGTTTTTGCCCATTCAGTATGATATTGGCTGTGGGTTTGTCATAGATAGCTCTTATTATTTTGAAATAGGCCCCATCAATACCTAATTTATTGAGAGTTTTTAGCATGAAGGGTTGTTGAATTTTGTCAAAGGCTTTTTCTGCATCTATTGAGATAATCATGTGGTTTTTGTCTTTGGCTCTGTTTATATGCTGGATTACATTTATTGATTTGTGTATATTGAACCAGCCTTGCATCCCAGGGATGAAGCCCACTTGATCATGGTGGATAAGCTTTTTGATGTGCTGCTGGATTCGTTTTGCCAGTATTTTATTGAGGATTTTTGCATCAATGTTCATCAAGGATATTGGTCTAAAATTCTCTTTTTTTGTTGTGTCTCTGCCTGGCTTTGGTATCAGAATGATGCTGGCCTCATAAAATGAGTTAGGGAGGATTCCCTCTTTTTCTATTGATTGGAATAGTTTCAGAAGGAATGGTACCAGTTCCTCCTTGTACCTCTGGTAGAATTTGGCTGTGAATCCATCTGGTCCTGGACTCTTTTTGGTTGGTAAGCTATTGATTATTGCCACAATTTCAGATCCTGTTATTGGTCTATTCAGAGATTCAACTTCTTCCTGGTTTAGTCTTGGGAGAGTGTATGTGTCGAGGAATTTATCCATTTCTTCTAGATTTTCTAGTTTATTTGCGTAGAGGTGTTTGTAGTATTCTCTGATGGTAGTTTGTATTTCTGTGGGATCAGTGGTGATATCCCCTTTATCATTTTTTATTGCGTCTATTTGATTCTTCTCTCTTTTTTTCTTTATTAGTCTTGCTAGCGGTCTATCAATTTTGTTGATCCTTTCAAAAAACCAGCTCCTGGATTCATTAATTTTTTGAAGTGTTTTTTGTGTCTCTATTTCCTTCAGTTCTGCTCTGATTTTAGTTATTTCTTGCCTTCTGCTAGCTTTTGAATGAGTTTGCTCTTGCTTTTCTAGTTCTTTTAATTGTGATGTTAGGGTGTCAATTTTGGATCTTTCCTGGTTTCTCTTGTGGGCATTTCGTGCTATGAATTTCCCTCTACACACTGCTTTGAATGCATCCCAGAGATTCTGGTATGTTGTGTCTTTGTTCTCGTTGGTTTCAAAGAACATCTTTATTTCTGCCTTCATTTCGTTATGTACCCAGTAGTCATTCAGGAGCAGGTTGTTCAGTTTCCATGTAGTTGAGCGGCTTTGAGTGAGATTCTTAACCCTGAGTTCTAGTTTGATTGCACCGTGGTCTGAGAGATAGTCTGTTATAATTTCTGTTCTTTTACATTTGCTGAGGAGAGCTTTACTTCCAACTATGTGGTCAATTTTGGAATAGGTGTGGTGTGGTGCTGAAAAAAATGTATATTCTGTTGATTTGGGGTGGAGAGTTCTGTAGATGTCTATTAGGTCCATTTGGTGCAGAGCTGAGTTCAATTCCTGGGTATCCTTGTTGACTTTCTGTCTCGTTGATCTGTCTAATGTTGACAGTGGGGTGTTAAAGTCTCCCATTATTAATGTGTGGGAGTCTAAGTCTCTTTGTAGGTCACTCAGGACTTGCTTTATGAATCTTGGTGCTCCTGTACTGGGTGCATATATATTTAGGATAGTTAGCTCTTCTTGTTGAATTGATCCCTTTACCATTATGTAATGGCCTTCTTTGTCTCTTTTGATCTTTGTTGGTTTAAAGTCTGTTTTATCAGAGACTAGGATTGCAACCCCTGCCTTTTTTCGTTTTCCATTTGCTTGGTAGATCTTCCTCCGTCCTTTTATTTTGAGCCTATGTGTGTCTCTGCACATGAGATGGGTTTCCTGAATACAGCACACTGATGGGTCTTGACTCTTTATCCAATTTGCCAGTCTGTGTCTTTTAATTGGAGCATTTAGTCCATTTACATTTAAAGTTAATATTGTTATGTGTGAATTTGATCCTGTCATTATGATGTTAGCTGGTGATTTTGCTCATTAGCTGATGCAGTTTCTTCCTAGTCTTGATGGTCTTTACGTTTTGGCATGATTTTGCAGCAGCTGGTTCCGGTTGTTCCTTTCCATGTTTAGCGCTTCCTTCAGGAGCTCTTTTAGGGCAGGCCTAGTGGTGACAAAATCTCTCAGCATTTGCTTTTCTGTAAAGTATTTTATTTCTCCTTTGCTTATGAAGCTTAGTTTGGCTGGATATGAAATTCTGGGTTGAAAATTCTTTTCTTTAAGAATGTGGAATATTGGCCCCCACTCTCTTCTGGCTTGTAGGGTTTCTGCCGAGAGATCTGCTGTTAGTCTGATGGGCTTCCCTTTGAGGGTAACCCGACCTTTCTCTCTGGCTGCCCTTAACATTTTTTCCTTCATTTCAACTTTGGTGTATCTGACAATTATGTGTCTTGGAGTTGCTCTTCTCGAGGAGTATCTTTGTGGCATTCCCTGTATTTCCTGAATCTGAACGTTGGCCTGCCTTGCTAGATTGGGGAAGTTCTCCTGGATAATATCCTGCAGAGTGTTTTCCAACTTGGTTCCATTCTCCCTGTCACTTTCAGGTACATCAATCAGACGTAGATTTGGTCTTTTCACATAGTCCCATATTTCTTGGAGGCTTTGCTCATTTCTTTTTATTCTTTTTTCTCTAAACTTCCCTTCTCACTTCATTTCATTCATTTCATCTTCCATCGTTGATACCCTTTCTTCCAGTTGATCACATTGGCTCCTGAGGCTTCTGCATTCTTCACGTAGTTCTCGAGCCTTGGTTTTCAGCTCCATCAGCTCCTTTAAGCACTTCTCTGTATTGGTTATTCTAGTTATACATTCTTCTAAATTTTTTTCAAAGTTTTCAACTTCTTTGCCTTTGGTTTGAATGTCCTCCCATAGCTCAGAGTAATTTGATCGTCTGAAGCCTTCTTCTCTCAGCTTGTCAAAGTCATTCTCCATCCAGCTTTGTTCTGTTGCTGGTGAGGAACTGCATTCCTTTGGAGGAGGAGAGGCGCTCTGCTTTTTGAGTTTCCAGTTTTTCTGTTCTGTTTTTTCCCCATCTTTGTGGTTTTATCTACTTTTGGTCTTTGATGATGGTGATGTACAGATGGGTTTTTGGTGTGGATGTCCTTTCTGTTTGTTAGTTTTCCTTCTAACAGACAGGACCCTCAGCTGCAGGTCTGTTGGAATACCCTGCCGTGTGAGGTGTCAGTATGCCCCTGCTGGGGGGTGCCTCCCGGTTAGGCTGCTCGGGGGTCAGGGGTCAGGGACCCACTTGAGGAGGCAGTCTGCCCATTCTCAGATCTCCAGCTGCGTGCTGGGAGAACCACTGCTCTCTTCAAAGCTGTCAGACAGGGACATTTAAGTCTGCAGAGGTTACTGCTGTCTTTTTGTTTGAGTGTGCCCTGCCCTCAGAGGTGGAGCCTACAGAGGCAGGCAGGCCTCCTTGAGCTGTGGTGGGCTCCACCCAGTTCGAGCTTCCCAGCTGCTTTGTTTACCTAATCAAGCCTGGGCAATGGCGGGCGCCACTCCCCCAGCCTCGCTGCCGCCTTGCAATTTGATCTCAGACTGCTGTGCTAGCAATCAGCGAGACTCCGTGGGCGTAGGACCCTCCGACCCAGGTGCCGGATATAATCTCGTGGTGCGCTGTTTTTTAATCCGGTTGGAAAAGTGCAGTATTCGGGTGGGGGTGACTCGATTTTCCAGGTGCGTCCGTCACCCCTTTCTTTGACTCAGAAAGGGAACTCCCTGATCCCTTGCGCTTCCCAAGTGAGGCAATGCCTCGCCCTGCTTCGGCTCGCACACGGTGCGCGCACCCACTGACCTGGGCCCACTGTCTGGCACTCCCTAGTGAGATGAACCCGGTACCTCAGATGGAAATGCAGAAATCACCGTCTTCTGCGTTGCTCACGCTGGGAGCTGTAGACTGGAGCTGTTCCTATTCGGCCATCTTGGCTCCTCCCTCAACTTTGTCTGTTTTTATACTTTTCGTCTTGATATTTATTTTGTCTGATGTAAGCATAGCTACTCTTATTCTCTTTTGGCTTTCATTTGTATAGAGTATCATTTTCCATCTCTTTATTTTCATTCTATGTGTGTCTTTAGAGGTGAAGTGTGTTTCTTGTAAGCAATAGATCATTGGGTCTTATTGTTTAATCCATTCTGAATCTTTGGACTGGAAACTTTGGTTCATTTATATTTAGTGTTATTATTGATAAGTAAGGACTTACTCTTGCCATTTTGTCATTTGTTTTCTGGTCTTCTCTTCCTTCTTTTGTTCTTTCCTGTCTTCCTTTTCGTAAAGATAATTTTCTCAAGTTGTATGTTTTAAATTCTTGCTTTTGATTTTTTTGTATATCTGTTGTATGGTTTTTGATTTGAGGTTATCATGAGGCTTGCAAATAATATCTTATAGTTCAGTATTTTAAACTGATGACAACTTAACACTAATTGTATAAACCAGCAAAAATATAACTAATAAAAACTGTACATTTTAACCTCATCTCTCCACTTTTTAACTTTTTGTTGTTTATATTTATATCTTATTATACTATGTCTTGAAAAGTTGTTGTAGTTATTATTTTTCAAAGGTTCATCTTTTAGTCTTTCTATGCCTTGCATAGAAAGTTTACATACTACAGTTATAGTATTATAATATTCTGTGTTTTTTTTGTTTACTTACTATTACCCCTGAATTGTGTACCTTTGGATTATTTCTTATTGCTCATTAACATCCTTCTTTTTAAGATTGAAGAAATCCATTTAGCATTTATTATAGGACAGGTTTGGTGCTTATGTAATCCCACAGCTTTTGTTTGTCTGGGAAAGTCTTTATTTCTCCATGTTTGAAGGGTATTTTCCCTAGATATACTATTCTAGGATAATTTTTTTTCCTTCAGCACTTTAAATATGTCACGCTACTCTCTCCTGGTCTTTAAGATTTCCACTGAGAAGTGTGCTGCCAGACATATTGGAGCTCCTTTGCATGTTGTTTCTTTTTTCTTGTTGCTTTTAGGATCCTGTCTTTATCCTTGTCCTTTCAGATACTGATTACTAAATGCCTTGAGGTAGTCTTATTTGGGTTAAATCTGCTTGGTGTTTTATAACCTTCTTGTACTTGATATCTTTCTCTAGGTTTGGGAAATTCTCTGTTATTATCCATTTGAATAAACTTTCTACTCTAATCTCTCTCTCTCTACCTTCTCTTTACAGTCAATAACTCTTTCATTTACCCTTTTGAGGTTATTTTCTAGATCTTGTACGTATGCTTTTCTCTTTTGTCTCCTCTGACTGTGTATTTTCAAATAGCTTGTCTTCAAACTCACTATTTCTTCAGCTTGATCAATTGTGCTGTTAAGAGACTCTGATGCATTCTTCAGCATGTCAATTGCATTTTTTAGTTTCAGAATGTTTGCTTGATTCCACGTAATTATTTCAATGTCTTTGTTAAATTTATTTGATAGGATTCTGAATTCCTTCTCCATGTTATCCTGGATTTTGATGAGCTTCCTCAAAAGAGCAATTTTAAATTCTTTGTCTGAAAGGTCACATATCTCTGTCTCTCCAGGATTGGTCTGTGGTGCCTTATTTAGTTTGTTTGGTGAAGTAGTGTTTTTCTGGGTGATCCTGATGCTTACAGATGTTCATCAGTGTCTGGGCATTGAAGAGTTAGGTATTTATCATAGTCTTTTTAGTCTGGACTTGTTTGTACCTGTCCTTTTTGGGAAGGCTTTCCAGGTATTCCAAGCAACTTGGTTGTTATGATCTAAGTCTTTGGTCACAGCAGCCATATGTGCTTTAGGGGGCACCCCAAGCCCAGTAAACCTGTGGCTCTTGTAGACCCACAGATGTACCAGCTTGGTAGTCTTAGGTAAGATCTAGAGGAATTCCCTGGATGACCAGGCAGAGACTCTTCTTCTCTTTCCTGACTTCCCCCCCACCCCCCTACCCACCAAATTGAGTCTCTCTCTCTCTCTCTCTCTCTCTTCCTCCATAAGAGCTGACTGAATTCTGCCTGGTGTTGCAACACTAATGACAGGGCAACACTAAGTTCCAATGCAAAGTCTCACAATCACTGTACACTCCCTCTTCCCCTAGTGCAGATTCTCTCTTCATGCCATATGATCACTGCAGGGGGATAGGAGAGGGCTGGTGTAGGTCATTCAAGACTGTCTTTCCTACCCTTTTCAGTGCCTCTTTCCTTAATATGATGTTAAAACCAGGTAGTGTGATTGCTCACCCGATTTTGGGTTCTTATGGAGTTGCTTTTTTGTGTGAATAGTTGTTCAATTTTGTGTTCTTGCGGGGGTGTGAGGACAACTATTGGAAGCTTCTATTCAACTATCTTGCTCTGCTTCCCCTGAAGACTATTTGTAATAGCCCCAAATTGGAAACTACTTATATGTCCTTCAACATAGACTGGAGAGATAAATTGTGGGAAATTATTCACTCAATGGAAACTCTACAGCAAAGAGAATAAATGATCAAAAATTACATAAAAATATATTGATGAATCTCATAAATATAATGTTGAGTGACAGAAGTCAGATACTAAGGTATATAATGTATAATTCCATTTATTTTAAGTACTGAAAGAGATAAAGCTAATCTATGGTATTAGATTAGAAGTTAGGATAGTAGTTACCCTTAGAAAGCTTAGTACCTGGAGAAGGGATTTGGGGATACTGGCAATTTTCTTTTGTGTGCTGGTTACTTGGTTGTGTTGTGAAGAGTCATCAGCTATATACTTATGATACATGGCTTTTCTGTATTCATATTATATGTTGATAAAAGTTACCTTTTTAAAATATATATACTAAATCTCACTCTACTGCCCAGGCTGGAGTGCAGTGGCGCGATCTTGGTTCACTACAACCTTCACCTCCTGGGTTCAAGTGATTCTTGTGACTCAGCCTCCCAAGTAGCTGGGATTACAGGTGCCTGCCACCACACCCGGCTAATTTGTGTATTTTTTGTTAGTAGAGATGGGGTTTCATCATTTTGGCCAGGCTGGTCTTGAACTCCTGACCTCAAGTGATCTATCTGCCTCAGCTTCCCAAAGTGCTGGGATTACAGGCGTGAGGCACTGTGCCCAGCCACTTTATTTTTTATACGAAGTTTAAGTGTCTGTTTTCTTTAATATGTGACAGTGTTGCCATGTACATGTAAGGATGATACAGTTTTACGCTGTTTTTTCTTTGTTGAAACTGAGGGCTGTTATTGTCTTGGGTGGATTGAGATATGCATCCCATATGTGCAGCTGCTCAGGTTAAAGTCAGAGTCTTGGACTCTAGTAAAAAGCTTTTTTCTGTGAAAACCTAAGGATGACCTTGATTGACAACCCTTAGTACTTGCTTAAAACTAACTTATATAAGTTCATGAAGCAATATATTCTAGCTAACATAGAATATGTTCAGATTGAAGTTAAATAAGATTGTATTTCTATGTCTCTGCCTTGTGTTACCAAGAGACTGAAATAAAATACTGAAATACCTGGTTTCTTAGAAAAGAACATATTTTGGGCTCATTAAAAATACTTTTTATTTTCTGTTTGGTGATAGTCAACCATCAGTTATTTCTGCACTTGAACCAGATGTTAGCTTTCAGGAGAGTCAAAATTTGCTTCATTTTAGGATTACATTCATACTGCCTTCTTCTACAAAAGAAATAGAAAAAACCTAGAAATAAAAGAAACTAGATAATGATTTTTCACATGAACTCTTGAAAATATCATATTTTTGTGTACACAGTTTACTGTCTTATCTATGTAACACTAAATGTGTAATTTTATGATAGTGAAATGAGGAAATTGAATGGTCTTTACCTTTATTTTTCAAAACAGGTCAATTTTTTTTACTAATTCCGGGGAGGTCATCAATGATTTTGGGATAACCTGCATCCACGGACTGCATATTTTCATCATACCTGGTAACAAAAAATAACTAAAAATATCACATTGTGGTTAATATAAAAACAATAAAAAACACTTAACTTTCATGTAGAACTTTCCATGTACTAATCACTGTCCTAAGTGCTTTTCATATGAAGATTCATTTAATTCTCACAACAAATCTGAGAGGTAGGTACTGTCTGTGCCTCAATTTTGCAAAACCCCGATGGCTGCTTTTAAAAATTATGGGTGGGTACATTGTTGGCATGAAACTATTAAGAAATTTTAACTGGGAGGGAGAGTGGGGCAAACTAGACAAACTCTAAGTTATTCTCAACCATAAAAATCTGATTCAAATTTTCCCTTGGGCTCCATGTTCTGTCCTATCAAGGAGAAATGCTTCATTTTCTCCTTTTTGGATGCCTCTAGTCCCCTTTGTGTGTTCTGCTCTTTATCTCCTTTTCAAATGCAAGCCAACAAGTTCCTTGCCTTGCTAGGCAGCAGTGTGATAACAGGTAGGGGACTGAATGGCTGTGGGCCTGGCTGCATTCATTCTCAGAAAAAAGGAAAGTTTCAGTGAAATTTGAGAAAAATTTTAAAAGGCAACTCTCCTTCCACCAGAGTGATCTGATTTCCCAAGTTTTCTGAGGGTAGGTCTTTACCTCCAATACTCATTGGCAACAAAGAAATGTGTCTTTCCAGTGTCCTTCTCATAAATGGCAGCATCAATTTTCTTCACCCTTTCAGGGAAGACAAAGGAGCTGTAGACGTCCCTGGGGTAGCCACTCAGCAGTTGATCCTCCTGAACGACCCAGTGCTTACTGCCTGTCAACAAAAAATCGGCCATGAAAAGATTTGCCTGGAGTCTAGTAGATATTAGACAGAATTTCCTCCAGACATTTGCTTCACGAGAAGTGGATGGAGAGTTTTATTCCAATGTAAGGTGCACTCGAGAAGACCTTTCTTCTTAGTATAATTGGGTTACTTCTCAAGCTACACAGGTGTGTGTGTGTGTGGTGGGCACCCTGCAGGACTACAAGGGTGGGAGGCAGATGGACACCTTCTGCAGAAGACATATCTGAGCTTTCGACCAGGCTGACTCCAGACAAAGGATTCTGTATTTGTTCATTTGGTTACTCCAGAATGTCAGTTCATCTTACATCATGAAGCCAGAGTATCTCTGCACAAATAGAAGTTACCACCTCATAGAAAGGCAGTTTGAAACTTCATATTTTTAAAAATCCTCCTTATTGGCAAGATATACACCTTATGCTAGTATGCTTCAAGATTCTTTGCTTATTTAAACCAGTTTTTAATTTTTTTTTAAATTTTCTTGAGACAGAGTCTCACTCTGTCCCCTAGGCTGGAGTGCAGTGGTGCGATCTTGGCTCACTGCAACGTCTGCCTCCTGGTTCAAGTGATTTTCGTGCCTCAGCCTCCCAAGTTGAGTAGCTGGGACCACAGTCACACGCCACCATGCCCAGCTAATTTTGTATTTTTAGTAGAGACAGGGTTTCACCATGTTGGCCAGGCTGGGCTTGAACTCCTGGCCTAAAAGTGATCCACCCACCTCAGCCTCTCAAATAAACTCCTTTAAGTTACTTATTTTGCACTGTGATAGGGTCTAGTGTCCTTACATTTTATGCATGCAAAATCCAAAAACCTGAATATTTTCAAAGCACTGAATAGTTGACAAATGTACATAATGATATGATATTAAACATTCTAGTAAAAATTTTAGAGTAATGTATTTTTGTCAGTAAAATTACACAGCTTGAAGAAATATTATTCTCTTACATTTTTATGAAATGAGACAAAATAGTTACCTTTTTAAAGTAATTTATAGTGTCAACAGTTTATATTTATTAAAGTATTTATACTAATAAAGTCAAAATTGGTTCATTTTACTGAAAGCATTCTTTCAGATAAAACAAAAAAAATTCTATAAGCTATGGGAAGGAAAAATAAAAGAGGCAGTGAAGGAATTAGCTGACTCACTTCTGAAATCCTTGGTCCTTGTTTCATCATTATCAAAATGAACATCTCCTCCGATACCTGGTCCAGGTGGGAATGCATGAGCAAGACAACCATCATGTCCATAAAAGGGAGAATTGTCATGGAGATCTGCAAGAAAAAGAATTCAACAAAGATATACCCTTGTTTTATTCAGCCTTACCCAGGTGAGACAAAAGAGCTATAGCAAGGAGCCAAAAGACACACTTCATCTGTGAGGCTTTCCTCCATCAGCAATTCTGATGGAGCAGATCCCAGGGTAGCAGGAGGGAACGTTCAGAATGGTTTTGGGAGAGAAGAGCTTACCTCCTCACACAAAGGATAATATTATGTCCCCTTCACTCTCAAAGTCCCTGGTGAAGGTCAGGGCCGAGGCCTTACTCCAGAGTTCAAAGGCTTTCCCAGTGGCACGGT
Organism: Homo sapiens; assembly: GCF_000001405.40. NCBI lineage: Eukaryota > Metazoa > Chordata > Mammalia > Primates > Hominidae > Homo > Homo sapiens. Next base: position 102,753,816 of record NC_000011.10, read on the forward strand.
CCACATCCTCTTGAGGCAGATTTGGCATGTAGTTTTGATCCTTAAAATGATAAAGGAGAGAACAGAGACACAGAGAACCTCATTTCTTCCCACTGTGGTGGGAAACAGCTGTCTCTCACTCTGGTGCGCAGTCTTATTACCTGTGGGTCAGATTTGTTTGCTCCCAACAAGGGCTCTCTTGAGTGAGGATGAGGGAAGCCACATCAGGCACCCCACATCTGGGCTGCTTCATCAAATTCGATCTGGCTTCCCAGTTACCTTCAGCCCAAAGAAATTCTGCATTTGCTTCAGCTTCTCAAGCACTGGGCTACTGTCTCTCTGCCTTCCAATTTGATTGATTTCACTCTTCAAGTTGTAGTAGCAGTTTTCTAGGTATTTCTTATAAAGAAAAGAATACTAAAATAGTAGAAGTAAAGTCTTTCTCAGTTTTCTGAAAAATTGCAGCATTTCACTATTGTAACAATATAGCCCTTTTCCTTAATAATTGAATGAGAAGAGGGAAAAAATCTGTCTGCTTCTGTAGTGATCTCGTAGCCCTTATTATGTTTAGCAGTGGTGCAGAAATGTTACTGTGGTAGAAGAACCCATGCCATTGTTAAGTCTAGCTTTACTCTTGAGGTCAGAATCACAGTTAGTACAGCCAGTCTATGTGTTGCTTGCTCCTTTGGTTCCCTCTAGCTTTACCTTCTTTTTTCTTTTTTTCTTTTTTTGATACAGTGTCTTGCTCCGTTGCCCAGGCTGGTGTCCAGTGGTGCAATCATAGCTCACTGCAACCTCAAACCCTGGACTCAAGCGATCCACCTCAGCCTTCCAAAGTGCTGTGATTACTGGTATAAGCCACTGCACCCAGTGATATATTTTTTTTTTTTTTTTTAAATGAGGGGACCTGTTCCTGACAAACTACTTGTTTCCTAAATGAATCCCAAACTTGCTTGAATTCCTACCTCTTGACCTTTGAAAAATGGGAACACGCTGCTCTTGCATTACTGGCAGCTGCAATGCAGCATTTACCTGGACTATCTCTGCATCTTGTTCTTGTGTTTCTGGAGTCGCTGGGAAGCTGTGCAACCCCACACCCCAGAGCAGCACCAGCAGCAAAAAAAAAAAAAAAAAAAAAAGCCTGGACATGCTGGCCTTTGTCTTCCTTCTCAGTGCAAGGCAAGTGATGGCTCCCTACCTGACTGCTGTTCCAGTGTCTCAGCCCACAGGCTCCCTCTTTATGTAGGGTCCTGGCACTCCCAGAAAACAACAAAATGCTATTTGATTCACCTAGGGAGACATCCTCTTCATTCGCAATGTGCAGTCTCAATATTCATCAGAAATTGTGACATAATGGAAGTTAACCAGTTGCTTTTGCAAACTCATGATTATCATCAATAAGGCCATCAACAATGAAACACACCCCATCGTACACAGTTAAGCAAAGCTGTAAAGCATGGCTAAGTCAGCCATAAAAATATCTGGGGGAAAAGTGCTCCTGTCCAAGGAAACGACTTGTGCAAAGTGTTGGGGAGTAAACGAGCACACATTCAAGAAATAGCACACCAAGACCAATGTGGCTGGAGCAGAGTGGGCAAAGGGAAGAATAGTAGGGGACAAGGTGAGTGATTGCAAAGACAGAGGCAGATGAGAGGGAGAGCTTGTAGAGCATTGCAGGGATTCTAGTTTTGCTAGGAGTGATATAGAGAGTTATTGTCCTGACGTCCCCTGGTCTCTTGCTTCTTGTTAGGACTACTACCTTCCAGGACTGCCACTTAGGCAGGGTCTTATGGCAACACAAGAGAGAGAAAAAGGGCAAAAGTAAAATGTGCTTCCCAAAGCCCGTCGCCAGTCAAAGGAACCTGGGTCTCCTCCATAAGATGTTATTTCCTGCACTGCACTTGTTGAGTCTGCTAAAACACACAATACACTATAATACTACAATATTTTCTTTGTTAAGATAATCTTGGCTTTTGTTAGTGTGCATCACAAAGCTAAATAAAATGAAACAAACTTATTAGCTGAATCATTTTTCAGTGAAAGTTAATGACTGTGAAAGTTCTACGTGAGAAGCATATTTCTGAGAGGACATTGACAGCAATCAGTTGTTCTGTTATGAAGCTGGGTCAGTACCTACTCATCTTTGTGACCACTGAACCCTTTGAAATGTGGCTAATCTGTATAAGGTGTGCCACAAGTGTAAACTATGCACCAAATTTTGAAAACTAAGTATTTTTTTAAAATGAAAAATATCTCATTTATGATTTTTAAATATTGGTAGCCCATGCTAAAATGATATTTTAAATATATTAGGTTGCATAAAATATATTATTAAAATTAGTCTGTCTTGTTTTCTTTTTACTTTTAAAAATGTGGCAACTAGAAAATTTAAATTTCTACATGAGGCTCTTTCCTCCTCTCATCTCCTCTCGTCTCCTCTCCCCTCCTCTCCTCTCCTCTCCTCTCCTCCCCTCTCCTCTCCTGTCTGTCTCCCTCTGCCACCCAGCCTGGAATTAATGGCATGATCACAGCTCACTGCTGCCTTGAACTCCTGAGCACAAGTGATCCTTCTGCCTCTGTCTCCCAAGTAGTTAGGACTATAGGTGCACACCACCAAGCCCAGGTAACTTTTTTTTTGTAGAGATGGAGTCTTACTATGTTGCCCAGGCTAGTCTTGAACTCCTGGGCTCAAGTGATCCTCCAGCCTCGGCCTCCCAAAGGGTTGGGATTACAGGCGTGAGCCATTACACTCAGTCTTTTTATTACATTTCTATTGGACACTGTTGACCTAATGATCTACATGATTAAAAGATGGGTCAGTTAGCCAGACATTTCATCAGCTATTGATTACTTAGGGCCTACTATTTACAGAACACTGTACTAGGCATTGCAAATGATTAAAGCAGCTATGCCCCACACAAGAACATGGCCTCTGCTGTCATCTTGACATCATCTATGTGGAAGATGAAACATACGCATCCAGTAATTTAGCAGCAGGTATCTCAAAGAAGAAGGTGTGGAGATGAGTCTTTGTTCTGGTGCCCCCAAGAGACTTCCTTTTGATATTACTCTAAGTTTTCTTTTCCCTCTTTTTTTTTGAGGCAGAGTCTTGCTCTGTGGTCAGGCTGGAGTGCAGTGGTGTGATCTTGGCTCATTGCAACCTCCACCTCCTGGGTTTAAGCGATTCTCCTGCCTCAGCCTCCCGAGTAGCTGGGACTACAGCTGCGTACCACCATGCCCAGCTAATTTTTGTATTTTTAGTAGAGATGGGGTTTCACCATGTTGGCCAGGATTTTCCCTCTTTTTGACTATCTGCAAGTGGTAACTGATACTAATATATCTGCAGGAAAAATGAATTCTGTTGCCCTAAGTGACCCAATTGGTTTTTTTTCCATTATGTTTTTTCTGTGTGTGTGTGAGTGCCATAATAAAGATCTCTGCCGTTCTTTCTGTTAAGGATGAGCTTCATTTCATTTTCCCGGAAGTGGTGGGAAAGGTCTTCCATGTAGATTCTACGCATCGTATCGACCCTGCTTAGCCTTCTACCTTGTGGGATATTATTTGTTCTTTGCTTACTTGGTTGCCTCTCCTGTGTATATTTAGCTTATAACAAACCACTGCAGATTTAGTGTCTCAAAACAATAATAATTAACAGGATTCTATTACTGGATCTCAGCTGAACAATTTGGTTGTTTGGAATATCTTTTTTGGCGGCAGTCAGATCGTGACTGGGGCTAGAACACCCAAGATGTTCTGGCTTCATCACAGGTCTGGTGCTTTGGTGGAGAAGATTGGAAGGCTGGGATCAGCAGGGATACCAGGGTCTCCCTCTCTCTCTCTTCATGAAGTCTCAGAGCTTCCTCCTCTTCAGTAGAGTAGCCAGATTTTTTTCTTTACTACATTTAGTAATACTTTCTCCATGAATGCTTGAACACATTTAATCCAGGGGACTAGGCTGTATTTATCCATTCATATATGTCTTCCTCCATTCAACAAATATTTTCTTAATATTTCCAGTCACTTAGGCTGGAGAAAGGAAAAATAGGCCAGCAGATTATTCATGCATGGTACCTTTAATTTGTGCTGTAAGAGATTCATACAAAGTGCTGCAATTACACAGAAGACAGTGACCTTATGTACGATAGAGATGTGTGTACAAACTTCCAACACATGATGGATAAGAACACATTCTCCTCTCTCAATTTAATTTTTAACCACAACTTCCCCATCTAAATGGAGTATCACACTAATGCAAACAGAAAAGGGGAAGTGAATGAATTTCTCAGGAAAACCCAAATTCTCTCTTTCCCACAGGACTTCTGATGCCTGCAGAGGCAAGGGAAATAAGAAAAGGAGGCATTTTCTAGGACAAATGGAATATAGGTCATCTTTTCCCAGCCAAAATGAGGCTGGAACTCCCCGACCACCATAGGGTGCATACACTAGCTGTGGAGAAGCCATCCCCTCAGTGCTCCTGGTGCTTCCTGCCAGGAATCCCCTAGTTCACTCAGTAGCCTCAGAAACAGGAAAGGGGAACTCCTGAAAAACTGAGGAAACCACCATTGTGATAACTGGGATTGAGCAACAAATTACACATGATGTCATCTTCATGAAGACTCATACAATAAGAAATCTGGTGGTTATTCAGTATAGTGCTTGACAACAATTATGTCATAATACTGAATGCTTTACTGAAAGAGCAATCTGTGTGTATGTCCAGCAAACAGATCAAATTTGCAAACAGATAAAAAAGCAAAGCATGATAGTAGTGCTTAAAGTAGAAGCACTGAACTCTAGAGACTCACCTTCATCCTACTACCTCTCTCTTTGTCCCCTCTAACATAACCCCCAAATACCATGGAAGAATGCAGCAAGTTTAAAAATCACCAATCTAATAGAAACCTCTTACTTGTCAAATGAGAAAACTTAGAGACATGGGCCTTCCATCACTTGTTCCAGATCATGCATCTAGTGAAGAGCACTAGAATTAGAGCTGTTGCTTTCTATTTCCAAGTCTAAGCCTACTACACTAAGAATTTCATTTCATGTCAATGAATCTAACATGGATTAGATTTTGTTTTCTGTCAAACATCATATTGTTTAACTTATTGGAATTCTGTGGTATTTTGTAGCTTTCTTAAAGGACTTCTCATATTTTGCCTTATGCTTGACTATTTGTCTTCCTTTATGTATGAAATTTTTTTTATAGGGTAGAGATATACTGTTATAGACATGTGTTTTATAAATTGCACTAATACAACAGTAATCATTATTTCCCTGACATCAAAAACTTACACTGTGATCAGGTATTATATGGAATAAAAGGTAAACAGAGATACTCAGAGAAATGCAGCCCATGTCCTTGGTGTGTGAGAGGGGAGAATGTGTTCTTATCCATCATGTGTTGGAGGTCTATACACGCATCGCTATTGTACACAAGGTAATGTTTGGGTCACTGGTTGGAGAACAGAGACTTCTTGCTCTAAAAGAAAGAATATAAAGAAAGCTATTAAAAATATAAAACAGCATGTTGCAAACTCCAAATGGCTGGCATTCTAAATTGCTACCCTGAAAATTCTTAAAAACTGTATAATCATGGTCTTATGGAATGTTGAATGGGAGACAGAACTTGAAGGTATGATTTTGGGTATGAGGTAGATAGAGATTTAGCAGGTAGAGACTGGAAATCCAACCCTACTTCTAACTGGGTATGAAGACTAAAGTTAGTTCTGTTCTCTTGACTAGAAAATTATAATAATAGTAATAAAATTCCCCCCAATCCCAAAATGGTTTTCAGAAGAATTAAACAAAATTATATATATAACATATATCTACTTTGGTGTTTGTTACAGAGTATTTCATGATTGCTGTTTTTTTCTTAGAGTTAAAAGATACCTTTAAAAATCTCTAATTATGGCCAGGCATGGTGGCTTACACCTGTAATCCCAGCACTTTGGGAGGCTGAGGCGGGTGGATCACGAGGTCAGATCAAGACCATCCTGGCTAATACAGTGAAACCCTGTCTCTACTAAAAAAAAAAAAAAAAATTAGCCAGGCATGGTGGTGGGCACATGTAGTCCCAGCTACTCGGGAGGCTGAGGCAGGAGAACGGCGTGAACCCGGGAGGCAGAGCTGGCAGTGAGCCAAGATGGAGCCACTGCACTCCAGCCTGGGTGACAGAGCGAGACTTGGTCTCAAAAAAAAAAAAAAAACTCTAATTATAATTGTTGTAAAGATACAGTTAGAAGGAATAAGATCTAGTTTTTGATAGTACAGTAGGATGACTATGATTGACAATAATTTGTGGTATAGTTCAAAATAGCTAGAAGAGAAGAATTAGAATGTTCACAACATAAAGAAGGGGTGAATGTTTGGAGTGATGAATATCCCAATTGCCCTGGTATAATAAACATTACACATTGTATCCATGTGTCAAAATATCACATATACCCCCAAAATATGGACCACTGCTCTGTAACAGTAAAACAAACAAACAAATCACAAAACCTAATTAAACCCCCTTCCATTGCAAATGAGGAAACTGAGATCTTGAAATTCTCAGTTGTTTTATTTCTTAGAAAGCAAAACAATGTGACTATGATTCAAGGGACAGGGTTAGTTCATTTTAAGGGGATTTAAACTTACCACAGGAAATGACTCTTGAGGAAATTGTTGCTGTGCAGTTAAATAAAGCAAGGAAAAAACAAGTAATATCTGCTGAATCTCCACAATAAACCAAGTTGAATCATCTGCTTTAGAGATTTGGGAGCATTGCTCAAGAAGCAGCTGTGTTACTAGGTATTGCATCATTGTATAATCATCATTGTTATCATCGCCATCATCATATCTGTGAGCCAAATACGATTTTAAGAACAATTGTGGAGGTGGCAAATTTCCAAGCTAGATAACTTACGCTCTAAATTCACTTATCATGCTTTTGTCACCTTTTAGTTGTAGCTAATGGTGATCCAGTGACATTCCATTAATTTGATTGGGAAGGTCTTACTAGTATGTATAATTATAAATCTGCTTCTAAATATAAGTAGGTCTATGATTCACCATGTCTTTGTTCTAGGGAAGAAATTAAAGGGTTGGATTTCCTACTGACTTTGCAGGGATTAAGAAGGTTGTATATATCTTCAACTACCTCCTTTGATTTAATCCTTAAGAAACCAAGCAGGCTGGGAGCAGTGGCTCTCGCCTGTAATCCCAGCACTTTGGGTGGCCTAGGTGGGAGGATCGCTTGAGGCCAGGAGTTCGAGACCAGCCTGGCCAACATGGTGAAACCCCATCTCTACTAAAAGAAAAAATAAAAAAAAAAATTAGCTGTGCATGGTGGTGGGCCAGCTACTCAGAAAGCTGAGGCATGAGAATCGCTTGAACCTGGGAGGTGGAGGTTGCAGTGAGCTGAGATCGTGCCACTGCATTCTAGCCTGGGTGACAGAGTGAGACTCAGTCTCAAAAAAAAAAAAAAAAAAAAAAAAAGAGAGAGAGAGAGAGAAAGAAACCAGGGCATTTTTTTAGTGCATGCTTGTTTAACTGATGAAGTAATTTTTCTTTCCTATTTTATTGCTGCTGAGAAAATATACTACACATATAGTGGTAACGTGTGTTACTTAGCTAAGTGAGTGGGCAATTTATTTCTTATTTATGTTTCCTACTTCAAAAACAGATTTGATGGATGCAATGGAATGATTATTAAATGAGCAAATGTGCTAAATGAGTGACTAAATGAAAAACAATGAGTTACAAACTTTGGGAGAAATTTTACTGTTTCATTTACTGAAATGTTTCATTAATTTTATACTCAATCACATGTTAGAAAGCTGATGCTTCATATATTTTCTCTAAAACATAAATTAATGTGACTCCCTTTCTTTGACTCTCTCAGATGTTCCCTTGAGATTCCTCAAACATGTCTTTTAATATCTCTATGCCATTGTGCATGCAGCTTGCTTCCCTTGGAATGCCCTTCCTCTCCAGACATCTCCAGATGCCTGTCATTCTTCACATTCTAAAATTGACATTACTTTCTTCCTAGTTCAAGGGAGTTATGCATGCTTTCATTTAACAAACAGTGATTTACGGAGTAGCTACCATGTACCATTCTCTGAATTGCAGTGGAATATAACCGCAGGAAGTCACAGTCCAATGTAGGATGAATTTGAGGGGACAGTTAAATAAAGAGTGGTAAGTGCTGTGATTGGAGAGTATTTTGGGAATGTACAAGAGGTATGTGCAACACAGCTCAGGAGGGCCAGAGAGTGCATCTCAGCAAAGAAAACTTCTGCAGCCAGAAGCCAGAATGAGAAACAAGGCGGTAGCCAGGCAAGCAGACGCAGATGGATGTGTGGGAAAGCTTTTGCAGTTGTGGAAGTTTTTTTTGTTGTTTATTTGCTTGGTTGCTTGTTTTTTATTATTATCATTTTTTGTTGTTGTTGTTTCTCCCCCCTCCCCTTTTAACCAGAAACCATTGAATTGGAAGGGGTGTCTATTTTACAGAGTCAGAGGATTCTTAGAAACTAACAAAAGCTTTGAAGCTGGAGTGGGAAGGGGAAGTTGATTATCCCTAATTCCTTCTTCAGCTTCCTCTAAAACCCTCTGTTTCGCTGATTGTGTCCCACTTTCCACCAAATTAACTAATGTTAGACACTGGGTGTGGTGAGAATTCAATGGTTGCAATTCAGACGGATGCATGATGACTCTCTCACCACAGGTTTCTGCAGTCTGAATGGACCTACACCCAGAAAGAGCTTCTGGTAACAGCTCACTGATTCTTCTTTTCCTTGTCTGTTTCATCCAGAATCCTCTAGACTGTAATTTTTCTCTTTTTCCTGTATGCTATAGGCAAGTGCTCCTTAAAGTGTGGCCTGTGAATCAGGGATGATTCATGAACTGTAATTGGTGTGTGATAAGCTCAGCAATCAATCATGCTTTTACAACAATTTGATAAAGTAGTTTTATGTCTATTGGATCTAGTCTAATAATTTAAAAACTGAACATTTAAAAATGTCTTTGTCATCTCATTTTCATAGTAATTCCCTTTCGCTGTATTTTACAAAAGTATCCATGGTGAACTGGAAATGTAAGGAACTGGTCCTTCACTACGGATGGCTTGAGAAGCAATGCTTTGGGCCAGAGAAGTAATCGACACTCTCCAGTACTCTGATCTCTCTCTGTCTGGACCACCTCCCTTCTTCTTACCTCTTAAGTTCTTGCCCTTTGGCTCTCCATATAGATGCCTAGTCCTCTTGGAAGCCTCCCTAATCTCTCAGCATTGGGGGCAGAGCCCCTCCTTGGTGATCCCACAGCTCTGTGTGCTTCCCCCATTATGGCCATCACGCTTGGTAGTATATCACATAGACTGTTAACTTCTCCATCTCCCTCTGGAGAATATACGCTCTGTAAGAGTGTGGCCATGTTTGTGAAACTCTGTGCCCCATATGTTGCCTACTATACAGTAGACATTCAGTGGGTATCTGTTAAATGAGTGAATGAATCAATGAATGATGGAGTGGAGGAGGTAGAACAGCAATTCAACCTCCCAAAACCCACTTCATGCAAGCACCCCCTTCCCCACTTAGATAGAGAGTGGTTAGGTGGACCAGCTTGAACTCTCTCTGCTCCTGGTCCTTGAGGCATGAAGGCCCACCTGCAAGGTTGTTTGCTACACCCCAAGGCTTAGCATGAAACTGCTCTCCAGGTTTCTCTCCCCTCCCTGATCTCAAGACTTCCCCTTAGGTGGCTGGTCCCAGTGGAATTTCCTAATGCAGTCCTACATTATATCATCTTAACCCTTTCCTTCTTCACTCCCTTTGCTCCTCCTCCCTCCACTGATTCACAGATTTTTGCTTCTTGGTCTTCTCATACCTGAATCATCTTCCTGCAATTCAAATACAGTTCACGTATTCCTCCCTACACTTGTCTTATCACCATCGTGTCACCCTTTCTCTCCTCTCTGTCTCTGTTGTCTGCCTGTCTGTCTTTCTGTGTGTGTGTTTTGCTCTAACTCTACTACTTCTCTGTCTCTTAAAACATGCATATTTACCGTGTGTCCTAATGCTAGTCAATAGCAAGAAAGGAACATTTATAACTCACACACTCTAAACTTGTTATCATGCATATTTTATTAATGACTGCAAATTCTGTGTTCTAGTGCTGCTTGGTGCCTGGAAAAAGAGGTGGGTAAAATACAGAAAGATAAGAGAAAGATACGCCAAATAAAGTGAGAGCATTAATGGCTATTTATTTCCACTTTAAAATTTTGCCTTAAAGCCCACCCTAGACACAGTCATTTGTCTCTCTATGTCAGGGGTATCATTGCTGGTTTTGAGCTCCAAAAGGGGGTGGGATATTTCTGCCTCCAGACTTTCTGTAGCAGAAATGGATTTTGGCCTGAATCATCTGGATTAATTGCTATGTGGCTGTGGCTCCAAATAAGGCAATCACTCAACATATTAGGTATCTATTGCTGAGTAGAAAATAACCACTAATTTTAAAACAACACACATTTATTATTTCAGTTTCTGTGGGTCATGAGTCTGGGTATAGCTTAGCTGGGTCCTCTTCATAGGTTCTCGAGGTATTGGCTAGGTTGCATTATCATCTGGAGGACTGATTGGGGAAAAAACATGCTTCCAAGCTCATTCAGGTTATATTCACTTACTTTCTTTTCTGTCTGGTTACCACCATTCTGTGGCTACTTATTGGTAACTCCCAGCCTGTTGTCAGCATCCCTCTCAATCTCTGCAAATCTGAAGTCACTTGTTCCCTTCCTGAAGGTGCAGGCATACTCCCAATTTTCTGAACAAAACCTGTTTGGAGGTAGGAAGCATTGAAACATTCACCTTATCTCTTTCTGGGAATCCTAATGAATTTGCCATTAGTGCATCCTCCCAATTTTCTGAACAAAAACTGTTCAGAGGTAGGAAGCATTGAAATATTCATCTTATCTCTTTCTGGGAATCCTAATGAATTTGCCATTAGCGCTGCTCTTGTCTTAATGTAGGGGTCTTTGAAATCATAAGAAATACATATGTTGGTTTCTGCTCTAGTTCCTGACAGAGCTCCTAACCCATTGGAATTTTCTGAGTAATAGGAGTTCTAGGAGAAACTTTTGTTCTAATGTTTGCTCTCTGCCCTTGTTTCTGAGACAGAGCTCTTAATACCCTTATAGATAGGGGTGGTAGGCATATCTTTTGTTCCAATATTTGGTCTTCGACCCTGGTTCTTGACACAGAGCCCCTAATCATTTAGAATTTCCTGGGTGATGAGAACATCTTTTGTTCTAATGAGGGGACTCTTGGAAGGAGGCTGGTCATCAGAAAGACCAAACCATGATTAGAAGCTTGGAGTTTTCAGCCCAATAAATTTAACTAAATGTTTCCCTGAGTTTTACAACCTGTTCTAGCAAATTATTGACCATGAGGAGTGGTTTGTAGAAAGCTCTCATTTATAGCTGGTCTGCGGGACGTCCAGGAGGCCCAGACATGTGATTAGCACTGGAAGTAAGCAGAGTGGTCTTATGGGATTGTGTCCTTAACCTGTGGGGTCTACACTAACTTCAGGTATTTAGTGTGATAATTGAATTACATGACACCCAGTGTTGGGAAAGTTAAAGAATTGGTTGGAGTGAAAAAAACCCCCACATATCTGGTGTCAGAAGTGTTGTGAGTACAGAGAAGAAAACAGTGAGTTTCCTATACAGATTCTAAGTCTGTTCTGGAGTGGAATTTCAGTGCTGCTGCTTACTAGTTGCTCATCATGAGAAAATTCATCCTTCTAAGCCTAAAAGTCTATAATCTAAAGACATTACTGTTTGCCATGGTTAACATGAGGACCGAAAGAACTGCACACATCTAGCACCCTTTACAGTGTCTATAAATTGAAGTTCCTTTTTTTCCTTACCCTCCCCCAAATAAAGGCATTCACTGGAACCATTAATGAAATCTGTAAACACAAGAGAAAATATTTCCTATAAGTACTTTCTTTGCCAACATTTTACCTAGATTGCCTCGGCATACTGTTTCTACTTTCTCATCTCACAGTTCTTGGTGGAAAATATTGATGCCAATTCTTTCTTCGCCCACTGATCAACATGATTAGGGTGAGATTAAGCACAGCCCCACCTCCAGGAGTTTAAGCCAGTCATGGATGATCCCAACAATAGCAGTGTGGAATCAATGAATTGCTTTTCCAGTTCTTCCTCTACCTAGCCCTTAAGCAAGATAGTTTTTTAACGGATTCACTCCACATTTGTGAAGTAACATGTGTAAAAGGTTATTAATTACAGTATTTCTTTGTGAAGTAACATATGTAAAAGGTTTATTACATTATTTCTTTTGAAAAGTAAATATCGAAAACAAACCCAAATTTGCCCTAATAAGGGATTGTTAAATAAATGATGAATTCGTATATTGGGTTACTATGTAGCTATTAATTAGAATAATGCAGCTCTTTGTCACTGATACAGAGCAGTCTCCAAGATATATTAAGTGAGAAAAAATGAACTGTGGAATAGGATATAAAGTATCCCACCCTTTGGGTTAGAAAGTAAAGGCTTAATAGACATGCTTATTAATGCATAAAGTAGATTAAAGGATTCATAAGAAATTAGTAGCATTGTTTACCTCTGGAAAAGACTGGTTGGCTGAGATGAGATGAGAGGGAGAAAAACTTTTTACTAATGAAAGTGGTATTTCCTTCTCTTTGGATTTTGGGTCATTTGTACATATTTCTCTGTCAAAAATCTAATGTAAAATACTGAAAATATAGGAATGTTACTTTTTTTTTCTGTAACAAAACTCCAGAAGTTTTGGTGAATCTAAGATCAAAGTAGCATGAACTTTAGGGACAACAGTCATGAAAACAAATTCACTCCAGAAAGCTGCCAGGTCTCTCCACTTGCCCACATCTCTTTATTTTATGTTCCTGATGTTGTCGGTGAGGCCAAAGAACCCACTGATGTGAACTGGGAGGCCTGTTCTGCTTTCCCCACCCTGCAGTAAAGAAAACAAAATGCTATTCCTGAGACATCTGACATTGCTCCTTTTGCTTCACCATCTTTGCTTGACAAAGACATGGCTATTCCAATGATTGGGACAAATTTCAATCCATCCACTAAAGACTGAAGATTACTGCAAATCCCTTGGCCACCCACACCATTACACACCAACCAAGATGGCTTTTGTACATCTTCAGTACTCTTGTCTTCTAAAACTGACCCAATCATGGCTAACTGCATAAATCCCTGCAATCTGGGACAACTCACTGAAGAGAGGCTCTAATACCAGCATGGTATGTTATACAGTTGATGCCATTGCTTGGAGTCCTTTCACAATTGTTACTTAGTGCAGTTCCCAGGATCTTTATAGAATTCAGACGTTCACGTTTCAGTGCCGTCTAAATAGAGTGCCCTTGAAGTCACTCTAAATACCGGTTTCTCCATTCCACCAGCCTCTCGGACATTATAAGGAGACGTCCTGCACACTTTTTAGAAAGAGCAGCACTGGGTCTACATCTGCCCTAAAAGACGGAGAGCTGGAGAACCTTCTGCTTACTGTAGTGTTTACTACTAAGCTGTCGAGGATGCAGGCGAAAAGGAAAAGGAAAAAATGTTTCTGGAAAATTGAGATTTATGAATGTTTCCTTGGTGCTTCCAAAAATGCCAGCAAATGGCAGAAATTGGTCCAAAAGTTCACGAATTTAAATGCTGTCATCTTTGACATTCCAACACTGGTCTCACTCATGTGGGCCAAAAAGTGTTTGATGAGGCTCGAACATCCCAATCCAGTCACCACTAAAGATACAAGGAACATCTCTATGGTAGCCAGACTTAAACTCAATTCCAAATCTTCCAACCTTCAAAGGCTCATACTTTGTCTTACTTCTTGCCATTTCTGAATGCCGCGCCAGTCGTCCGGGCTGAAAACCGTGTTGTACACCCGGAGATCTGACCCCATCATTCACCGTAGCTGCTTTAAAACCGCATCTAGAAGGCAGTGTCTGCCTCTGCCTGTTCCAAATGTCCATTAAAAAGGCCTTAAGAATCTGTCCTCCTGGACGTCTTCGCAAAATATCTTTGAGAAAATCAATGGGTAGTGGAGTTGTTTAACCAAATCAACCTGTCCCCCGTCGCGGGTGTCGTTAGCCGCTGGGCTGTTGGGCAGCCCCAAAGCCAGCGTCTGGTCCCTGCCGCTCCTGGGCTCTGGGAGGCTCCCAGCAGCCGAAGGGCGGGATGCTCACTGCGCAGGCGCGAGCCTCGGCGGCAACCCGGGTACACATGTTACTTTTTTTTTGTTTTTGTGAGGAAGCCCTTTGTGTTTATGATTAGTGTTCTCTATTAAATATTTCTGATTCTCCTCCTAGGCGTGTGACAGTATATTATTTGACTATCTTTAGTGTCAGATGAGGCAATGTAATTTTCTTTGGCCAATGAAGTATGGGCAGAATGATGTTTATTGTATCCACACAGACTTCTAGGAGTCAGCGCGAAATTTACCAATAACTCTTTCCCTCCGCCGCAGTGAAGGCTGGCGTTCAACGTGGTGCCCGTTCCATCAGCCCGGGTCTTGAAGTGAGGACAACTTGGAGTAGAGACCCCAGTGGAGTACTACGATGCACTTTTAGTTCTAAGCCACTGAAAATCGGGAAGTGCTCATTACCACAGCATATCCTGGCCTGGTCTGAGTGATACTGCATTTTACAAGGTTCAGTCCTGAACCATCTTCTTTTATCTCTGCAATCTTCCCATATAAACTTACCTATTCCCATGGCTTGACTGATGCCGCCAAACACCCACAGTTTTATCTACTTTGTTTTGAGCTCCAGATTCCTCCATCTAATGGCCTACTAATGCCTTTAGTTGGTTAACTTACAAGAATTTCTATATTTAAAAGGTGAGGTGATTCCTACTGAATCTTAACTTTCTCCCACAAAACTGCTTCTCTTTCAGCCTTCCCCTGACTCTGTTGAAGCTGCTGTGATCCAAGAATTTGTTCAAGCCGGTAATCTAGGAATTATTCTTAATACCTTCCTTTTTTCTCAGAACTCTATCTAGTTTATCATGAAATCTGAATGATGTTGAAATATATATCAGGGCTGGGTATGGTGGCTCAACCTGTAGTCCCAGCACATTGGGAGGTTGAGGTAGATGGATTGCTTGAGCCCTGGAGTTCCCAATCATCCTGGGCAACATGGCAAAAGCCTGTCTCTACCAAAAGTACAAAAATTAGTTGGGAGTGGTGGTGCACACCTGCAGTCCCAGCTACTCAGGAGGCTGAGGTGGGAGGATTTCCTAAGCCCGGGAGATCAAGGCTTCAGTGAGCTGTGGTTGTTGCACCACTGCACTCCAGCCTGGGTGACAGGGCCAAAAATAAAATAAAAATAAAAATAAAAAAAATCCAGTCATGTCTCTCAATCTACCCAGAGGTCCCCTGTCCCTACCACCCTTCCCTGTCATTTTTAACCTGTTCCAACTTTTGTCGTCACTTCCTTCCAACTCTCTCCAGCTAAAGTAATCATTCAAAAATATAATGGCTGGCATAACTTATCTGTTTAAGACTCACTCGATGAATCTACAATGCACTAAAAGTGAAATACAACTCTTTAGTATACTGTAAAGACATTGGATGATTTGATTGTGTCTACCTGTCTAATATCTTATTCCACCCCTACTCTCCAACATGCCAATAGGCACTCATCTTTCAGTTCCTTGAACATGCCAAGGACTTTTATTTTTTTAAACCCACTGGGCCTCAACACTAATTTGCATTTTCTTTCCTTAGAGTAGTCTAAATCCTCCTACCCATTCACCCACCTGGCCATTTGGATTTAGATGCTTTGTTTTTAACATTATTTTCCCAGAGAGACTTTCTCTAATAACCAAACTTTAACAGATAACCCTTCCTCCAACAGTACTCTTCTTTACAGCTTTGTCGTTTCTCTAATAACAGCTTTATAATTTGTAGTTATACATTAATTTATGTTCTTTCATTTGATTTCTTTCTCTCACCAGACAAAACTCAATGAAATTGAGTTAAATGTATTTTCTTCACTGTTTCATACTTTGCAACTATGACAAAGTCTGGCATTAAAATTAGTCAATAAAAGAAGGAACAAGTTTCTATAGTGTTGTCAGTATGGTGTAAGCATGTAACTTCGTGATGGTAAATCTGTCACAAAATTGGCATGTGCACATGCACTGTTATCACTCAGGGGTTTCCATGTACAAAATGGTAGCAAGAGAGTATTCTAACAGGAGGGTGAGGGTGAGGGGGAGATGAGAAATTTAGTCTCTAGAGCAAGAAAGGAATCCCACTGAAGAAAGATTTGGGTTAAAACAAGAGGTGAGTGGACTCCAAACTAGTTTTATTTCCCCACCTGTAAAATTGGAAAGTCTATTAAATAATATGCAGGTTCCCAGGCTCTAACATTCTAGAGTTCCATTTCTCCATTTTGTTTTGATCCTGCCTAGATACAGGACAACTGTTGATTTACCTCTTTCTTTGTTAGGTGTGTAAGGAACACTTACAATATCTGTGAGATGAAAAGAAAGATCCTGTTGGTGCAGAGAATAGGAGAGGGTATGTGACAGCCACATGACTAATTTATAGAGTGTGTGTTCCTACCACACCTACTGGCAGACTATCTGTCAAATAATCAGTCCCCAGTATGATCAGGGTATTGAACATGAATTGTTCTAGAAAGTAAGGAACAGGCCCAAAATAAAACTTTTTATTGAGGAAGTAATAACACATCTATGAAAATACATTCTCTCACCTATTGCACATGAGTATTTCTTAATTCTGTTCAGTGCAATTCAAAAGCAAGTGAAGAATTCCAGAAACATTCTTCATGACACATGCAGATATCTGCAAGGCTCATCTTCTTCAGTCACAGAACATGCAGGAAAAATTAACCATTTTGGCTCATAATACATTAGATGAATAATTATTAGATTTATTAAAAACACCCATATCTGTCTTCCCCCTATCTCGCCTAGCAATGTAACCAGCTGTTACTCTTTAATATGTGTGTCACCATCCTGGCATTGGGGTCAAACTCAAACTGTGATGATCCACTGAAGAAGTAGAAAAATCCTGTAAATATAGATAAGGAAAATGATGAGACATCTTCAAATATGTCATTTTGCAACACATATAACTTAGATTAAGTACAAGTTAATAATGGAGGGCATTTATTAAGTGATTACTCTATGCCAAGCACTGAGCTAAGTGCTTTACATGCTTTATCTCAATTACCCTTACAAAAAACTGTGATGTGTTATTAATGAGAACAAAACTAAAAATTAAGACGGTTTTGTAATTTTAACAAGGTAGCATCTGTAAGGAAGGAAGGAGGGAGGACTCCATCTCATCTGACTCCAAAGGAAGTGCTCTAAAACATTACGTCATACTGGTTCTAAAGAGATAAAATTCTATAATATTTTAAAACCTTGTTTTACTTTCTTTCCAACCTCCCCTCTTCTGCTAGGTTCTAAATTACAGTTTGGGAGACAACTAGACCCAAGAGAATCAGACAAATGATAAATGAGCCAGAGGTCCATTTCCTGCTTTGCATCCATCATGGTTAAGTCATTTTAGTAACAAGATCATCAGCCTCATGACCATTGGATTGTCAAGCACTGGCAGCTCCCTCCAAAATTCCTTCAGAGTAATCAAGAACAAGTTTTGCTTTCCTATTTGCCCATTACCAGGAATCACATTTGACCTATTTTGAGCATATGGGAGGACTAGTATTTTATTTACAAATGACTAATGCAGGCAATCGCAGACTGCAACAGAAGCCCAGACAAGGCTCCCCTGGGGTGGGATAGAAGAAAAGGGACAACAGGATGGGATAGAGTAGAATGACAACCAGCCATCAGTAAGCCTGGCTCACACAGATTGTATTTTTATACCAACATAGTGACCTGAAAGATAATGGCTTCTGTGTGAGGAAGTATCCTTTGATTTTATGTGCGGATATGAAACAGAGACTAGGAAGTTATTCAGGAAAACACACACACACACACACACACACACACACAAATTTAAACCCACTTTGCATAAATTGGAAAGTTAAGATTTTCAGGAATTTGGAGTAAAAAAGATATCAGACTGAATGATTTAAAAACTGTTTTGATTCTGCACTTTATTTTGAAATCATAAAAATGCCTGGAGATTCCTGCATGACAATGAAATAAGGGTCTTCTTACCAAATGCCTGTAATACAGCATCAACCTTAGGCTCAACTCCTGGAAAGTCATCAGCTATTAGTCTAGGGAAGCCTTGCTCCATGGACTGGCTATTTTCATCAAATCTAAACCAAATGAAAGAAATACAGTTCAATGATGTGCAGTAGTCCCATTACACACAATAGTATAATGTGATGTTAATTTTCCAGTGTGGAATCCTAGACAAACTTTTTAAGTTGTGTAAAAAAGTGTTAAACATTTTTAGAGCTACAAGAATAGGTTACTTTCCTGGGCTTACAAGTTTAACACATAAAACAATATTTTCCAGAAACAGGAACATTATGCCATTTTACAGAGGTTCCATACATATGTCTGAGGTAAATTTTCTAAGCCTGGACACACAGAAACCAAATTTCCCTGTGTCTACTATAAATACATAAAGACTGTGTAGACATAATGAATTCATAATGCAAAATTAATTAAATCACTTAGCTAAAAATAAACCTCTGGTTCTCAGTCACACTGGGACCCTGTAGATCCTGTCTCCAAAGCCTGCCACACCTGGGCTTCCTATGGCAGCCACATGGTGACTGGAAATGGAATAAGAGGTGAATGCCTTTGGACCTCAGCTGGCCTCTCCTGATGTCTTTTAGTGTCTGAGTATATGGCCCAGTGATCACCATTCTGAGAGGCCTTTGTATCCGGAAGGTAGAACAATAAGCTGTCTTCCTCATAATCATAAATTTTGAAGTTAGAGAAAGTTAGAGGGTGGGTGTAGGGTAGGGAAATATCCTTAAAGAAAGAAAATAATTTTCTTAATCAGGCTTCATAGAAAGTCATTTCTCTTGCATCTCACCTCCAGTATTTGTCCGCTGCAAAGAAGTATGTTTTCTTCTTTTCCTTGTCAGAAACAGCTGCATCAATTTTCCTTATGGTTGGAGGAAAACCCAGGGTATGGATGCCTCTTGGATAACCTGCTTGTACCTCATTTCCTCTGATGGCCCAGAACTCATTTCCTATTGAAAAAATAAATCCAAGACATTTTACTTGAAGCCATTGATTTTAAAAATAATTATAGTGCATTGTTGTGGTAAAGAGGAAGGCTTGGTTTTAATTCCAACCTAATAATGTCCAGTTCACAGCCAGTCCTTAATAAATACTCCCTGAATGAGCGAGTGAATGAATGAATGAATAAATGAGTAGATAACTCTGATTCACTGCCCTTTCTGTGTCTTATATATTTGTATCTATATGTTATAGTTTATTTATAGATCAGTTTTAGTTATTTCTTATAATTGTTGGTAAACTTTTAACCTGAATTTCTCACCTAGACCTCTCTCTCTTAAGTTTCATACCAATAGATCAGTTGCTTATTGGACACTTCCTTTGAGATATTTCACAGTCACCAATTCCAATCTGTGCTTCTTGTGAACACTATCGGAATTCATTCAAATTCTAGTGAGTTAGGACAATAAAATCCCATCAATCTCTCTGCATTTACTTTGTTACATCACTCTCCCAGACCCCAAGCCTGAATTCCTTCTTCGCACTCACTGCCAGATTCACTAATCTAAAATGTCCATCTGTTGTTTATCTCTCTTGCTTCGTCTGAACCGAATGACTTGTATCTGTCTGAGCAGTTCCAGATATGCTCTTACTTGGTAAAAACAATTTCTTCTTTCTTAAAGACCTTTCTACTTTCTGTACACCCAGCCCATCTCTGCACAACAATAGAGAACTTTAAGACCCATCCTAACATCACCTCCCCTAAGGGATCTTTGCTGAGTCCTGGGTATGAGTCAGGTGCTCCCATGGCACCCTTCCTTCTCTCAGTCCCAGCACTTGTCATATGTAGGCTGCCAAAGGCTTCATCTCTGCTGCCCCTTCTAGAATATGAGCCCTTTTCAGTCCTGACCTCCACCAATGAGAATGGCGTCTGACACAGTGCAAGTGATATGTAAATGTGAGATACATTACTTGATAACAATACGTTAGAGTTATGTAATCCTTTACAATTTCTACTGCAATTTCACATTCATTTGATCTTCACATAAGTGAGATTGCCAGAAATAAATATTTTTAAAATCTCCATAAAGCTTGACATTTAAAAATATTCCATTATCACCTATGAGTCTAGGGAAAAAATAAAAATGAGAAATTAAAGAATTAAAATTGAACAAAATGAAAATACTGCATATCGAAATTTGCTGGATGAAACAGAAGAAATGGTTATTTATAGGTATAAATGCTTGTATTAGAAAAGAAAAAAGTTACAAGTTAATAAGGTAAGTATCAAACTTAAGCTATAACAATAATAACAGGATCAATTCAAAGTAAACAAAAATTAAGGCAACAATAAAGATATGAACAGAAACTAATTAAACGGGAAATCAAAATATAATATAGAGAGTAAATAAAGCCAAAAGTCAGTCCTTTGAAAAGATCAGTAAAATTATTACATATATTATGAGATTGATGAAGAAAAAAGAGAAAGGCAAAAGGATTCAGTATTAAGAATGAAAAAGAAAACAAAACTTCAGCAATAATTCAAATTACAACAAAATAATTTTCCAAAAACTTTTTCTGATGGATTTGAAAACAGACAAAATTGGCAAATTTTTAGAAAAACATGTTAACAAAACTGACTCAAGAAGTAATAGAAACTCTAATAGCATATTACCAATAAAACAAATTGAAACAGTAGTTTAAAAGTCTGATAAAGAAGCCTCTATACCTGAATATCTCCATTAGTTAATTTATCTCTCCCTGCACTGATACTACATCTTACCGATTAAAGTTTTATAACACAGGGCTTTTCTCCTCATCTAATAAGATGGGTTCACCAGGAGCATCCTGGCTATTCTTGGCCTTTCCTCTGCCATATAAATTGTAAAACTAATTTGTCAAGTTCCATGAAAAATCTTTTGGCATTTGGTATTTGAAATGAAAATGTCTTGTATCTATAGATAAATTGACATTTTTACTATCTTGCATTTTTTATGAATATGGAATGCCACCTATTTTCTTAAGAGGTCTCTAAAATAAAGTTTATAATGTTCTTTGTACAAATTTTATTTAAGTGTTAGCACAAGGTCTTTCAGTAATCTAAACTTTAATATAATGGATAAAACTCATGTCAATAAAATTTTTGCAATAGGATTTATTCCAGCAAGTTGAAATTCTTATATAGTACTCACCTTTAAAAATAAAAACGGTGTCCCTGCTGTTAACTTCATATGCAGCATCCAAATATGATGGAAGAGAGGGCCAAAATGCAGAAATCAAATGAAATTCAGGTTCAGGGTTCCAGTGGGATCTTCGCCAAAAATATCTGTAATACATAAAATTACTTGCAATTGTCTTTCTCTTTTAGATATGTGAAAAAAAAATTCTTTTTTTTTAAATCCATGCTAATTCACCCATTCATAGAAGTCTGTATTAAACCATCCTCCTGCATGTGATTCCAGGGTAATGAAATCGATGGCAGGACTTGTGACTGGTTCCAGTAAAATTATTTAGCTTGGTTCCATTCTAAAAGTCCATAAACAGTGTGCATATTATGTCCTAATATTTTAAAAAATATTATGTGTATATTGATGCTTGTATATGAGTAGAACATTTTTGTAAAGAGTCAAAGGAAATTGGTAGCAGTGGTTGCACATATGAAGGGAGCTGGAGGACGGTAGGCCAAAGACTGGAGAGAGATTTTTTAACTCCGTATCTTTTGGTAGTGTTTAAATATTGTGCCACAAGCACATATCACTTTTTTCCAAAAGTAATTAATTTAAATAGTAGCATATATTAGTAAATGGAAAGATACCACCCTGCTTCTAAGGATCCACCAGTGCTTTCTGAAGAAGTTCCATGATATATGATATTTTAAAAAAATGAACGAAACAGATATAACTCCCTGCCTTAATCAAACTTACAGTCTAGGGACCAAGAATCATCCCTTATAAGTCTGTAAAAAATGATCTGGACAATTCTAAGAAGATGTTAAAAATTCAGCAAGAACTAGATCTGAATGATTTTAAAATGTAGAGGAAATTTTATATTTTAAAAAATCTCTGTCAAGCAGAAAAAGTAACTACTGGGTACTAGGATTAGTACTGGGGTGACAAAATTATCTGTACAACAAACCCCTGTGACACGAGTTTATCTATATAACAAACCTGCACATGTACCCCTGAACCTAAAATTAAAAAAAAAGCTCTGTCAAGTTTCTGTTTTTCTTTCTAAGCACTGTACATCAAAAGAATAGATAGGAAAATATAATTTTCTGGTCTGACCTGTCTTTAAAGAACAGATATTCTCCCCTCAGAGTGCTGATGGCATCGAAGGACAAAGCAGGATCACACTTGGCTGGCATCTCAGATCCCGAAGGAACAGATTTTGTGGGCACCAGGGGTTCCTCAGTAGAGGCAGGGGGAGGTCCTAAAGGAAACAGATTTGGGGATGCAAACATTAAAAAAAAATGTGATGCATCTGTCAATTTGTGTGCCTTTCAAACATTCTCAAAGTGCTTCAGGCCAAATCAGAAATACTTTAGGTAGCACTGGAAAGCTTTCTGGAGGACTGTCATTGTAGATCTGCAATGCCTAATTTTTCCAGCATCACTCACCGTAGAGAGACTGAATGCCATTCACATCATCTTGCGAAAGGCGGAACTGGGCGAGCTCTGTGAATGAGTTGTAGAGTGGGTACATCAAAGCTTCAGTGTTGGCTGAGTGAAAGAGCCCCAGGGAGTGGCCAAGTTCATGAGCAGCAACGAGGAATAAATTGGTGCCTGTATGAAAATCATAAATGTTCAGAATTCACCAGCTCTTTCTTCCATAAATACACATACAGAACATATGCCAGCTGTACAGGCCATCCTTGAAACCACAATGTCTTTTCAGTATTTGTGGATTGGTTCATTGATTGGCACATTCCATACTTTATAGAAATTAATGTGTTTTTCAAGGTTGACTTTAAGTCAATATATAAGACAGTTTTTCACCGTATCCCTCCCTAGATCCCTCCTTGGTCAGGAAAACTAAGACACTTTTCCTATATTGACAAATGAGAAGCATTATTTTCAAAAGATTTTTTTTTGAAAGGACAAGACTAATAGCATGTCAGTAAATATAACTCTTCGTTGTCTAAAAATAAAAAGTCATTGTTCAAATTTAGGAACACTTGCCAGTTGCAACCTTGGTTAAAATTAATCATATAACATTTACGTTCAAACTTTTAAGCCAGAAGACTGTGGTTATTTCTTGTGGGGTTTAGTCTGATTTTCTCTTCCTCCTCTTCATCATACTCAAGTAATTTTTTTTTTTGAGACAGAGTCTCATTCTGTCGCCCAGGCTGGAGTATGTGTCCAAGCGATTCTCGTGCCTCAGCCTCCTGAGTAGCTGTGATTACAGGCACGTGCTACCATGCCCGGCTAATTTTTGTATTTTTGTTGAGATAAGGTTTCACCATGTTGGCTAGGCTGGTCTCAAACTCCTGGTCTCAAGTGATTCACCCAACTTGGCCTCCCAAAATGCTGGGATTACAGGCATTAGCCACTGGTGCCTGGCCATAATCAAATAATTTTTGATTGTCAAAAATCTTCCCAGTAATAGGTGCCATTGGATGTGTACAATCTTTAGTTTAAAACAGAAACATGCCCAATAACAGTTTTCTGCAGCACAAACACAGCTAGATTCAGCTTTTTAAAAATATTATAAAAAGGGTTTTATTGAATTTAGTAGTAGATATTATTTAACCAAGGCTCCAAGAATTGTGCAGAAAAGAACAGTTGTTCAAATAAAAGGCAATCATTTCATGCAACACAAACTTCAGTCTCGTGAGACAGAGTCTCACTCTGTTGCCCAGGCTGGAGTACAGTGGTACAATCTCGGCTCACTGCAGCCTCCATCTCCTGGGTTCAGTGATTCTCGTGCCTCAGCCTCCTGAGTCTTGTACTCAGGAAAGATGTTCTTTGCATTTACATTAAAAATCCCAGGCACTGTCAGAAATAGTGATTATTTCAACAGTGTGTTTCTAAACTTCAGAAGCCATTTTAAAAATTAAATAGCATACAGTTAATTTTAGTCATTATGTTTAGATGTAAAGTGTTTCCAAGCCAATTTAGGGCGAAAAAAACCCATCTAAGCTAGAGACAGTGACATGTTTATTCGAAAAGATGACCTAACAGTTTTTTTTCAGTTCCTGGCATTTTCTCCTGATCTCTACTTTTAAGTAAAAAGGAGGCCAATGAGAAGAAAGAAAGAAAACCTGAGGGCAAATGTTAGGATTGGAACTGGTTTAATGGAATTCATTCTATCCTAATCATCTATCATTAAAGTGATGAAAAACATTATTAATTATGCTGATCCTCAAACCCCCACAAGATCCTGAGTTGTGGAGATGAGGTTGAATGGTTTTTACAATATTGTACTTGGTGGGGGCAAACATGAAAATACAGACATTTTATAAAATTCTTCAATAATGATTGAAACAAACAGTACTTCTGTTTAAAACTCAGGTAATAAAAAAATTCAGTTACTAGTATATTCGATTTATTGCTCGTTCTAGATAATCCAATTATTTTTGGGTAGGATTGGACATTATTCCTGAAATGTTCCCGAGAGGTTTACGACCCACCTGATGCATCTTCTGTCCATTTTTCATCATCATCAAAGTGAATATCTCCATAAAGCCCAGGTCCAGGTGGGTAGGCATGAGCCAAACTGTGTCCTGGGCCATCAAAAGAGTAAAAGTCTCCATGTTCTGATAGGGAACAAATTAATGGAAATATAAGTGTTCAGAATTTCTTTTTACCCTGTTCCAATTAAACAACAGTAGATTCTATAGTCTGAATGTTGGTGTCTGCTGCAAATTCATATGTTGAAACTCAATGCCCAATGAAATATAGTATTAAGAGGTTAGGTCTTTAGGAAGTGATTATGTCGTAAGTGCTCTGCCCTCATGAATGAGATTAGTGCTTTTATGAAAGAAGCTTGAGGGAACCTCCTGGCCCTTTCTATCGTGTGAGGACACAGAAGGTACCATCTATGAGGAATAGGCTCTCATCAGACACTAAATCTGCTGGCACCTTAATCTTGGACTTCCCAGCCTCCAGAATTGTGAGCAATAAATTTCTGTTGTTTATAAATTACCCAGTCTAAGGTAACTTGCTATAGCAGTCTGAACAGATGAATACACCAGATAAATGGATGCTTTATTTGATTACCTTTAACTGCAAAAGAGATCATTATATCAGCCTCTCCTTCATACAGCCTGGAGAATGTGAGTGGAGTCACCTCTTCCCAGACTTTCAGAGCTTTCTCAATGGCAGAATCAACAGCATCTCTTGGCAAATCTGGTGTATAATTCACAATCCTGGAGGAGAAAAATTGAAGAGGATGTTATTTTCTCCTGCCTTTATGAAAAATTGTTAAAGAAAACTTTATGTTACTTATCCAAATATGACGAGTAACTTATAAGGTTTCAATATTATGTGAAAACTAATCTGAACCATTACCTGTATGTAAGGTGGGTTTTCCTCCACTTCGGCATGCCAGGAAAGGAGCTGAAGTGACCAACGTCAGGAACTCCACACCTGGGCTTGCGCATCACCTCCAGAGTGTCAGTGTCTAGCTTCCCTGTCACCTCCAACCCAAGGAACTTCTGCATTCCTTGGATTTTTTTAACAATGAGATTACTGTCCTTTCTTCTAAACTGTTTCACATCCTTTTCGAGGTTGTAGTACTTTTCTAGGTATTGCTAATGGAAAATAGAATTTTTAGGGCATTTTTGTGATTTTCCATCATTTATCCAACTTTTATAATCCATCGTAATTTTCCTCTAGTTTCTTAAAACAAAAGAGGCTATCACATTTAATTTGATTTTTCATTAAGACTCCCCATTTCATACAAATTTTTAAATTTTATTGCAATGTTAGTTTGCTAGTCAAGTAAGGAATTGGGGATTGAAAATTCAAGTCTAGCATTATTTTTGTTAGTTTTTAAAGAAACCCTCTTTTAACATAGTTTTGTGAAAAGTTAGAATACTAACCTTTTCTACTTACATTGTTATTATAGACCTGGTTTAAGACTGAAGTGTGGTAAACTCTTTTGTCCAAATATGACAAGTAAAAATATGAAAACTATTACCTGATATGATTTAAAGATCAAACTTAGCATGCTCCCCTCCCCAATAATTTTAACTAAATAAATTCTAAAGCCAGAGGAGTTTCATATATTCTCCATATGTTCTTTTCACTTAGCCACAAATATACTGCTACTATTTTATTGTAACCTTGAGCAGTTATATTCCCTTTCTGAACCTTTCTTTTCTTCTCTGTTAACATAAAAATAATTTCCACCTCCAGCCTGTTAATTATTCTCTGATGCTACAGTTTTCTAACAAAGTGATCTCTAGTCTAATCATTCTGCTTTGTATTGGAAGACCAAGTAGACACAATTGAGCTGGCCAGTAGCTGCAATAGATGCCACCGTTAATTACCTGGGCAAGATCCTTGTTGGAGTCCTCCTCTTTTGCTGCCCCACTCAGAGGATAGGCAGAGCAGACTGGCAGACACAACAGCACAAGGAATGCAAGATGCATCATTCTCACTGCCCTTACCTTCTTTGTCTACTGGGCTTCTAGCTCTACCCCCTAGTGGCCTTTCTTTTATACAGAGACAATGCTGAGATCACCAACAGTATGATTCATGCATGTGTTTTTTAAGTCTGAATGTTCACAAACATTTAATGTAATGGTGATACAGCCTACATCAGTATTTTCCTTCAACTTTCTAAACTTGAAAGAATGATTAATCCCCAGGAAATGATTTCTGTGTTTGTAAAGACGAAAAAGAATTGGCTAGATAATTCACGTCTCTGTATTTACTTAAAGAGAGCTGACAAGCTTGGTAAAATGCCAAATGTTTTGACATTTTAAAATCAGTGCAATTTTCTTTTAAGAAGATTATGTTTTAAACTTAAATATAAGCAGGTAAGAATTAAGTAGGTCAACGGAAATAAATTCCAAATATAGTCGTGGTCTAAATGTGGGAGTTGTTATTTACAAAGATATTAAAACAAATATTTCACTTCTTGAGTCCTTGTTTACAATAGCTATTATTGATTTTCAGATGGATTTACTGGCCGTGGAGTAGGGGTATTGTGAGAAGGACATGGAGCATGTAGAGAAAAGAATCCAAAGAGAGAAGCTTTGGTGTTCACTCATTCTCCATTTCCCAGTGTATAATTATGTTCAAAGTAACTGCTCCATAAAACTTGTTAAATGGAAAAAATTAAATTGCATGTTAGACTGAAATGGTCCTCCTACCCTCTTCCTCTTCTTTGCTTTTAAAAATTCTTTTCCCCCTTTCTTTCTCCTCTTAAGGTACAAAGGAGGAGATGGATTGAGATCTGTAATGGGAAATGATTTCAAATCCTCCCTTTCTTTCACATGTCTAACGATCCACCCCTGCCCACAAATAGTATTTTCTTTCTTGTTTTCTCAGCCAAATAAAGTGCTTTTTACGCAGTAACACAGTAAGTCTGCAATAACTGTTTTGTCAAATTAACCTGTTAATATAAAGAACCCTGAAATTCTTATAGTAAAGAACTATATTTTTCTCTCACTAAAGATAAATTAACTCTACCATGTCTGAAGTACATAATTGCAAAGTGATGAGAGATTAAAATAATAAGTGTGTAGGAATGATCTTTTCAGTATCGCCCACCATCCCCACCCTACTTAAGGTAGCCTGGACAGGTGAGACTTCCAGGAACCAAGAGGCTCTGAGACTTCCAAGCCAGAGTTGGAGAGAAACTGGGATATACACTGAGCCAGCCAAGTCAACTTGTGACTTACTGTTGCCAAAGAGTTTGCTCTACAGTGTGGTGACATCAGCTTGAATATCAGAGGGAGAAGGACTGACAACTAGACTCAAATAAAGTCAGCTGGACATTGAGCAAGTACAGTCAGGCACTGTATAATGTTTCAGTCAACAATGGACCACATATATGATGGTGGTCCCATATGATTATAATGGAGCTTGATATGGTTTGGATCTGTGTCCCTGCCCAAATCTCATGTCGAACTGTCATTCCCAGTGTTGGAGGTGAAGCCTGGTGGGAGGTGATTGGATCACGGGGGCGGATTTCTCATGCCCATTTAGCACCATCCCATCGGTGATGTTCTTGTCATAGTGAGTGAGTGAGTTATCATGAGATCTGGATGTTTAAAAGTGTGTAGCACCTAGCCCCTCTCTTTCTTCTCCTGCTCTGGCCATGTAAAGTGCAGGCTCCTCTTTTGCCTTCCGCCATGATTGTAAGTTTCCTGAGGCCTCCCCAGAAGAAGGTGCCACCATGGTTCTCATATAGCCTGCAGAACCGTGAACCAATTAAATCTCTTTTCTTTATAAGTTACCCAGTCTCAGGTATTTTTGATAGCAATGCAAGAACAAACTAATACAGAGCTGATAAGCACCCATCAGCTATTGTCATTGTAGCCAACATAATGTCATAGTACAATACATTACCCATGTGTTTGTGATGATGCTGGTGTAAGCAAACCTACTGTGCTGCCATACGAAAGTCTAGCACATGCAATTGTGTACAGTACATAATTCTTGATAATAGTGATAAATGACTGTTTATGCATTTACTATACATTTTATCATTTATTTTAGAGTGTACCTTTTTTTTAAAAGTTAACTGTAAAACTGCTTCAGGCAGGTCCTTCAGAAGGCATTCCATGGTTACTGCCCTATGCAGGCATTATTATCATAGGAAACGACAGCTGCATCAGCGTTACTGCCCTGAAAGACCTTCTAGTGGAACTTGATGTGAAGGTAGAAAACAGTGATATTGATGATCCTGATCCTGTGTAGGCCTGGGCTAATTCGTGTTTTGTGTCTTCATTCTCAAAAAATAGTTTAAAAAATAAAAAAAATTAAAGATAGTAGAAAGCTTATAGGATAAGGATATCAAGAAAAAAATATTTTTGTACCTCTGTGAAACGTTTGTGTTTAACCTAAGTGTTATTACAAAAGAGTCAAAAAAAGTTTTAAATTAAAAAGTTTATAAAGTAAAAAAGTTACTACAGTAAGCTAAGGTTAATTTATATTGATGAAAGAAAAATGCTTTTATAAATTTAGTGTAGTCTAGGCATACAATGTTCATAAAGTCTACATAGTGTACAGATTCACTCACCACTCACTCACTGACTCACTTAGAGCAACTTCCAGTCTGGCAAGCTTCATTCCTGGTTAGTGCCCTATATAGTTGTACCATTTTTTATCTTTAATACCATCTTTTTATTGTATTTTTTAATGTTAAAATATGTGTAGATACAGTAATATTTATTATTATGTTACAATTGCCTCCAGTATTCAGTAGAATTTCATGCTGTATAGGTTTGTAGCCTAGGAGTAATAGGCTTGCTGGGCATGGTGGCTGACACCTCTACTCTCAGCTACTTGGAAGGCTGAGATGGGAGGATAACTTTCCCCAAGAAATTTTTAAAAGGCTATACCACATAGTCTAGGCATGTAGTAGGCTGTACCATAGAGGTTTGTGTAAGTTTAATCCATGGTGTTTGCACAATGGATAAATTGCCTAAGGACATGTTTCTTAGAATGTGTCCCCATTGTTAAGTCACACATGACTGTGTGTAATTAATTCAGGCCATTATTTTGTCATCTGTAAAATGGGGTGGATATAACCACACTCACAAAGTTATTTTGTATGCTTTATGCTGGGGAACAAATCTCTTCTTATTTCACTCCAACACCTTTAACAGACAAAGCTTGTTGGCCTGACAAATCTGTGACAATGCCCCTAGGCCCTGATTTGACAAGCTGTGAGATGCCCATTTTCGCTTGAGTCATAACTTTATTAGTGTTGACACATCCTGTTAATGGATTTTATTATGTGGTAATGATACAATGAAAGTTTACATTGTAGTAATAGCTACGACTATAATTGGGAGCCTATAGGGTAGCACATGCCTCACAGAAATGATGTTAGTGTTTAAACTTGTCCTGCATTAAACCATGACACCTGGTAGAAATTAATGCCCTGGAGCAGGTGAGTCCTATGTTTGTCTTTATATAATTCATTACTTGTTAAACCTACTGAAGTATGTATAGGGTCAGGCAAGGAAGCATACAGAGCTCATACTTAAAGAAAGGTGAAACGCCTGGTATTGAGCTTCCACTGTAGTCAGTTCTTAAATGTGAGTTATTTTTAAACTTCAGAACAACCCAACAAAGTTGAGATTAGAAAAATTGAATAATAAGCTCACGATCAAAAGCTAACAAGTGGGAAGAGATTATTCAGAACTGCCAGAAGAAACCTTCATGACTACAACTTGGATGTTTATCAAAAACTTCTTGGCTTCATTCCATATCTTTGCTATTGTGAATAGTGCTGCGATTAACATACAAGTACAGGTATCTTTTTGACATAATGATTTCTTTTCCTTTGGGTGGATATCCAGTAGTGGGATTGCTGGGTTGAATGGTAGTTCTATTTTTTTGGTCTTTGAGAAATCCTCATACTGTTTGGAATACTATGCAGCCATAAAAAGAATGACGTAATGTCTTTAGCAGTAACATGGATGGAAGTGGAGGTCATTACGTTATGTGAAATAACTTAGAAACAGAAAGTCAAATACTGCATGTTCTGATTTACAAGTGGGAGCTAAATAATGTGTACACATGGATATACTGTGTGGAATAATAGACACTGGGCACTCAAGAGGGTGGGAGGGAAAAGAGGGATGAGAAATTATCTAATGGGGGCACAATGTCTTCTGTTCCAGTGAGAGTTACACTAAAAGCTCAGACTTCAACACTATGCAATATATCCATGTGACAAAACTGCACTTGTACCCCCCAAATATATTTAAAATAATAGTAATAACAAAAGTTTTAAAACAACCTCTTGGCTTGGACCTTGGTTCTTCCCCAGCTTTTTTTCTTTTATGTCTTGACACTGTTCTTTATCTCTCATTCTTTTTTTTTTTTTTTTTTTGAGACAGAGTCTCACTCTGTCTCCCAGGCTGGAGCGCAGTGGCGCAATTTCAGCTCACTGCCAGCTCTGCCTCCTGGGTTCACACCATTCTCCTGCCTCAGCCTCCCGAGTAGCTGGGACTACAGGCGCCCGCCACCACGCCCAGCTAATTTTCTGTATTTTTAGTAGAGACAGGGTTTCACCGTGTTAGCCAGGATGGTCTCGATCTCCTGATCTCATGATCCGCCCGCCTCGGCCTCCCAAAGTGCTGGGATTACAGGCATGAGCCACCGCGCCTGGCCTATCTCTCATTCTTGAACTCACCCCTGAACATGCCTTCAATTTATCTCCTTAGCTTTTGTTCTTTTCTCCCAACTCTCTGATCATCCTGCTAACACAGCTACTTCATTTGATCTATGTTTATCTGTTCTGTCACTTGAAGTTCCTCTTGGCCTGTGCTGCACTGATGTGATCCAGACAGAATGCAGGTCTACAATCCATTGCAATTTCAGTAACTAAGACTGAGAAATGCCTAACGGTTTCTCACTTCCAGTTTATTCAATTCTTGGGAAAACTGGTTAGCTATTAATTTTCAATACCCAAAGACCTCTGATTTTAAGGTTGTACACTTATACATATAATCCTGCGTCAACCATGGCATGACATTGACTTCAGTATTTTGCAACTTCTTCTTTTGTTGGAAATTACTGGTTTTTACACAGACTCATAACAAGTGAAAAGTTGATCTCTTTCCCATGCTTTTAGTTCCAATTTGACTGCTTCACAATGGGAACACAGTTTATTGTTAGATTTATATTCATTCTTTTCTCTATTCTGATAGTTTAGTCAAATATTGCAGGCCACTTGTGCTTGCTATAGAAAATACTATCAATGGAAGGAGGCAAAGTATCAAAGTAGGGGTTAGACGGACCTCAGAATCATGACTTCAGTGTTGTGAATATTAGAAAGCATAATTTTATGTTGTGTCCTATAATGGCCATTATTATTTTAACAATACCTAAACACATAAAATAATGCTCTATGAATGCAGTTACTGTATTTCCAATGTGTAGGAGATACAGTAACAATGTGTTAGGTTAGTTGCTCTGTTGATTCCTTGGTGCAGTGGGCTTTTCTGGTGGGAAGACCCTCAGTGAGGAGGAAAGAAGCACTGAAGAAAAATTCTGGCTGTAGGGGAATATGCGAAAGAAAAGGGCAATTATCATTTGTTGAATATTTTCAACATGACAGGCACTGTGCTAGGTGATCTAACCTCTTCTATCTTTACGACAATCCTGGAAGTTAGTATTATTTTCCCTTTACCATAGAAAGGAAACGAAGATTCAGAATGGTCAAGATCACAAAGAGTTGAGTGGCAGAGCAGATCTTGCAGCTTTGCACTGCAATTCATTGGCCAGAACACTGCCCCTTTAAGACATATGGGCTAGGTCTGGAAAAAAGCTACTACTTCCCCTTAGAGTGGTGTTTGGGGTTAAATTCTCTAAAAGGATTCAAACTGGAAGGCTAGAGCCTCGTTTAAAACCCAAACAAAACCCAAACAAGCAAAACCCCTACTTTCTAGTGCATTTGTGGGCTCAAAGACAGCAGGGGAAATCTCTAAACACTCCTCTTGAATCACTCTGTATCATGTTTCTGAGGCTGTGTTAATTTGCTCTAGTAAAGAAATCATGTCTGAAATAGTAGCTGTGATGATAATTACCCACTAGGTAAGTTACCTGCTAGGTAGTTACCCACTAGGTAAGGCCACCGTCATGATGTATTGGGTTTATGCAAGGGCTCCAAGGATTCATTGAGTGAGGCTGTGAGAGGATTACCCTCCTTGTTGCTTTTAAAACTCTGATAGTGTAACCAGTCTGTGCAATCCTCCCAGGATGTGACATTGGTTTTTTGCTGCTTTTGGTTTACTATTTTGGCCAGAGTTTAGGAGGAGCAGTTTCAGGGGCTACTAGTTGGCCCTTCCTACCATAAAGATCTTATTCCAGAAGTCAGGGAACAACCACAAGATGGTCTGTGGGCCCGCTGGGCCCACTGTGAGATGACCTTGAGTCAGAACCCTATTTATCACTTTCCCTCATATACCTCCTTTCTAAACTGGAAGGCCTTAATACCATGTTGGGACCTCTGATACCAGCTCAGTTCAGATCTGGTATCCAACTGTCCTTGCCAAATCTGAGTACTCTTCTTCCCCAGTGCACGGTTACCCTGGTGGATGGCCATAGGTACCTTTATGAGGATAATTTAAAAGACATATGTAATCCTTGGTATGTAGTGGCATCACAGTTACTAAGATGTGTGTGTGTGTGTGTGTGTGTGAGAGAGAGAGAGAGAGATAGAGAGAGGGAGAGAGAGAGAGACTAGGTCCCCTTGAAGGAGGATTTCTGTCTCCATATATACACATACATATATATATACACACACACATACATATATGTATGTTTTTTATGATTTTTGTATACATATTATAACATATACATATTATGCATGTTTTATATTATTTGTACATACATATGATAAGTATGATTTGTATATACATATGTATATGTATATATAGTATATGTGTGTATATAAATGGAGAGATATATGTATGCATGTGTACATACATATGTATATATATGTATATGGATATGGATGTGTATGTATATACATGTATATACATATACATCTGTATGTATGCACTTTTACCATTCTGCTATCCCATCATCTTTAATGATACTAGAGAGGCCAATTCCCCAGAAACACCTCATATTCTTAACCCACCTCACAGAGAACAACCACCACCAGGTATCTCTGAGACACCAGTGTGCACCCTCACCAGTGTGGTCCTTATGGCTTCAATGAAAGCCAATGAAAAGAGTGCCCTCTGGGCCTTCCCAGGCAACAGAGTATGATGGTGGGTTCTTCAATTTCATGTAATAGATTCATTTTAAGGTTCAAATCTCTCTGTGTCTTCTGACTTCTTCCTCAAAATCATGCCACAGAAATTCTGGCATCTCCACCTCATATGCCACAGGACATCATTGTGTCCAAGATTTGAGAATCCATGTCAGCAGAGTATTAGACAAGCTCCTGGTTTCCTTTCTAGGAAATTGATTCCCAAGTCAAGAATGTGTGTATCGATGTCAATAAATTCTTCTCTCTTCAGCCTTACATCCCCCAACTTAATCTGATGCCTTTCAGATTTACTCCCATATGTGTTTCCTTGATTTCTGATGATACTTAATGCCCAGGTCCTATAATTCTTTTGGTTAGTAACCTATATTTCCTACCATAGCTAGGATCTGAACTATGCTGAGACCTGATCTTAGTCATTTGCCTGAAAATAATGAGCAGAGGGAAGATCAATCTGGGATGAGGGCAAGCACTATCTTGTGAGGTTTTTGTCTCAAATGAGGTCTTTATCAATTCTCCATGCAAGCATAGTTTGTGCTCCTCTGGCAAGAGGGAGGTACTACTTCTGCCTGTGTAGAGCTTGCTTCTGCCTGTGTAAAGCTACTTGCAAGACTCCTGCCTACATAAACTTTCCTCCCAAATTAGTCATGATAAACTAGTGATTATCTTGACAAACTATATTATGCAGCATTAATCAAATAGAAAATCTTAGTGGCTTAGGAAATAAAAGTTGTATATATGTTTAGAGACAAGAATCTCATTCTGTAACCCAGGCTGGAGCGCAGCGGTGATATGGTTTGGCTCTGTGTCCCGAGGCAAATCTTGTGTGGAATTGTAATTCCTCAGCGTTGGAGGAGGGATCTGGTGGGAGGTAACTGAATCATGTGAGTGGATTTCCCCTTTGCTGTTCTTGTGATAGTGAGTGAGTTCTCACAAGATCTGGTTGTTTGAAAGTGTGTAGCACTTCCACCTGCTCTCTCTCTTCCTCTTGCTCCAGCCACGTAGGACATGCCGGCTTCTCTTTCACCTTCTGTCATGATTATAAGTTTCCTGAGGTCTTTCCAGCCATGCTCCCTGTACAGCCGGTGAAACCGTGAGCCAATTAAACCTCTTTTCTTTATAAATTATCCAGTCAGAGGTAATTCTTTATAGCAATGTGAGAACGAACTAATAAAGTGGTGCGATTATGACTCACTGAAGCCTCCAACTCCTGGGCTCAAGTGATCCTCCCATCTCAGCCCTCAGAGTAGCTGGGAATACAGGTGTGTACCACTATACTCAGCTATTTTTAAATTTTTTTTTGTAGACGTAGAGCCTTACTATGTTGCCCAGGCTGGTCTCAAACTCCTAGTCTCAAGCAATCCTCCTGTCTCAGCCACCCAAAATGCTAGGATTATAGGTGTGAGCCACCATGGCCAGCCTAAAATTTGATTTCCTGCTTAAGCAAAGTCTACTGAGGTTTGTGTAACTATTTGGAGCATTTACCTCCAGCAATTCAGCTTGTTCTGTCTTGTGGCAACTCTCTCATGATGTACTTCTACCACAGGACAGAAGGAGTAGACTACTAGAGAAATTTCCACCAGCAATTAAATGTTCCAGTCTGAAAATGATATTTGTCACTTCTTCACTCAACCCTCTGGCTAGAAGTAGTCAGATGCCCCACTGCCCACCACCCAACTCTGCAAGGAGTTGGACTGTGGGAAAATGGAACCCTCCCATATGTTCAGAAGAGACAAAATGACATACACCTAGAACGCTCTACCATGATGTCACTGATTTTACCTAAAACCACTTTTGGAATCCATAAATGGGGCAAGGGAAATGGATTCCCCTCCCCCACCCCAGTTTATATGGTATAAATTCCATGTGAATAGAGAATAGTTGAGTTTTTTGTATATCCTCATTTCCCACATGAACATTTTTTATATTGTCTACTTCCCATTTCAAATTTGAAAAGCAGTCTCTGTAAGGGTGGCGTTGTCATCAGAAAGTAACAATAATAAATATAGAAAGTGTATAAAACAGTAGAAACAAGGTTGACTTTATTCCAAACATAAAACACTTATTTTGTGTTAGAAGAGTTATCCCTTGCCTATCCAGGGTGACACCAGTGACTGCACATGTGTTCTTGAGCTGCTTTTCCTCCGGCAAAGACTCATGTCTCCTGTCTCTTTCTGTCTTGAAAGGATATGTTTGTCACTGAAGCTGCTCTCTGGGATCAACGTCAGAGTTGCATACTCTGGAAAAGATCTTTGCAACTCTGGCCTATATGAATCCATAAGCCACAAACTTGACTTTTTGTACCCACCATTTGTGGAACTAAATTATATCAGTACAAAAAGGGCTACATTCTAAATAGTAAAAAAATATGCAAACTGAGGTATAAATAAGATTATATTCTGTGTATCAGTGACTCTAGAGGTTAAAAATGACTGAGAAAATAGACAGTTCTTCAGGAAAACACCTTCTTTGGACTCACACCATGTGTTTTCCATTCAAATTAGTAATGTTCAATTTTTCCTGCAGTTGAACCAGCTATTAGCTTTCTGGAGAGTCAAAATTCTCTTCGTTTTAGGATCAAATTTGTATTGTCTTGTTCCATGAAAGAAATAGAAAAATCCTAGAAACAAAACAAAAGAGACTTACTACATTATACAAGTAGTTTCTAGGTTTAACTTGAATTCTTGAGAAACCAATTCATCTGTGAGCACAGATATTTTTGGCATTTGCTGTTCCAACTAACAATAATGATGTTATTGCTACGGCAATGAAATGGAGGAAATACATGTATATTCACTTACCATCTTTCATGAAAACTGCATCAACTTTGTGGCCAATTCCAGGAAAGTCATGTGCTATCATTTTGGGATAACCTGGATCCATAGATCGTTTATATTCATCATACCTGGTCAGAAAAGAGTTAAGAGTGTCAGACCTTTTGCTAAACATGTGCACTCTGAAAATCATTACAGAAAATACACAATGAGGAATTTAACCAGAATATTTCATTTTATAGATCATTTGTGAAATGGGGAGTGGATGGGATAAGGTGGAATGTTGGGTGAACTAAAAGGCCTTTAAGGCCCCTCTGAAATCCAGCATCGAATTCTCCAGTAGGTTCTACGCTATGTCCTATCGAGGTAACATACTATGGAAGATAAGTAACTTTTGGCCAAAGTAGCTCCGTTAAGATGAATGTCCTCAATTCTACATCCTTTTAAAATTCATCCCCCTACATTCTCTGGATTCCCAGTGCAGGCATTGTGTGATGATTATTGGTCAATAGACTAAATAGATGATAGATTGGCACCAGCCATCTGAAGGAAAGGATGCCGGCCAAGGCAGTTTGAGACTCACTTTGAAATGGGCTATTCTAGAACTTTTTATGTAGAAAGAACTGAGGCCCTAACATTCTCTGCACTTAAACTTACCTCCAGTATTTGTTAGCAACAAAGAAGTAGGTTTTTCCAGTGTTTTCCTCAGAAAGAGCAGCATCGATATGCTTCACAGTTCTAGGGAAGCCAAAGGAGCTGTAGATGTCCTTGGGGTATCCGTGTAGCACATTCTGTCCCTGAACAGCCCAGTACTTATTCCCTGCCAATCAAGAAAGAGTGATAAAACACTTGCCTAAGACTTCAATAGGCAGTAAGTGAATTTTCAGCTAAGTTCTTAGTTTCACATGCTAGTGCAGTACCCTGGCTGCAGATTAGAATCATCTAGGGAGATTTTTGAAAATACTGATGCCAGGACCCTATCCCAGACCAATTAAATGTGTCTATCTTTGGAAGCTTCTTAGTTGATTCTAATCTGCAGCAAGCTTTGAGAATGACTTGTTTATGGAGTTGGGGGCTTCTTTCCACAGTCAGATGTTCAAATGACTAAAGAGTTAGTTATGCCACCTTGGTGATATAAACTTCGGTTCTCCAGGTTTGCTCATGGACTGTGGAAGTTCAAACCATTTGTATCATAAAGGGTGAAGTGCTGTAGTGACTCATAACCTGTAAGGGTTTGCAATCCTGGATTCAAATCACTGCATTTGACTAGAAGATAGTTCCAAATACTTGAATTAATGCTGTGTCCAGATTCCGTGTTTATACTCAGTAAGCCCCTCATCACATAAAGCTGGTCTCATATACTAAAGCCAAGATTTCTGTTACTGTACACACGTGCTATTTACCCCTCATGAAAAAGGAATTTGAAACTTTCTGTCTCTAACATCCATTTAATTTCATAATTTAAAGGCTAAAAATCCTGTTTCAAAGCGTTTGGCCCATCTGACCTGCATTTAATTCTTTGCCTTGAGTGTATGGCTGAGTCAAATGTCTTACTCATTGTACTACGTTAAACACACGTTTGCAAAAATATTGGTGCGTGGCATAGTGTCTCGAGTTTTACTTTGAGTACTCCCAGGAATATGGAGGGGGTTTTAAATACATAGTTTGTGCAGAAAATATTTTTGTAAATCTAGATTCATTAAAAAGGCCAGAACGTTCTATCTCCAGTCATTTGCCTTTTGTTTAAAATGACTCCAAAATGCGCTACGCACCGTTTAGTTAAGTTGATGGACTTTCATTGATTTGGTTGGTGAGACTGAGATTTTCAAAAGTCCCTGGAGAGAATGTAGCTAGTAACCTTATATCTCAGCCCCAAAGGGAATGAAAAATTGATTTATTAAAGCAGTGAAAAATAATTAGAAAGATTACCTTTGAAAAACCGGACTTCATCTCTGTCGGCAAATTCGTAAGCAGCTTCAAGCCCATTTGGCAGTTGTGGCCAGAAAACAGAAATGAAATTGAGCTCAACTTCCGGGTAGAAGGGATTTGTGCGCATGTAGAATCTGATTAGAAAAAAAGCAAGAAAAGTTTCCATCTAATTTCTGGTAATCTCTGGCAGATATCCAGCTCCAGCTCCTTCTTGTTGCTGGCACTAGTGGTGTGCTGGTAAATGTATAACATTCAGCTCTCCAAAGAAGGGTTGGTTTATAGCATTTGCTGATTTCACTAGCTTGAAATACTCCCATTATGATGAATTTCAAGAGTCTCAGTGGAGCACCATTGTATAGCATACAAATAAAATAGGCATAAGTAACTTTAAGAACATAAATAAGTAGAAAAATGCAGTAAAAATTATGACAAACTGATGAATTTTTATTATTTTTATTACCTTTTATTTTAATGTAATTTAATTTTGTTTATATAATTTAAGTTTTATCTCTTTTTTATTTATTTACTTTTTTGAGACAGAGTCTCACTCTCTCACCCAGGCTGGAGTGTAGTGGTACAATCTTGGCTCAGAGCAACCTCTGCCTCCCAGATTCAAGGATTCTCCTGCCTCAGCCTCCTGAGTAGCTGGGATTACAGGTACAGGCCAACACGCCCAGCTAATTTTTGTACTTTTAGTAGAGACAGGGTTTCACCATATTGGCCAGGCTGGTCTTGAACTCCTGATCTCAAATGATTCCCCCGCCTCCGCCTCCCAAAGTGCTGCGATTACAAGTGTGAGCCACTGCACCTGGCCTATAATTTAATTTTTAATAATGGCTATGGTTCACAGCTAGCTTGCAAAATTCTTCAAAATTTAACAGTCAGCTTTGGTGAGCCATTAGGGATCGGCTGTGCACATTACCAACTGGACCATGACTCTAATATCCTATTATTTAGTGATTACTTACAACACACCAGGCCCATTCCTTACATCAGACCTTATCACAAGGACACTACAAGAGAGTATTTGAGGATGAGAAATTGAGGTTGGGGAGACTAAGGGAGGTGTCTAAGGCCACCCAGCTGGTAAGAGGCTAAGGTTGATTTTTAAACTCCGCTCTGGCAGCCAATCCCTTTGTTGTCCCTTGGTTAGTAGTATTTACACAAAGTGGATTATAGAGCTTAATAGGGACTAGGGTAACAGCACAGCATAGACTGTTATGTGGGCTGACACAGAAGAGCTCCAGATTCCAGGCCACAGGGAAGCCTACGGCCTTGGCTGTCGGAAACCTGACTTCTAGGTCCAGTCCTTCCTCTGCCTGGCTGTGATGCCTTAGGCAAATCAGTTACTATCTCTATCTCTAGCCTTTCATGTCTCCTCGACATGGCGACATTTAAATGATCTCTGTGTCCTTTCAATTCTGGCAAATCCTCAAATTGGTCCTGTTCCATCTAGTAATATTTGGTTTGATAGGTGTGTCCTGTTGTACTGAGAGGTTTCCTTTAAAACCATGTGTTTTCTTAACTTGTCCCAGCATTGAACCACACCCTGTATAGTTTACCTCCAGCCTTATCTTTTACACTTAAAAAGTAAAGAGAGGGCAGAAAGAATTATGAGCCAGTGCCCTGAATTCTAGGAGAGATGCGACTACAGAGTAGTAAAACAGTGCCACAGCACTTGAGAGGCTGCAGAGAATGAGCCTTTCAGGCCACCCTGAATTTCTATGTGTTGATCTTTCTGTGGACTGCATCATTCACCAAATGCGGTGTGCAATAACACACCAAAAGAGTGTGTTATTATTTTGCCTGATCCTTTAGGAATCACTATGGTACAGAGAGCAGGCCTCCTCCTTGCATGTGAGATGACCCCAACTTTTTGAGTCCACATGCTGCAGAGGGAGTTCTAGGATTCTTCTTTGAAGAGGGAAGCACCATGTTGTGGCTGCCCCTATCTGTCCCAGGAGGGATTTCATCAGTTCTTGGGGACTTTCCCAGCATTGGTGCCCTCTCTTCTCTTCTTCTCTGGGCCTCCAGGGGGCAACAGAGACCCTTCAAGTTAATAGGCTTTGGGAGGGCCATTTTTCCAGGATGGCAGGGGAGATAATTAAAGGATGGCTATGCAACCCTCATCAGTGAGATGTTGCTATGGAAAGGACCACTTTCTCCTAAGAAAGTCCAATGATACTTATCACCATAAAGAGTGGCATAATGAAAAGAGACCTGAAATAGGGAACAGAAGACCAATAACTGCTCTGCTACCAATGAGCTCTATGCCCCCAAAAGATCTCTTTCCTTCTCTCTGACTTACTTTGCTAATCTGTAAAAAAAGATCATACATACTGATTTTCAAAATCAACTATATTTTCTGAGAATCAGTTGACCTAATACATGTAGAAAAACAAAGTTGTTACAAGTACATTATGTTGCACAAATGCATGTGGTTGCTACCATGTGATTATAGATGTAAATCAGCATGAAATAAGTAACATGTGAAGCATAATAGTTAATCATAGTGGTGAATGTTGTTATTATTACAAATGCAGATCACAAAGAAGAACTGACATCTTACCTGTCTTTAAAGAACATCACTTCTCCCCGAATCGTAGTTATAGCATCAAAGGTTAGCTTACTGTCACACGCTTTTGGGGTTTGTGGGCCGATGGGCTGGACAGGATTTTGGGAACGTCCTAAGGAAAATAAAATACCTAGAGTTAGTTTTGCCTAGTATTAGAAAACTACATAAACAATGAAGACAGCTTCTTCAAGGATATCGCTAATGGCTGTTTTATTTGAAATACATATAAAGACCACCAGGCCCTTGTCCGTAATGTTTTTCCCCATACTCACCATATATGGCTTGGATGCCATCAATGTCATCCTGAGCTAGCTGAACATCACCACTGAAGGTGTAGCTAGGGTACATCAAAGCCCCGATATCAGTAGAATGGGAGAGTCCAAGAGAATGGCCGAGTTCATGAGCTGCAACACGATGTAAGTTGTACTCTAAAAAGGCCAATAAATCAATTTGTAATTATTTGAAAGGTATTCAGTTTTGAGGCATTTAACTAATAAATAATTTACAACTACAAGGACTCATGTTACTATTTTATCAGTGACTTTTGAAATATATGCATGTATATCTTTTTTCCGAAGGCAGAAGGCATGCATTTATTAATAACGAAGAGACATGTTGAAACCTAAACTCTATGATTACATTGATACAATTAAAAGACAAACTCAGCTGACTGAAAGCGCACCACAGATTAATCAATATTATCAATGATTAAATGACACGTACTATTTCACACAGAAGCAAAATGTTCTATTAACATTTAATATTTTTCTTTTTCTTTTTTTCTTTCTTGAGACGGAGTCTTGCTCTGTCACCCAGGCTGGAGGGCAGTGGCATGATCTTGGCTCACTGCAACCTCTGCCTCCTGGGTTCAGGCGGTTCTCCTGCCTCAGCCTCCTGAGTAGCTGAGATTACAGACGTGTGCCACCATGCCTGTCTAATTTTTATATTTTTAGAAGAGACAGGGTTTCACCATATTGGTCAGGCTGGTGTCAAACTCCTGACGTTGTGATCTGCCTGCCTTGGCCTCCCAAAGTGCTGGGATTACAGGCATGAGCCACTGCGCCCAGCCTAATATTTAATATTTTTCTTATTTACAAAACTGATAAATGTTGACTGCTGGAAATTTTGGAAAACACAAAAAGCCTTCCTTTTCTTTAATTTCCACATAAGTTTATGACCGCTGTTAAATTTCACTGTTTTCTTCTAATGAAAAAGTTTCAATGTTGATGCCCACAATTAAAACATCAAAGTTTTCAACAATTTTCTTAATAAAAATTTTAGAGTGGCCTAGTTGTCACTGCTAAGATGTTGTTAGCTAGCAGAAAAGACCGCTCTTTCACTTTTCTAAGTGTATCACTAATTTTCTGAGTGGTAATAGAAAAATATATACTTCTATGAATGCATTCTTTCAACTAAATCAACCAATATTACAATGAAACATGAAGGGGTGGGAGAATTGAGAGAGGCAAATTTGATTGGCTTACCTCTGAAATTGTTGGTCCACCTTTCATCTTCATCAAAATGAGCATCCCCTCCAATACCTGGGCCTGGTTGAAAAGCATGAGCAAGATTTCCTCCAGGTCCATCAAAAGGAGAGTTGTCCCGATGATCTGAAAGAAACAATTCAACAAAGATTCCTTGTGGTTCTTATGTAAGCTAAGCCAGAAGGGCAAGCATTAGCTTTGTTAAGAGGCCAAC
Source organism: Homo sapiens (assembly GCF_000001405.40). Taxonomy (NCBI): domain Eukaryota; kingdom Metazoa; phylum Chordata; class Mammalia; order Primates; family Hominidae; genus Homo; species Homo sapiens. Next base: position 102,796,878 of record NC_000011.10, read on the forward strand.
AGACTTCCATCAACTGTGATGCAGTTTCCCTCTTCGAGCCCATAAAATCAACATTCATCTTAAACAATCAATTCCAGTTGCAAAGCTACGAGATCTAGGGGCAAGGTGAGGTTAAGGTGCTATAAGAAGAACTTACCTCCCCTGACAAAAGATATCATGATGTCTGCTTGACCCTCAGAGACCTTGGTGAATGTCAGAGGTGTGACATTACTCCAGAGTTGGAAGGCTTTCTCAATGGCATGGTCCACATCTGCTCTTGGCAAATCTGGCGTGTAATTTTCAATCCTTAGAATGAAACAAAATAGAGACACATTGGACATGACTTCTTACCACTGTCATGGGAAATAGCTCTCTCACTCTGGCCCTCAGTCTGCCTACCTGTAGGTCAGATGTGTTTGCTCCCAGCGAGGGTTCCCCTCAGTGAGGACAAACTGAGCCACATCAGGCACTCCACATCTGGGCTGCTTCATCACCTTCAGGGTTTCAGCATCTGGTTTCCCAGTCACTTTCAGCCCAAAGAATTCCTGCATTTGCTTCAATTTTTCAACCACTGGGCCACTATTTCTCCGCTTTTCAACTTGCCTCCCATCATTCTTCAGGTTGTAGTATTTTTCCAGGTATTTCTGACAAAAGAAAATTATCGAAACACTGCATGGGAAATCTTTCTCATTATTCTAAAAATTGATGGCATTAAGTTTTAGCCAAAACAGAGAACTGCTTTTAAACCTTGTGTTTAGATTTCGCAGTTGCTTTTATCCTTATTTTTGGTGAGAAATGAAATTTCAGAGTAGAAATGTCCCTACTATTAGTTATTGTGAAGTAAGAACTTCATAGTAGAGCAATTTTTGTAGAGCAAGATTTGCATACTGTTACAAGTCTACAATTTGTGGAGACAAGTTTGGATGTTGTTCCTTTAGTTCACTCTCACCTCCAACTGGAAAAAGAGAGCGTATGCATGGCTAGATACATTTTGGGTGGAGGGTGCTGTTTCTAGCAAAAAAAAAAAAAATCTCTTTATAAGAAACCTATCCTTAAAAAACTCTATTACATTACTGCAGAAAAATACAAACTAAAAATTTACATTATTGTCACATGCAATGCAGCATTTACCTGGACTAAGTCCACATCTTGCTCTTGTGTTTCTAGAGTCGCTGGGAAGCTGTGAGACACCACACCCCAGAACAGCAGCAGCAGCAGTGGAGGAAAGCTGTGCATACTGGCCTTTGTCTTCTTTCTCAGTGCAAGGTAAGTGATGGCTTCCCAGCCTCTTGCTGCTCCAATATCCCAGCTAGGAAGCTCCCTCTGTATATATAGAGTCCTTGCCCTTCCAGAAAGCCAGAGGCTGTCTGACTCATGCTTTATAACATCCTCTTGATTAGCTATGAATAGACTAGGCAATCATTAGAAATGGTGACTCCTAGCAGATTATTTGGAATCACTTGGTGTTGCAATGTCATGATTAACTTCAAACAAGATGTGTGCGAAGGAGACACACTCTGCCATGTAAACAGTGGTTTTCTCCAATTCATTTCTTTCCTATTTGAGAAAGGTTCTTGTTATATACACAGGTCAAAGAGTACTCCATGGTCTTTTTGAAAAAGACTGGTTCTGATGGTCATAAAGTGCTACAGGTTTCTCCACACACCTTGCTCCCAGGGCAGAGGGTGGAATTACTAACACTGCGCACCTGATGGCTGTTCGGCACCTGTACTGACTGAAGTTCAGCTCCCCCAGCACTCACTTTACGGTGGCTCTTCGGGGTTCTCTGAGGTTCCCTTCTGCCTTTGTTAAGCTGCCTGGTACCCTATTGCGATAGCACCATGGCTTCCCTTAATCTTTACTCAGAGCCAGGCATGGTGGCTCAAGCCTATAATCCCAGAATTTCAGGAGGCCGAGGCAGGGGAATCACTTGAGCCCAGGAGTTCAAGATCAGCCTGGGCAACATGGTGAGACCCCATCTCTGTAAAAAACAAACAAACAAACAAACATTTTTTAAAGTTAGCCAAGCATGGAGTCATGCACCTGTAGTCCTAGTCACTGAAGAGGCTGAGGTGGGAGGATCACTTGGGCCTGGGAGGTTGAGGCTGCATTGAGCTGTGATTGTGCCGCTGCACTCCAGCCTAGGCAACAGAGAGGGACCCTGTCTAAAATAAAATTTGAAAAAATTTACTCAGGCCTAGGATTTAAGAGCCTTACCTGAGAAGACCCCTCATCCACAGGCGGAGTATGAGATAACTCCCCACCCCTTGCCCATCATTATCATGGGACAAATAGGATCCTTCCCTGAAACTTGTCTGAATGTACCGGATGATGAAAAGGCTGGAAAGAGACTGAGCGTGACTCTGGGGTCTTATTTTTAATCATACTTGTTTCCCTTGATATGAGTCTATCTTCGCTCCTTGGTGCTAGGCAGCATTTATTTATTCTTTCATGTATGCATTCATTCATATATTTATGCATTCCTCCATTCAAAAGATCTTATTTAGCATCTCCTGCCCATTAAAATAAATACATGGCTCTGTAATGAAAGATGTGTATTCCTGTACTTATGTTCCACATTAAATTGTCTTGGGTACTGGTGACCGGTGTCACCAGTGCTATCTGTAGCATTCCTGGTAAGAAAAGTTGGTTTATCTCTGTAGCTCCCCTACTCATGCCCCACTCTCCTTCCTTGGAAGCATTTATTGAAAACATACAGTGGAGAAACACTGGCCTGTTTTATCACTTCAGCACCTTATGGTGTCTCCCACCTTTCCCACTGTATCAGGTTTGCTTTTCAACACTTTCCTCCCCTTATGGATTCCTGTTTTCTTTCTGCGTCAAGACTGATATCTTACTCATAAACAATACTTCAGTATATCTTGGATTGATTTGAGATAAGTCATATCCTTTCTAATTATTTAACTACAATTTCCTCATCTAAGTGGCATAACATGTGAGTTCAAGAGGGTAAGAAGAATGGGAAGACATTCTCACGAAAAGGAAATCCTCTTCTCAGAGGCATCAGAGGGAGGGTGCGGCAGAGACCAAAGAACACTTGCCACTGAAGTGACTCCAGCACAGACAAAGAAAATAGTGAAAGGGGCTCTTCATATTAGAGGGTGAACATAGACTATGTTTTAAAAGTCAAGGAGTGGCAGATATACTCGACTGTGAGGGAATCTAGTCACTGTGAAGACGTGACAAGCCTAGCTCCACTGAGGCCTGGGAAACAAGGGTGAGTTAATAGGTTAACTCAGGAAAGCAGCATGTGACCATCTGTGATTGGACAGGAAATTGCCTAAGACGTCACCCTGGAAGAGTCTCATACACTGTCCCATCTGGCAAGAGCCTGCACATCCTGCAATGTAGAAGTTTTCAAACTTTTATAAACCTCTGTATCCTTTACTTAAACAAAATCCCTTTTGGAAAGCAAATTTGAAAACCAGGTGAAAACAGAAGTTCTCTGATGGAAGTTGGAAATAGAGCCTTGGAGTCCCCCACAACCCGCCACATCATGCCTGCTTTTTCCTCCCTTCTCTAGCAAAGCTCCCTGCATCTGAGTCCAGAGCTCTCATGCTAAATGCTCATAGTGTTTCATTAAATGTCATAGTTGCTGACGTGGATTGGAAACTGGTTGCTTGAAACATCTTTTCGTTAATTTTTTTTCCTAAAATAAACGAAAAAAATTAAATTAAGTTTTGGTTAAGCAGCCAGCCTAGATTCACATGGCCCTGAATCTTGGAATTTCCAGTTAGGTATTCATGGAAGATCGTCTAATACAACATATGTAACTTTGCAGCTGGTGCTAGCATATGATTTATTTGAGAGTAAAAAAGAAAACAAAAATTTAGAACAGAAAGCTGGGGATTAAATCATACCAAATCCTAGCAATGCCTAAACTTAGCATAGTTTCCAAGAAGTTCAGAACATGTTAAAGTTGTATTTGCTCTTCACATCCATACTATTTGTTTCCTCTGGGAGCATCTTCTTCCCCCATAATTCTCTTTTAAATGTAATTTTCTGAAATTATTCCTTTACCCCTTATGACAAGCATAAGAGGGCTCTCGTGTGGCTGTGTCAGCTGACTCCGGACTATTTCCAGGCAGCCAGATTATTTCCGTGGTTTTCTTGGTTGCTTCATGCTGGCTGCTCTGTGAAAGGCCTCAAACATATTTGTATTTTTCCATATTAAACTTAGTCTTGAAATTTCAATCTTGCTTCATATTTTTTTATGCTGGGGAATTCAGCCGTTTTAATTTTGTAACTCCATTTGAGTGTCAGATATTTTTTCTATTTTTTTGTCCTGCAAGTCTTGAAATGGTCTTTAGCCAGAAACATTAAGTATTTAATGCTATTTTGTTGTGAGAGTTACACGTGGGAAAAATTTGCCCCACGGTCTGTATTCTTCCTACATATGGCCATGCAGTAGCTTTATGGATAACCATTGACCAGACACTTAACAGACACTTGGTACACACTGGTTCCGTCAGTCCTCATGGTTACCTTCTGGGTAGAAATGATTGATCAATTAACCCCAAGTCCCAGGGCACACAGCAGAGCGGTAGTCACTCGTTGAACACAGTTCTGTGCCACTGCAGTCCAGACATAACACATACATACTCTGGGGATAGAAATCTTGCTTCCCTAACAGAGAGAAAGTGTCTGGAGACACGAGGACTGTCACATTAACTCCCTCAAGTCCACAATAATGTCTCCATGCCACCACCCGGTCCCACAGGCCTGAAAGAATCCTCCCCTTCAAGCTGTCACTCAATCTCTCTTATTTCCCTTATCAAACTTGTTGAATTTATAGTTTATACTACCTCAACATAGTAGGTGTCTGCAAATGATTGTTACATGAGTTAATAAATGAATAGATCAATGAAGAAATAGATACTTAAATGACACTTAAATAAAGGGTCTATTTCTCATTAGGCTGAGTTGTTTATAAGAAGTCTTATGCCCATGACTTTTACTCTCCTAAGACTAAAGTTTTTAAAATTACCATGGGAAGAATTTGGATATATCAACTGACTGGACATTCAATTAACTAATTTATTTATTTAGAGACAAGGTCTCCCTCTGTCGCTTAGGCTGGAGTGTAGGGACCTCAAACTCTTGGGCTTAAGCAATCTTCCTGCCTCAGACTCCCAAGTAGCTAGAACTACAGATGTGCACCACCATGTCCCACTGATTTTTAAGATTTTTTGTAGAGATGAGGTCTCACTATGTTGGCCAGGCTAGTCTCAAACTCCTGGCCTCAAGCAGTTCTCTCACCTCGGCCTCCCAGAGTGTTGGGATTATAGGTGTGAGCCACCACACTCAGCCTTACTGGAGATTTTATATGAAGCATAGCACATTTATTTTTGGTGATTTGCATGCCATGCTACAAGCATTTAGTATCAGATTATTTTGAGCATTTTATTAATTTGTTTGTCAATAATATTTTCTTATCTGCATGGTTTATTAAACACTGTGGAAAATGCTTATAGTTAGCACATTTGTGAAACAGATTTTTGCAGCTATAGCTCCTTTTAAAGGAAATTCAAACCAAGAGACTTTCTGGGGATGAGTGCTACTCATACCATAGCTCAGTTCAGCCCTGTCAAAACCGTCCTTTCCCAGCTCTTACATCTGTGAATGTGAATTTGAGATGGATTTGAAATATGTGAGGAAGCTTCCTGTGAGATTTTGATCATGTGCCCAGACTATGACTTGCTTGTTTGGAGTCTGTGACATACACACGTGTGTGGCCTGCAGAGCTTTTAGTCCATGATTCAGAATTCAAACTATATTCCATTGTTTCAGAATTTTTCTGTTTTTCACAAAGTGAAATGTTCTCTAAGCCTGCTACCCAGTTCTTTTTAATTACTCTTAACTACTTATGCCTCAGCCATAATTCTTTCTTTATTTTTTTATTATTATACTTTTTGAGGCAGAGTCTTGCTCTGTTGCCCAGGCTGGAATGCAGTGGCATAACCATGGCTCATTGCAGCCTCCGCCTCCTGGGCTCAAGTGATCCTCCCACATCAGCCTCTCAAGTAGCTGGGACTACAGCTCTCGTACGGCAACTGGGGAACTACAGGTGTATGCCACCACACCCAGCTAATTGTTATTATTATTATTTTTGTAGAGACAGGGTCTTGCTATGCTGTTCCGGCTGGTCTCAAACTCCTAGCCTCAAGTGATCCTCCCTCATCAGCCTCCTAAAGTTATAATCATTTATGATGACCATTGGGCTGGTCAGCTGGTTTTCCTTGAACCAGTCAATTCTTTTTCTTTTTTTTTTTCTATTGAGACAGAGTGTCACTCTGTCACCCAGGCTAGAGTGCAGTGGCATGATCTTGGCTCATTGCAACCTCCACTTCCCGGGCTCAAGCAATTCTCCTGCCTCAGCTTCTCAAGTGGCTGGGATTACAGGCATGTGCCACCATGCCTGGCTAAGAATCAGTCAATTCTTATGAATTCTCACTGAAAGAAATAACATTTAACCTTTACTGGGCTCTCTATACCTTTAACATACAAAACTATTTTATCCTCACAATAATCCTGTGGAATAGTTAGGGTGGATACTATTATTTCCATTTCATAGGTGAAGAAACTGGGACAACTTTCCATGACTAAATCTTTTGTCCAAGACAGTTCCTCTAGCAAGTAGTAGAGACAGAAACTTGAAAAAGGTCTTTGGCTGCTAAACCAGGTAATTCAGCTCTTAAGACAAAAGATTAATCCCTGCAGACATCTTTTTATACTTGTCACTGAGATGCATTTTTAGTTCTAATAGAAAATTATTGATGAAACCACCAATAAGACTGCACAGTCCCTTTTTGCTTAAACTGACATCTTCTCCCGTGAATTATACCCTTCTCTCTCAAGGGTGTTTCTTGCCCTTGGCACAGATTCTTTCCCTCATCCTGTGAACATGGCTGCTCTGTGAAATACATGAAGGAGCACAACCCTAACAATTGTTGCAACCCATAACTCCTTGAGCATCACTTTTCTCTTTGTCATCAGCCTTATTACTTAACTTGGATCTTGACCTTGACCTCACCCCCTTGTAGTACATTTTCAAACATTACTATTAACATCCACCATTTTAAAAAAGTCAAATGGCTTTTCTTCAGTTCACATTTTCATCAGTCCTTTTTAGTATTCAATGCTCAGTCTTGGAAACCCTCAGCTTGGAGTTTCTGCACTTTATTTTTCTCCCTGTACCTTTCTGATTATTTCCCCTCCTTTGCTGGTGTCTCCTTCCTTCCCTTCCTCTTGAATTTTGCCATTCACCAATGTCCTGTTTTGAGTCTTCACTTTTAATCTCTGGCCACTATTTCTCCAGGACAGTCTCATCTATTCCCACAACTTCACCCAACATCCCCACAAAAATGTCTTCCTAAACTCGAGCCCTACTGTTTTCCTGAACTCCTGTCTCATAGTTTCCACTGCCACCAGGACACTTCCATCTGGATAGATCTGGTTTCATTTTCTTTTAAACCAAGACTCCTATTCCTCCTTATATACTTCTTACCTAGCACAGCTTGCTAAATCACAGACGTGGGTTCAAATGCCAACTCTGCCAATTACTAGCTAAATGACCAATTATTCAACCTTTTTATTTTCTCATCTAAAAAATGGAAATAATAACAGCACCTGCCTTAGATGGTTGTTTGGAGACTAAAATAATACATATAAAATATATTAGTACAATGACTGGCACACAGTGAACACACACAAAATATTTGTAATTATTTTTATGAATAAAATGCTTCAGTGGTATCCATTGTCTAGCACGGCAAAAGGAACAACCAGCAGAGTAAACAGACAACCCACAGAGTGGGAGAAAATCCTCACAATTGATATATCTGACAAAGGACTAATATCCAGAATCTGCAACAAACTCAAATAAATTAGCCAGAATAAAACAAACAATGTCATCAAAAAGTGGGCTAAGGACATGAACAGACAATTCTCAAAAGAAGATATACAAATGGCCAACAAACATATGAAAATATGCTCAACATCACTTATGATCAGGGAAATGCAAATCAAAACCACAATGCGATACCACCTTAATCCTGCAAGAATGCCCATAATCAAAAAATCAAAAAACAGTAGATGTTGGCATGGATGCAGTGAACAGGGAACACTTCTACACTGCTGGTGGGAATGTAAACTAGCACAGCCGCTATGGAAAACAGTGTGGAGGTTCCTTAAATAACTAAAAGTAGAACTACCATTTGATCCAGCAATTCCGCTACTGAGTATCTACCCAGAGGAAAAGAACTAAATTATACAAAAAAGATACTTGCATATGCATGTTTATACCAGCACAATTCGCAGTTGCAAAAATGTGGAACCAACCCAAATGCCCATGAATCAACAAGTGGATAAAGAAACTGTGATATATATTTATCATATATATATTTTATCATATATCATATATATACATTATATATATAAAAAATATAACAGAATACTATATATGATATATATAATACTCTGTATATTATAATATATATACTATATATAGAGTATATATATTATATATGATGGAATACTATTATATGTGGTAGAATACTACTCAGCCATAAAAAGGAATGAATTAATGGCATTTGCAGCAACCTGGATGAGATTAGAGACTGTTCTTCTAAGTGAAGTAAATCAGGAATGGAAAGTCAAACATCTTATGTTCTCACTCATAAGTGGGAGCTAAGCTGTGAAGATGCAAAGGCATAAAAATGACACAATGGACTCTGGGGACTCAGGAGGAAAGGGTGGGAAGGGGGTCAGGTTTAGATAAAAGACTACAAATTGAGTATATACTGCTCAGGTAATGGGTGCACTAAAATCTCACAAATCATCACTAAAGAACTTACACATGTAACCAAACACCACCTGTTCCCCAGTAACCTATAGAAATAAAAAATTAATTTTTAAAAAAAGCAAAACAGATATAAACTAACTTTAGCACTTAAGACCTTCCATGCTCAGGTCTAAAAATAACTTACCGGTCCCACTTCCCTCTCATCCTACCCCCTTACAAACAAAGTGAATTATATTTTTTCCCAAATGTGCCTTGTACCTGTCCTGCTTTTTTATATTTTTTATTCTCCTCTATTTCTACTTAATACAAGTCTACCCATTCTGCAAGACTTAGTATAAGGGTTACTTCGCTGATAATTTCCTCCATTACCTTTCTCCCTTTGTGAGATAGGTTTTTTTTACAGAAAGTTTTTAGTTTTCAATGAACTTGTAAACAAAAAAAGTTCCCATTTCAAAATAAAAACAAAATCCCAGATCATGCAGATGTTTACAGTGATTATGTTTATCTAAGCAACATGGATACATGTTTAGTTGTAAGATGTTAACTAAATTTCTGTGACAAATATGCTTTTTTAAATAACAAGAATATTATAAAATTAATGCAGAGTCCTAAGAATAACCTAGTAGTTACTAAGTTTTTCTTACATCTTCATTTTGGACGCTGTTATTTCTAGCACGAATGAGCAGGCAGAGCCTTTCATATGCTCAAACAATGGAATATTTGGTTGCTATCATATCAATTGGCTTTCAAGCAACAAGACAACCATTTTAAGAATGTTTTAAGTGAAGAACTTGCAAAGCCCAGGGATGGAAAAATGCTAAGAATGCACAATTGCGAGCACTTACAACCATCACAACTGTGGCTGAAGACTTTATCTCCTTCTTCTTAAATGACATCTCAAAGTAGTATAGTTCAAAACAAAAGGTTTTAACAAAAAAATTGGCATTTGCCCAATTTCTCCACTAATTTGTGTGAGTCAAACATTTAATTTTTTCACTTGAAAAAAAATGCAATAGAAAACCGGACATCATGTTTCACTATCTCAGTTAATATTCACGATTACAGCAGCTGCAATTCAGGATGCAGCATTACCAGTGCTGCCCAGAGTCAGTTCATACTGAAATTAAGTTCCTAACACCAAGTAGTTGGTTGCAACTACCATTGGCTAGTGTACATATGAAATAAAATTTCTAGCAGCAACAAATGCGAGATCAAAAGCAACAGATCATCTGCTCTGCTTCTTCTGTTACTCAGCTCGTGCTTAGAAACCAGTGGGGGTTTGGGCCTGCTGACCCTGCCCACTGGAAGAGGCTGTCTGCTGCGCTACTTTCAACTTTCACATTGTCCAATAAAATGTTTAGTCGTATTGGTGGTTCAGGGTCCTCGAAAGAATGCGGAATAGCTGTCTGAGATACACCTCATCCGGGACTTCCTCAAAGTGTAGCCCGCGATTATAGTTTAAGCACATGGCAAATTCTGCAGGAAACCCCTTACATAAAACTTCAACAGGAGTGGGCATCTTCTTTTCACTAATCTTTTCATATTTTTGTTTCTTTGTTGCGGACCTAAGTCCTTGCCATGGCAAGCTGGTTCTGTTAAAACACATCAAAACAGCCTAAGGATTCCATATCATCTCTGTGACTCTGCTCGATACCAAGATGTGCATTGATGCTGGCACGTCGGGCAGTGCTAGTGAGATTTTTATATTACCTGCACAGTATGCGTTGCCTTGTCCTGCTGTTGCTGTATTTTTTGACCAAACCAGAATCAATACGGAATAACTTACTACAGTGGTGTCCAATACCTTTAGGGAGTTATCTGGTTTAACGTCTCTATGTATAAAATTGTTTGTATGCACATACTCAATTTTATTGATTGTCTGGTCAGCTAACATAAGCACAGTTTTCATTGTGAACCTTCTTGAAGAGAAATTGAAGAGGTCTTCGAGGCTAGGTCCCGGAAGGTCTATGACTGGTACATTGCAGTCTTTTTCCTGATCATACCACGGTATGTGGGGGATGCCAAGCCTGCCTTGAAGAATCTCACAGAGTTTGCTTTCCTACAGCAACTGGGGATGCCTGGCCTTTTGAGATTCTAGCTTCACTGCCACTTGCTCGCCATTGGTGATATCGATGGCCAGATAAAGGTCCCAGAAGGAGCCAGACCTGATCTTCCTTACTAGTTTATATTTCCCTCAAACAATAAATTCGGCCTTGGATCCGCTGCTGCTCGCCATCCTAAGAGATGAAGACAGAGGCTGAGGCCAAGTCCAGACGCCTCTGAGAGGAGGACGGAGGCCTCTGGGGCTCCTCCACGGCGGAAGGTGGCAGGAAACGGGACATGGAACACGGAGGCCTCCCTCATATTCGCGGCCCGGAATCAGCTGACGGGGAACCTGATCACCGCTGCTCAGTCAGGTTTCTTGTTGCCAGGCTGCGGTTTGTGAAAGGGTTCTTGCAGTTACAAGGCTGGGCCACTTGTTTCTGGGCGGCGCCACTGCCTTGCTGTCTCAGCTATGTGCAGGCTGGAAAAAGGGGTGCGGTGAGCTAGAGCAGGGATACCATTGCCACCACTGCCAGCAGCTCCAGCCCGGAAGGACCCCTGTCCCTCTGCCGACGCTGCCGTCTTGTTACTCCAGCTCCAGCCCAATAGTTTCACTCTGAATTTTCTTAGCGCATTACACTTTCTTAAAGCCCTTTTCATATTTTCCTTATCTTCACCTCATTCTCTTAATGGAAGGTGATTTGTTGAAAAAAGGCTGATGTTTTCATTGTGTCCCTGCCCATTCTCCAAGGTTTACCAGTTGCTTTGTAGAAACTTGCTCAACAGGGGAAATGTTAGGTTACATGCAATAGAATAGAAAAAGTGGCACTTAGTACTTTTGAGGGTAAGTGTCCCTTTAAGGGTAAGTGTCCCTTCTTTCAGTAAGAGTTCTTTCGCTTTGCAAGTCTGAGGGAAATCCTAGTGACTATGTATGCTGAAGTGGTTTGATACGGTTTTGCAGTGTCCCCACCCAAATCTCATCTTGAATTGTAGGTCCCATAATTCTCACATGTCTTGGGAGTGGTCCCGTGGGAAGTAATTAAATCATGGGGACGGGTCTTTTCCCGTGCTATTCTTGTGATAGTGAATAAGTCTCACAAGATGTGATGGTTTTCAAAAGGGGGAGTTCCCCTGCACATGCTCTCTTACCTAGTACCATGTAAGACCCTGACTTTGCTCCTCATTCGCCTTCTGCCAGGATTGTGAGGCCTCCCCAGCCATGTGGAACTATGAATCAATTAAATCTCTTTCCTTTTTAAATTACCTGGTCTCAGGTATGTCTTTATTAGCAGCGTGAGAACAGACTAATACATGGTTAAACCCAAGAAACCACAGTGAACTCTCAAAGAAAATATATTTATCAGACTGTCTCAGTATATGTGGACCACATGTTAGTTAAGTATCCCCTAGACTTTTGTATGAACAAATTGAAAGCAAGTAGACTGAACTCACTCCCACTTAGTAAGCACGTCTGATCTACAAGGCTAGAAATTGCAAAAATAATCAGACACGAATTTAGCTCTTAGAAGTTAATTTGCTCATGAAATGGATGCAGCCTAATTATTGCATAAATTATTATTTCTTCAAGTAGCTGTTAAAATCTTAGGTGTAATTCCTATTATGCCAATGAATATTTATGTGGTATATATCTCCAAAAATATTATGAAAGACAGGGAAAATAAGATTCAAAATGCAAGTGTGTGCTTTCTAGGCAATTTATCCAGAAATACAAATTTAATCAAAGTCCTTTTTTACTATTCTTTAAGTTCTGGCACTTCTTACTACTGATAATAGATCTTGTCACATTGGCATAACTAATATCTGTTGGGCATTCTTGGAGAGGTAAGTGGAGAGGGACTTAAAGGATTTGTGTGGTTAGACAGCTGTCTGGACTATTTCAATAAGCCCTGCCTGCGAGGGTCCTTTGTTGGGTCTTGGGGAGCTGATAAAAGTGAATGATTCTTAAGCCATTTTATACACCAAAACATGAGTAGGTATTTGTTGGGATTTGGCTTAAGACTGAGGACATGCAACTATTCAGTTTCAGAATCACATACTGCATTGTGGAGAATTTTGGAGATTCGTTCTATTTCAGAAAGGAGACCAAATTACCTACTCTCCAAATCGTCTCATAAAAAAATTTAATCCTAGAGATCAATTGAAAAGGAAATCAACTTCTGCTTCCCTGTTTCATATTAGTGGTCCTTGAAGTTAGGGTAATATAAATGTATTATTTCCCATTTAAATCACATGCAATGAAAAGAGTTTCTGACACAGAATAGCAGAATACATGCTAAATAAGAGTTAGATTTATTATTTTTATTTTTGTGTGTGCTTTCTCAACTAAATTCAATTTCAGGTAAAATGCAGAGATAGCCTCAGCCTATCACCCTGCAACTAGACTCTGTGCGTTCTGCAGTGAAGCTGATAAAAGACAGTGCCCTATCTTTAGGCACAGCCTAGTTCTCCTCTGCGGTCTTGGGAAAGAAAACTAAGTTTCCAGGCCACACAGCTTTCAAAAGTAGAATGCCTGTGGTGGTGTAGAAGAATGTATATAGATAGAATGCATGGGACAAAATAGTTTTTATAGAAATCTTCTCTGAGGATTATAGCCAGAACCCCTCAGAAAACTCTATCTTAAAAGCTACACAACTAGAGCTTCTGTTTGTTTTCTTCCATGGCTTTAAGGCTCAGCTTGAGGTCATAAGCCCCCATCAGGTCCCCCAGTGTCTTCTGTTACTGAGCTCTTCTAGCGCCCTGCTGTCTACGTTGTAAGAGCAAATCTACATACTATTTACATGGAAGGTTAGCGCAGTCTTTCTATAAAAAGGTACCAGTGCATGTTACATATTTTACCTACACACACTTGGATCTTTATGACTCAATATCTGTAAATATACCCGTCTATGTAACTATACATACATAGGTGTATTTAACACAGTCCCAGCAAAATAATATATACATATAATTCTATAGACAGAGTATGTCATAGGATAATATATTGAGATATAAAATTATATTTTCCTCTATATTTTTCCCTGACTTTGCCAAGAACTGTGTATCTCCTAGTCTCAGAGGTGTCTTCAGGACTTCAGTTGAAACCTACATGAAGGCAATATCTCTTTCCAACTTTTGGAAAAGCCTGAGCTCATAGGAAGAGGTTGTCAGATGTCTTCAACTAAGAGGGGAAAGGAAAAAGGTTTCAGGGAGGCATGAGAGAGGGAGAGGTTTCCTTAAACTGGAAAGAGACATCTGGGCTGTTTCCACCAGGCATAAAGACCCATGCTCTACTTCTAGGTCCCTGGAAACTCCTGGGGTAGTTGTGAGGTGGGCCTAGGGAGGCAGGATCCCTCAGATCTGGATCCTTAAGAGTGTGTGAGTGAGGAAAAATGGAAACTCATACGTTGTCTTCTCCAAAACTCCAGTAGGTGGCAGAATGGAAATTTAAACCCAGGGCTCATTCCAAAGTCAATGCACGTTCCAATCTCAGTGCTTTTTAGATGTAGTAAGTGAAGATAGTTATCTCGTATGTGGAAGGGGGATGTGTAGGGGATGTATATTTCAAGTATTCTCCAAAGGATGTGATAGACAAAGTGCAGAATTTGGAATTAAATGATACAGGTTTGAATCACAGCAGAGCAATCTTGGGTGTTATCTGCAAAAAGGAAATAATAATGCTTACACCATTTATTTATGATGTAATTGAACTGATAAGTACTTTGCAAATTGAATGACTACATATGTTGTTTTTACTACCTTCTGACCTTTAAGACTGTTTCCCATGATCAGGTACTACACAGCAATAAAAGGTAAACAGGAATTCACAGACATGTAACTCATTTCCTTAGTCTATGGCATTTTCTTGAACTAAAAAAAGAAATTTGTCTCTAGAATATTAATCAAAATACTACCTGTATACATGTATTACAAATTCTATATACTCCCATTCACTAGTACTCCAAGCAGCTTGATTACAAATGTTGAATTACCAGATGTACACAGAAACAGAATATAGAACTGGAAACAGCATTCTTGTGTGAAAAAAAAAACTGATTTTTGTATAAGGCAGATTTGGATTCAAAAACTGAGTTTGCAACTTTTGAGACTTACATTCTTGGGTATGTTAACCTCTCTAATACTGTTTTCTCACCTATACAGTGGAAATAATAACATTAATATCCAGCATGACAGTTTTGAGGATAATTAAATCCCCACATGCAACGTACATCATGCTTGTCACATAATAGCAGCTCAATAAATATTAATTTCTCTTAGAGTGGAAAGACACCTAAAATCACCTACTTTATTACTCTTACATTGCAGATGAGGAAATTGAGCCCCTAAATTTTCATTTGTTTTTATTTCATTGGGAGCAAAACTTTTGGAACTATGGCTCAAGTGTCTTGATTAGAATATTTCAACACACTAAATATTTATACTAAATGATTTTCTAGGATGCAAATTAAGTATGATTCTTGAGGAAATTGTTATAATGCAATGAGGTAAAACAAGTCCATTGGAATATAATTTTCCGTTAAATGTACATCATGAAGCAACACAATGAGTTACCTTCCTTAATAATTTTGGAATCTTGCCTGAGAGGCAGCCATATGATAAAGTGTCATATTATCATCATCACTTTCATTGGCATGAGCTAAATGTGATTCTAAGAATAAATGCAAAGGCAGCAGATTCCTTAGTTGCATAAATCATGGCCAGGAAGTCATGCATCATAATTCCCACCTTTAGTTTTATCTTAGGAAAGTGAAAATGTTCCCTTAATCATGAGGATTCTTGATGAATATAGTTATATTAAGAATCAGCTTCCTGTTACGCTGTGATCTGTCACTTACGAGGACCATACCCCAGGGTGGAATCTTCCCCAGAGCAGCTCTTTTTTCTACTGACCTACAGGGATTATGTGACTTATGTGGATCCTCACGTACCTCTCTTTGGTAAATTCTTGAAAGGCCAGGGTGTTTATAGCCATATATTTTTTGCCCCTTTATGAAGCACCTTTAATCTATTTCAGAAATGCTTCAGATATTTACTTTTTGTGCAAGGTAAATTAGCCAAGTATGTTAACAGTTTAATTTTTTGTTGATAGCCTGGCTACTTTCAAAATAGATTTGCTGCTGCAGCTGAATAATTATTCACTGACTGAATTAATTGATTAATGGGCTTTGAGGATAATTTTCACAATTGTTACATTTATTTAAAGAAATTTAATGTTCATAATTAGAAAATTACTTCATATTCTTCCCTCTACACTATAACTCAGAAAAGACCATCTTTCCTACTGTAGTCAAACCCTGTAATTTCCTAGATATGACATGTTCTCTCATATCTTAATGCCATTGCCTATGCTCTTCCTTTCCTCTTCACACTTGGCCTGATAGACTCCTACTACTTCTTCACACCCAGGATCAAGCATTGCTGCCTTGCCAAACTTATTCATTCATTCAACAAAAGTTTAATGAGCATCGACTAAGTCAGGGGCTTGATGCTGGGCATCGTCCAATGTGCCCATGTGGGATGCATTCAAGTGGACAGCTGCAGTGGGCTGTGTGTGAATGGACGCACATAAGAGGAGGAATGAACACAGCCAGTAGGCAGAGTTGGCAAGGTCTCAGAATGTCCCCAAAGATGGTAACCCCTGAGCTGGGTCTTCAAGTGCAAGACAAATAGGAGAACAGTGTGATCATTTTCATCAGGAACCATTTGATTGGAAGGCAATCCTTCCATTCGGTTGGAATGCCAAACTGAATTAAAGGGAGGATTATTTTAAAGAACCAGAGGAATCTGATGGAATCCATTAATGAGAAGCACTTTGAAGGGAGGCACTGGGCAAGTGGAGTTAGATTTCTTAGAACCCTCCACCAGCTTTCCTCACTGGTCTTTAACTCATTTCTCACCACTCAGAACACTATCATTCCTGTTACCATCTGGGTGGGGCAGAGCATTCAACTGTTGCAATTCAGCCAGGTACATGACTAATTTCTAGACACATCTTGGGTAGTCTGAACGTGAATAACAGATTGTAGGCCTTCTTTTCTTTTCTCTTTTCTTTTCCCTCCCTCCCTCTCTCTTTCTCTCTTTCTTTCTTTCTCTCTTTCTTCTTTCCTTCTTTCTTTCCTCCCTTCCTTCCTTCCTTCTTTCTACCTTTCTAATTATACTTTAAGTTCTAAGATACATGTGCAGAACATGCAGGTTTGTTACATAGGTATACATGTGCCATGGTGGTTTGCTGTACCCATCAACCCGTCATCTACATTAGATATTTCTCCTAATGTTATCCCTTCCCTTGCCCCCAACTCCCCGACAGGCCCTGGTGTGTGATGTCCCCCTCCCTGTGCCGATATGTTCTCATTGTTCAATTCCCACTTATGAATGAGAGCATGAGGTGTTTGGTTTTCTGTTCCTGTGTTAGTCTATGGAAAATGGTGGTTTCCAGCTTCATTCATATGCCTGCAAAGGACATGAACTCATTCTTTTTTATGACTGCATAGTATTCCGTGGTGTATATGTGTCACATTTTCTTTATCTAGTCTATCATTGATGGGCATTTGGGTTGGTTCCAAGTCTTTGCTATTGTGAATGTGCTGCAATATACATACGTGTACATGTGTCTTTATAGCAGAATGATTTATAATCCTTTGGGTATATACCCAGCAATGGGATTGCTGGGTCAAATGGTATTTCTGGTTCTGGAACCCTGAGGAATCGCCACACTGTCTTCCACAATGGTTGAACTAATTTACACTCCCACCAACCGTGTAAAAGTGTTCCTATTTCTCCACATCCTCTTCAGCATCTGTTGTTTCCTGACTTTGTAATGATTGCCATTCTAACTGGTGTGAAATGGTATCTCATTGTGGTTTTGATTTGCATTTCTGTAATGACCAATGATGACGAGCTTTTTTTCGTATGTTTATTGGCCCCATAAATGTCTTCTTTTGAGAAATGTCTATTCATATCCTTTGCCCACTTTTTGATGGTTTTTTTTTTCTTGTAAATTTAAGTTCCTTGTAGATGCTGGATATTAGCCCTTTGTCAGATGGATAGACTGCAAAAACTTTCTCCCATTCTGTAGGTTGCCTGTTCACTCTAATGATAGTTTCTTTAGCTGTGCAGAAGCGCTTTAGTTTAATTAGATCCTGTTTGTCAATTTTGGCTTCTGTTGCCATTGCTTTTGGTGTTTTAGTCATGAAGTCTTTGTCCATGCCTGTGTCCTGAATGGTATTGCCTAGATTTTCTTCTAGGGTTTTTTATGGTTTTAGGTCTTTTATTTAAGGCTTTAATCCATCTTGAGTTAATTTTTGTATAAGGTGAAGGAAGGGGTCTAGTTTCAGTTTTCTGCATATGGCTAGCCAGTTTTCCCACAATAGGGAATTCTTTCCCCATTGCTTGTTTTTGTCAGGTTTGTCAAAGATCAGATGGTTGTAGATGTGTGATATTACTTCTGAGGCCTCTGTTCTGTTCCATTGGTCTATATATCTGTTTTGGTATCAGTACCAAGCTGTTTTGGTTACTGTAACCTTGTAGTATAGTTTGAAGTCAGGTAACGTGATTCCTCTAGCTTTGTTCTTTTTGCTTAGGATTGTCTTGGCTATTTTTGGTTCCATATGAAATTTAAAGTAGTTTTTTTCTAATTCTGTTAAGAAAGTCAATGGTAGCTTGATGGGGATGGCATTGAATCTATATATTACTTTGGTCAGTATGGCCATTTTCGTGATATTGATTCTTCTTATCCATGAGCATGGAATGTTTTTTCATTTGTTTGTGTCCTCTCATTTCCTTGAGCAGTGGTTTGTAGTTCTCCTTGAAGAGGTCCTTCATATCCCTTGTAAGTTGGATTCCTAGGTATTTTATTCTCTTTGTAGCAATTGTGAACGGGTGTTCACTCATGATTTGGCTCTCTGTTTGTCTATTATTGGTGTATAGGAATGCTCCTGATTTTTGCACATTGATTTTGTATCCTGAAACTTTGCTGAAGTTTCTTATCAGCTTAAGGAGTTTTTGGGCTGAGATGATGGGTTTTCTAAATACACAATCACGTCATCTGCAAACAGACAATTTGACTTCCTCTCTTCCTATTTGAATATGCTTTATTTCTTTCTCTTGCATGATTGCCCTGCTATCTTTCAATATTGCCCTGCAATAACTTTCAACACTATGTTGAATAGGAGTGGTGAGAGAGTGTATCCTTTGTCTTGTGCTGGTTTTCAAAGGGAATGCTTCCAGCTTTTGCCCATTCAGTATTATATTGGCTGTGGGTTTGTCATAAATAGCTCTCATTATTTTGAGATACGTTCCATCAATACCTACTTTATTTAGTGTTTTTAGCATGAAAGAGTGTTGAATTTTATCAAAAGTCTTCTCTGCATCTATTGAAATAATCATGTGGTTTTTGCCATTGGTTCTGTTTATGTGATGGATTACATTTATTGATTTGCGTATGTTGAACCAGCCTTGCATCCCAGGGATGAAGCTGACTTGATCATTGTGGATAAGGTTTTTAATGTGCTGCTGGATTTGGTTTGCCAGTATTTTATTGAGGATTTTCGCATCGATGTTCATCATGGATATTAGCCTAAAATTTTCTTTTTTTGTTGTGTCTCTGCCAGGTTTTGGTATCAGAGTGATGCTGGTCTCACAAAATGAGTTAGGGAGGAGTCCCTCCTTTTCTATTGGAATAGTTTCAGAAGGAATGGTACCAGCTCCTTTTTGTACCTCTGGTAGAATCCGGCTGTGAATTTGTCTGATCCTGGGCTTTTTATGGTTGGTAGGCTATTAATTACTGCCTCAATTTCAGAGCTTGTTATTGGTCTATTCAGGGATTCGACTTCTTCCTGGTTAATCTTGGGCGGGTGTATATGTCCAGGAATGTATCCATTTCTTCTAGATTTTCTAGTTTATTTGCATAGAGGTATTTATACTATTCTCTGATGGTAGTTTGCATTTCTGTGGGATCAGTGGTATTCTCCCTTTATCATTTTTTATTGTGCCTATTTGATTCTTCTCTTTTCTTCTTTATTAGTCTTGCTAGTCGTCGATCTCTTTTGTTAATCTTTTCAAAAAACCAGCTCCTGGATTCTTTGATTTTTTGAAGGGTTTTTTTGTGTCTCTATCTCCTGCAGGTCTGCTCTAATCTTAGTTATTTACTGTCTTCTGCTAACTTTTGAATTTTTTGCTCTTGCTTCTCTAGCTCTTTTAATTGAGATGTTAGGGTGTCGATTTTAGATATTCCTGGTTTTCTCGTGTGGGCACTTAGTGCTATAAATTTCCCTCTTAACACTGCTTTAGCTGTGCCCCAGAGATTCTGGTACATTGTGTCTTTTTTTCTCATTCGTTTCAAAGAACTTATTTATTCCTACCTTAATTTCGTTATTTACCCAGTAGTCATTTAGGAACAGGTTGTTCAGTTTCCATGTAGTTGTTTGGCTTTGAGTGAGTTTCTTAATCCTGAATCCTAATTTGATTGCACTGTGGTCTGAGAGACTGTTTTTTATTATTTCCATTATTTTGCATTTGCTGAGGAGGGTTTTACTTTGAATTATGTGGTCAATTTTAGAAAAAGTGCTATGTGGTGCTGAGAAGAATGTATATTCTGTTGATTTGGGGTGGAAAGTTCTGTATATGTCTATTAGTTCCACTTGGTCCAGAGCTGAGTTCAAGTCCTGAATATCCTTGTTAATTTTCTGTCTCCTTGATCTAATGTTGACAGTGGGCTGTTAAATTTTCCTGCTATTATTGTGTGGGAGTCTAAGTCTCTTTGTAGGTCTCTAAGAAGTTGCTTTATGAATCTGGGTGCTCCTGTTTTGGCTGCATATATATTTAGGATAGTTAGTTCTTCATGTTGTATTGATACCTTTACCATTATGTAATGCCCTTGTTTGTCTTTTTTGATCTTTGTTAGTATAAAGTCTGTTTTATCAGAGACTAGGATTGCAACCCCTGCTTTTTTTTTTTTTTTTTTTTTTTTTTTTTTTTTTTTTTTTTGCTTTCCATTTACTTGGTAAATATTTCTCTATCCCTTTATTTTGAGCCTATGTGTGTATTTGCATGTGAGATGGGTCTTCTGAATACAGCGCACCAATGGGCCTTGACTCTTTATCTAATTTGCCAGTCTGTGTCTTTTAATTGGGGCATTTAGCTCATTTACATTTAAGGTTAATATTGTTTTGTGTGAATTTGATCCTGTCATTATGATGCTAGCTGGTTATTTTGCCCGTTAGTTGATGCAGTTTCTTCATAGTGTAGGTGGTCTTTACAATTTGGTATGCTTTTGCAGTGGCTAGTACCGGTTTTTCCTTTCCATATTTAGTACTTCCTTCTGGAGCTCTTGTAAGGCAGGCCTGATGGTGACAAAATCCCTCAGCATTTGCTTGTCTGTAAAGGATTTTATTTCTCCTTCACTTATGAAGCTTAGTTTGGCTGGATATGAAATTCTGGGTTGAAAATTCTTTTCTTTAAGAATGTTGAATATTGGCCCCCATTCTCTTCTGGCTTGTAGGGTTTCTGCAGAGAGATCCACTGTTAGTGTAATGAGCTTCCCTTTGTGGGTAACCCGACCTTTCTCTCTGGCTGCTCTTAACATTTTTTCCTCCATTTCATCTTGGTGAATCTGATGATTATGTGTCTTGGGGTTGCTCTTCTCAGGGAGTATCTTTGTAGTGTTCTCTGTATTTCCCGAATTTGAATGTTGGCCTGTCTTACTAGGTTGAGGAAGTTCTCTTGGATAATATCATGAAGTGTGTTTTCCAACTTGATTCCATTCCCCCGTCACTTTCAGGTACACCAATCAAACGTAGGTTTGGTCTTTTCACATAGTCCCATATTTCTTGGAGGCTTTGTTCATTCCTTTTTATTATTTCTTCTCTAATCTTATCTTCATGTTTTATTTCATTAAGTTGATCTTCAATCTCTGATATCCTTTCTTCCACTTGATTGATTTAGCTATTGATACTTGTGTATGCTTCACGAAGTTCTTGTGTTGTGTTTTTCAACTCTATCAGGTCATTTATGTTCTTCTCTAAACTGGTTATTCTAGTTAGCAGTTTCTGTAACCTTTTATCAAGGTTCTTAGCTTCCTTGCATTGGGTTGGAACATGTTCTTTTAGCTTGGTGGAGTCTGTTATTACCCACCATCTGAAGACTACTTCTGTCAATTCATGAAACTCGTTCTCCGTCCAGTTTTGTTCCCTTGCTGGCGAGGAGTTGTGATCCTTTGGAGGAGAAGAGGCATTCTGGTTTTTGGAATTTTCAGCCTTTTTGTGCTGTTTTTTCCTCATCTTCGTGGATTTATCTACCTTTGGTCTTTGACGTTGGTGACCTTTGGATGGGGTTTTTATGTGGGTGTCCTTTTTGTTGATGTTGATGCTATTGCTTTCTGTTTGTTAGTTTTTATTCTGACATTGAGGGCTCTCTTCTGCAGGTCTGCTGGAGTTTGCTGGAGGTCCACTCCAGACCCTGTTTGCCTAGCTATCACCAGCAGAGGCTGCAGAACAGCAAAGATTGCTGTCTGCTCCTTCCTCTGGAAGCTTCGTCACAGAGGGGCACCTGCCAGATGCCAGCAGGAGCTCTCCTGTATGAGGTGTCTGTTGACCCCTGCTAGGAGATGTTTCCCAGTCAGGAGGCATGAGGGTCAGGGACCCACTTGAGGAGGCAGTTTGTTCCTTAGCGGAGCTCAAGCACTGTGCCGGGAGATCTGCTGCTCTCTTCAGAGCTGACAGGCAGGAATGTTTAAGTTTGCTGAAGCTGTGCCCACAGCTGCTCCTTCCCCCAGGGGCTCTGTCCCAGGGAGATGAGAGTTTTAATCTATAAGCCCCTGACTGGGGCTTCTGCCTTTCTTTCAGAGATGCCCTGCCCAGAGAGGAGGAATCTAGAGAGGCAATCTGGCTGCAGTGGCTTCACCACACTGGTTTCACACCCAGTTCACTTCCTGGTGGCTTTGTTTACACTATGAGGGGAAAACAGCCTACTGGAGCCTCACTAATGGTGGATGCCCCTCCCTGCACCAAGCTTGGGCGTCCCAGGTCGACTTCGGACTACTGTGCTGGCAGTGAGAATTTCAAACCAGTGGGTCTTAGCTTGTTGGGCTCCGTGAGGGTGGGATCCGCTGAGAAGACCACTCGGCTCTCTGGCTTCAGCCCCCTTTTCAGGGGAGTGCATGGTTCTGTCCCGCTGGTGTTCCAGGCACCACTGGGGTACAAAAAAAAAAAAAAAAAAAAAAAACTCCTGCAGCTAGCTTTGTGTCTGCTCAAATGGCCACCTAGTTTTGTGCTTGAAACCTAGGGCCCTGGTGGTGTAGGCACCTGAGGAATTTCCTGGTCTGCGGTTTACAAAGACCATGGAAAAGTGTAGTGTCTGCTCTGGAGTGCACTGTTGCTCATGGTACAGTCCCTGACGGCACAGTCCCTTATGGCTTCCCTTGGCTAGGGGAAGGAGTTCCCCAACCGCTTGTACTTCCCAGGTGAGGTGACGCCCCACCCTGCTCCTGCTTACCCTCCGTGGGCTGCATCCATTGTCTAACCAGTCCCAATGAGATGAACCACGTACCTCAGTTGCAAATGCAGAAATCACCCAGCTTCTGCATTGGTCTCACTAGGAGCTGCAGACCAGAGCTGTTCTTACTCGGCCATCTTGCCTCTCAGTCTCAGGCCTTCTTTATTTTTTGACTTATTTTACTTACTTACTCATTTTCTGTAAGGAAATCTGGATTATAACATGTTCCTTTCATTAGAGACTTTAGATTATGAGGAATAATCAACACCTTCAAATACATTTACTTTTTATCCAAAGACCTTAAAACTTCACCCTCAGGAAGCCCATGGCTTGGGTTCCAGGACACAGTTTAATACAGATGGCAGGTAATCAGCTGATTTTTCCCCCTCCTCAAGTACTGGCTTCACTTTGACATGGTATTTTACGCTGCCCTCCTGGGACCCCCACCACCAATTCCACATATCCTCTGAGGGTCTGTGGCTTGCCAACCCACTTTTAACTTATGTCTAAGCCTAAAATCTTTTTGTTGGGAGATCATTTACAGGGGATTTATAGTAAGGAACTTGAGGATTCTCATGGGATCTAATCTCAGGACAGCCTTCTTGAGAAATGGAAAGATTACAAGCTCTGTCTCTGTCTCTCATTCTCTCCCCCATCCCTCTGCCTTCTCTGTGTTTCTCTCTTTTTCTTACATAGACTTAACCTGAATGTTTGCTATTTTTTCTTTCTGTAGGCTCCTTCAAACTGATGCTCCCCCTCCGTAACATCAGCCTGTGTGTGACTAGGACTTGCTATGGTTCTAATTCTGGTTCCAATCCTAGTTCATCTTATGAATTTGATCATGGACATGTGTTCTGGGTCTATCATTTCTAATTCTGGGAAAGAGCACATGACAGGCTCTGCTTTATTCTTGTGTTCATCTCTAATCCAATCAACTAGAGCCATACTGGTGAGGTTGCTGGTACAAACATTATTGTCTAGGTCTGCCATATCCATGGGGACTTTGGAGGACATGTCAGAGAAGGAAAAACAAATAGGCATGCATAACAAACATATCATTCACAATATTCTAGGCAGTGGGTACAGCGACCTTGAGGGCTGGAGAAAGAAGAGAGCTTGGTACATATAGGGAAATTCAAGTGGTTCAGAATGGCTGGAGTGTAGCATTTGGGGTAGGAGATAATAAGAGATGAGATGGATCAGTAACCAGGGCTGGAATTATGAAGGGCTTTGATACCCTGCTAAGGAGTCGAAGTAGATAAAAAGTCAGGTTTTCTCTCCTTTCTTGGCTTTTACATCCTATACCATCTATTTGGAAGAGATACCACCCCTCCTTTCCTTGACTTACTAAGCATTTGCCCTTTGGGTCTCAGCTTAAATGTACCTTTTCGAAAATCCTTCCCTGATCTCTGAAGCCTGGTTAGTTGCTATGTGTTTCCCCAGCTCTGTGTGCCTGCACTAAATAGTACTCATATCCTGTAACCTGCTTGCCTGTTCACTTTTCTCTCTCTCCTGCTAGAGTATAAGCAGGAATCCTGTCTGAATATATCTTTTATCCATAGCGCAGTGCCTGGCAATCACAGACATTCTGTAAATGTCCTGTTTAAGGAATGAATACATCAATGAATGAATGAGATGGACACAAATCAAGCAACCTCAAGTATCCCTTTCCTTGCTTGAGGTTAAGCCTGGCCTTGCTTCTTAGTTAGACTGACTGAAGCCCTCTCAGCCTCTAATCCTTGAGGAATGAAGACCCTCCTGCAGATTCTCTGGTCCCAACCTGGGGACTCTGAATATTCTCCCCAGACACCACTCTCTTCCCTGCTCCTTCCTCTGGAAGCTTCATCCCAGAGGGGTGAGAAGGGTTTTAAAAAGGGGTTTCCCTGCACAGGCTCTCTTTGCCTGCTCCCATCCATGTAAGACATGACTGCTCCTCCTTGCCTTCTGCCATGATTGTGCCAGATGCCAGCCGGAGCTCTCCTGTATGAGGTGTCCTTTACACCTGCCCACTTCCTACATGATCAATCTAGATTAGTTTCCTAATGTCATTCTGTATTTTGCCATCTTAATCCTTTCTCTTTTCCAATCACTTCTCCCTCATTTCCTTCCTTGAGAAAGGAAATAAACTTAAATAGTCCTCCACTCATTGGCTGCGCATCCTAGGAGCATCTATGAAGAGTTCACACTTTTCTGTCCCAAACTGTCCATCTTACCAGCACATCACATGTATATAAACATTGAATATATGTATATAAATGTATATATCTATATATAAATATTATAATTCCTACTGTTGACTCTCACAAATATCAACAAGCAGCAACCTATAATTATAGATTATACACATACAATCTATATATAGGTTATATAGATTATATATAATATATGCTATCCTGCTTTATTCCATTAATGATTGTGGTGTTGCATTCTATTACAAAGGAAGAGTGGCAAAATATGAACTTATATTGTAGATGTTTTCTAATTCAATATTGAAATGCCTCAAGACTCAGTCCTTGGATCTCTTCACTTCTTTTTTCTTACTACATTGTTAAACTCATCCATTCTCAAGCCTTAAAATCATCTATGTGCTGATAACTCCCAAATTTATGTCTCCAATCCAGGCCTTTTCCCTAAACTGCATACTCCTATATCCAACATCTCTACTTGGATGTCAAATAGACCTCTCAAACACACAATGTGTCCAAAATGGAACCTCTAATCTTGCCCCAACTCCCTGCTCCACCCACAGCCTTCCACGTTTCAGGTGATGGCAACTTGGCAGCTTCATCCTTTCAGTTGCTCAGTCCAAAAGACTTGAAGTCATCCTAAACTCCTCTCTCTTTCTCACACTTCCCAGCCAGTCTGTCATTAAATCCTGCTGGTTCCACCCTCTAATATATCCTTCTCTCCATTTCCACTGTTCCCGTCCTGATTGGAGTCACCATCCTCTCTTGGCCGGAATACTGCAGTAGCTTCCTCATAGGTCTCTGTGAATCTACCCTTTCTCCCATACAATCTAACCTAGCAGAGCACCAGAGGCTCTTCTGCTCCACACCTTCCAATGCCCACCCCCATTTCACTCACAGTGAAAGCCCGTGTTTATATTGGCCCAATACCCCCACTCACTTTGCCTTCCACCTCAACCCTTATCCCTGGGACTTTATCTTCTAGCACTTCCACTCCCCTCCCACCTTTTGATTGTTGTAAGTAGTCCTCTTGCTGTCCTTTGACCATCATGATCACACTCCATCTTAGGATCCTCCACTCTAGCTGTTATTCAGGCTGGAGTGCTTTTTTCCTAGATTCACTTGGCAAGCTCTCTCGCCTTCTCCCAGTCTTTGTTCAGATATCATCTTCTCCACGAGGCTTACTTTGAGCACCCTACTGCAACTGTCACCACCCCAAGCCCTCTTTGCTTGCAATCCCAACCTCACTCTACTTTTTCTATTTTCCATTGTACTTATCTCCTTCTAATATATGACATAAGTTATTTATTTGCTATTATCCGTCTCTCTTGTTTGAATGCAAGTTCTAAGAAGACAAAGATCTTTGTTTTTTTCACTGATTGATATGGTTTGGCTGTGTTCCCCTGACAAATCTCATCTTGAATTCCCACATGTTATGGGAGGGACCCAGTGGGAGGTAATTGAATCATGGGGGCAGGTCTTTCTTGTGCTGTTCTCATGCTAGTGAATAAGTCTCACAAGATCTGATGGTTTTAAAAAGGGGAGTTTCCCTGCACAAGCTCTCTTTGCCTGCTGCCATCCATATAAGACATGACTGCTCCTCCTAAGCTTCTGCCATGATTGTGAGTTCTCCTCAGCCATGTGCAACTGTAAGTCCATTAAACCTCTTTCTTTTGTAAATTGCCCAGTCTTGGGTATGTCTTTATCAGCAGCATGAATATGAACTAATACACTGATTTATCAAAGCTCTTAGAAGTGCTTGGCATATAATGAGTGCTTAGTGAATATTGTCGAAAGAATGAATGAATGAAAAAGCAAATTAATATCTCCTACCCTGTCTGCTCTTTATGTATCTCCATATCAGTGGTATAATTCTCAATTGTGAGCTCCCGAAAGGTAGAAAGCATTTTTGTCCTTTCTTAGCAGAGCAGGATTTTGACCTAAATTTCTGCAAACTATAGTCTTATGGTTATGACTCTTTTTGTAAGTTGATCACTCATTCACAAGGATGTAATTTGCATCTGATTAATCACAAGACTGATGTGGTCTCAGAACATTGAGAAAAAGACTACTTCATCTACCTGACAGTCAAAGGGTAACACATTAGGACTTGAGAGATAATAAATTCAAAGGAAGTTCACACACAGAAAAATTTAAGATTAAATTGTCATTTTCAGATAAATTTGTTAGGGATATTGGTTCAGTATTCTGCAGCAGATGCATAAAATATTTCCATGCCTTTAAGAATCCATTTGTAGTCTCAGATACCACATGTGTTCCAGGAGTGTAGATGTCCTGCACAGTACTCTTTTATGAGTCACTCAAGCTTCTCCTGTGGCATCAGATTTTGCAGTGATTTTGTAATGGACATTTCCTAATTGAGAAATTATCAGCTATTTTTGAATTATGAAATGGCTACATTACTTAGAAATAGGCCCTTGGGTGCACATGAGATATTTCATTACCAGGCGTAAGATTTATTTTATTAATAGAAAAATAATATAAAATGTCACTTAAAGGATCTTATCAAAATTATGAACCTTCCACTTCTGAATGTCTGTATTATACATCCATTCCTAGGTCACCTAAACTTACCCCTTTGACTCAACCTGCTACAAAGAGCCAACCACTTCCTCTACTCCAGCTGTTTCTTTATTCCAACTCTTGCCCTATTATGTCACTCAGTCTGTTCTTTGCTCTATCTCTTTTGCTCTTAATCACATTTATAGGCTGTATTAGTTCATTCTTATGCTGCTAATAAAGACATACCCAAGACTGGGAAATTTATAAAGGAAAGAGTTTTAATGGACGCATAATTCCATATGGCTGAGGAGGATTTACAATCATGGCAGAGGGCAAAGGAGGGGCAAAGGCTTGTCTTACATGGTGGCAAGCAAGAGGGCATGTGTAAGGGAAGTACTCTTTATAAAACCATCAGATCTCATGAGACTTATGCACTGTCGTGAGAATAGCATGGGAAAAACTCACCTCCATGATTCAGTTACCTCCCAGTGAGTCCCTCTCACAACACATGTGGATTATGGGAGCTACAATTCAAGTTGAGATTTGGGTGGGGACACAGCCATACCATATCATTCCACCCCTGGCCCCTCCCAAATCTCATGTCCTCACATTTCAAAACTAATCATGCCTTCCCAACAGTCCCCCAAAGTCTGAACTCATTTCAGCATTAACTCAAAAGTCCACAGTCCAAAGTCTCATCTAAGACAGGCAAGTCCCTTCTGCCAAAAGCAAGTTAGTTACTTCCTAGATACAATGTGGGTACCAGGCATTGGGTAAATATACCTGCTCCAAATGGGAAAAATTGGCCAAAACAAAGGGGCTACAGTCCCCTGGAAAGTCTAAAATCCAACAGGGCAGTCATTAAACCTTAAAGTTACAAAATGATCTCCTTTAACTCCATGTCTCACATCCAGGTCATGCTGATGCAAGAGGTGGGCTCCCACAGCCTTGGGCAGCTCTGCCTCTGTGGCTTTGCAGGGTATGGCCCCCATTTTTGCTGCTTTCACTGGCTGACATTGAGTGTGGCTTTTCCAGGTGCACAGTGCAAACTGTCATTGGATCTACCATTCTGGGGTCTGCAGGACAGTGGGCCTCTTCTCACAGCTCCACTAAGCAGTGTCCCAGTGGGGACTCTTTGTGGGTGCTCCAACCCCACATTTCACTTCCACACTGCCCTAGAGAGTTTCTCCATGAGGGCTCCACCCCTGCAGCAAACTTCTTGCCTGGACATCCAGGCATTTCCATGCATCTTCTGAAATCTAGGCAGAGATTCCCAAATCTCAATTCTTGACTTCTCTGTACCCACAGGCCCAACACTACTTGGAAGTTTCCAAGGCTTGGGGCTTGCACCCTCTGAAGCAATTGCCTGAGCTGTATGTTGGCCCTTTTTAGCTACAGCTGGAGTGGCTGGGACGCACGGCACCAAGTCCCAAGGCTGTGCACAGCAAAGGGGGGGTCCTGGCCCTGGCCCGCAGAACCATTTTTCCCTCCCAGGCCTCTGGGCCTGTGATGGGAAGGGCTGCCATGAAGGTCTCTGACATGCCCTGGAGACATTTTCCCCATTGTCTTGGTGATTAACATTTGGCTCCTTGTTTTATATAAGTTTCTGCAACAGGTATGAATTTCTCCTCAGAAAAAAAGTTTTTCTCTCCTATCTCATTGTCAGGCTGCAAATTTTCAAAACTTTTATATCCCATCACCTCTTGAATGCTTAGCCACTTAGAAATTTGTTCCCCTAGATACCCTAAATCATCTCTCCTAAGTTCAAAATTCCACACACCTGTAGGGCAAGGGCAAAATGCCACCAGTCTCTTTGCATAGCAAGAGTGACCTGGCCAGGTGCAGTGGCTCATGCCTGTAATCCCAGCACTTTGGGAGGCCAAGGCGGGCAGATCATGAGGTCAGATTGAGACCATCTTGGCTAACAAGGTGAAACCCTGTCTCTACTAAAAATACAAAAAATTAGCTAGGCACGGTGGCAGGTGCCTGTAGTCCCAGCTACTTGGGAGGCTGAGGCAGGAGAATGGCGTGAACCCAGGAGGTGGAGCTTGCAGTGAGCCGAGATTGCGCCACTGCAGTCCAGCCTGGGTGACAGAGCTAGACTCCTTCTCAGAAAAATAAATAAAAGAGTGGCCTCCAGTTCCCAACAGGATCCTCATCTCTATCTGAGACAACCTCAGCATCGACCTTTTTGTCCAAATCACTGCCAGCATTTTGGTCAAAGCCATTCAACAAGTCTCTAGGAAGTTCCAAATTTCCCACACCTTCCTGTCTTCTAAGCCCTCTGAGTCTCTAGGAAGTTTCAAACTTTTCCACATTTTCATATCTTCTGAGCCCTCCAAACTGTTCCAACCTAGCCTGTTACCCAGTTCCAAAGTCACTTCCACATTTTCGGGTATCTTTACAGTAGCACCCCACTCTACTGATACCAACTTACTGTATTAGTCTGTTCTCACACTGCTAATAAAGACATACCCAAGACTGGGTAATTTATAAAGGAAAGAAGTTTGATAGACTGACAGTTCCACATGACTGAGGAGGCCTCACAATCATGGCAGAAGGCAAAGGAGGAGCAAAGGCACATGTTACATGGTGGCAGGCAAGAGAGCGTGCATAAGGGAATTGCTCTTTATAAAACCATCAGATCTTGTGAGCCTTACTCACTCTCATGTGAACAACACAGGAAAAACTCACCCCCTTGATTCAGTTACCTCCCAACAGGTCCTTTCCATGATACATGTGGATTATGGGAGCAACAACTCAAGATAAGATTTGGGTGGGGATACAGCCACACCATATCATAGGTTAATTCATGTTAACTTAAAGAATAGAGAGGCAGCAAAGTGGATGTAACATAAGCTTGGTGTCAGACTAGATGCATTAGATATCTGGCTCTGCCATTTACTATCTGTATGACCTTGAGGATGTTGTGCAATCTCTCTATACATCCCTATATTTGTAAAAAAGTTTAATAATATCTTCTTCATAGGTGAGAATTAAATGAGATAGTATATACAAAGTATTTGTTTCCCTTCTGTGTTAAGATAGCAATAGTAATATACGTTAGCCTTTCAATTGGATTTGCTAATGTCTAAGGGGGCCTTTTTTGCATGCCTATTAATACTTAGAGTTTTACTTTTATTATAATAATACTCCATCTATTAAAGAGTTAAATCCTAAGTTTTCTTAATATTTTAAGTTCAGCTTTCTAATCTTGTTTATTAATCTAGTATATTTATATAAAAATAAGTACAATCATTTTCACTAGCTTTGATTAATATTTATTGATTTGTACAGTAAAAATAATAAATTAACCTTAATCATTTAATGCTATTTGAATTCATAAGTAATATTTTCATCAACACTTCAAATCATAATTACAATTTCAATGTAGGTAATTTTTTCAGATAATGCAAGTCTATTATGCAGACTTAAAACCCAACAAGCCAGATATTTCTAAACACTTAAGTAATGCTTAGTAATCTAATAAATCAATCAATTGACTCACTTAACTCAAATTCTCATACACTTTGCAAACAACTTAAAAACAGAAAATATTCAAAATAGCAGTGACTGCAAAACATAACACAGCATAATAACATTCCTTAAACAAAAGTCTCACTTGTATTCATTCTCTATTAAATATATATTATACATAACATACATTATATATGATCTACATTGTATAAATATGTAATACACATAAATGTTATATAGTATATATACATTATATACAATATACATTGTGTATAATAAACATGTACATTATGCATAATATACATTATGTACATTATGCATAATATACATTTATACAAGTATATATACATTTATACACGTATATATGTATATATACATTTTTATACACATATATATGTATATATACATTTTTATACACATATATATGTATATATACACGTTTTTATACACGTATATATGTATATATACACGTTTTTATACACGTATATATGTATATACACGTTTTTATACACGTATATATGTATATACACGTTTTTATACACGTATATATGTATATACACGTATATATGTATATACACGTTTTTATACACGTATATATACATGTATATATAATATACATACATAATATAATGTATATTATGCATAATGTAATAGAGTTTCATATATTATATTAGATTACATTGTAGAATATAATATATTATGTATAATATACATTACATACATTATGTATAATATACATTACATACATTATGTATAATATACATTATATATAATGTACATACATATATTCCTTCCAGAAGTAGCTAATTTGCTCCCAACCAAAGAAAAGATAATTACTATTTTAGGTCCGCTACAGCCACTAAAGTTTTACACACAGATTATTATCAGTGATTATAAACCAAGGCAAAGGGTGTTTGTGCTGCTTCCAGAATGATTCTACCCAAATCCCAGGTGGTTAGCAAGCTGGACTTTTTCTCATAATTAAACCCTGCCAACTTCTTCAATTTTACAGAAAATTGCTTTCACAAGTTATTCCTGCCAGATCTGAGTAGCTTCAATGCACTCTTCCCACAGTGCTCCTTCACAATAGGATCACGGCTAATCTCCATATTGCTTGATTTGTGATAATAGGCTTCTTAAATGCTTCTGTCATTATAACCCATCTGCTCACTAACTGGTGAGATTCTGTACTTTATCGTTTATGAACGTTCTTATTTGTGTCAAACCCATATTTCTGTTGGTTTATTGCTGAGTCCAAACCAGATTCCCAGCTTCTGCTTTCCTCCCCTGCCCCCCAGTCTAGTGTCCCTCCCCCAGTCTAGTGTCCCTCCCCCAGTCTAGTGTCACTGCATGATTTCCTGTAAATGCAAACGTACTCCAATAAGCCTGCCTGAAGCAAGAGGAATTGAGCCAGCTATCAAACATCATTCTGGGATTCAGCATCAGTCACCATTAGAGCTGGTCTTGTCCCGACATGGGCTACATGTCTGGTCCCTGGGGCTTAGCCTCTGGTCGGTGTCAAATTCAGGTGAAAGCCTTGTCAGCACAAAAATACATACCTGGAACAAACAAACATTTCTGGAACAAGATTGCTTGGGGAAATTTACAGACGAGTAGCTGGTGTGAGGTTCTCCATTGTTCATTACAATTTAGGACAGCACAAAGAAATTTAGCAGGGCTAGATATCAGACTCAAAAGAACCCCGGCCCTTGGGCTGTGGGGATTTTAAACTGCAGAATTGAGGAAGAACCAGCCCCAATGTGGTCATGCCATATGACACTGCAGAACCCCTAGTTCGGAATGGAGTCAAAACTGAAAAGATAAGGCAACCAGGCTGATTTATTGTCTGGGTCCCTAGACAAAATAAGAACATGATCTTTGAATCTAGAAGGATATGAAATTGGATCCTGGCTATGTACTTGCTATGTGATTATGGCAATGCTACTGAATTACTCTAAACTTATATTTCTGCATTATTGAAATCAACTACCAGCCTAACAGTTAAGACATGCATAAGAACTATGAATCAGGTCTGATAGCACAGAGAAAGTATTTTCCACTTCCTTCTCAGCACAACATTTCCTAAGAATTATTTGCATCTGTTATTTCGACTTTCTCACATTCCAGTTTCTCTTTGTAGTAGATGGACAGAGATTGGTGACTCAATGTCTTTCCTTCACCTCACTGTGTAACAAAAACATGACTGCAGTGAAATTGATTGATCCTCCCTGCCATGGTGATTGGTCTAGGATGACCATATGGTAAGGGATGGTCCAAACAGGAGGACACTCAGAACTGTCCTTTCGTGTTTGAAGGTGGTGATTTAAGAAGGTGCGTTGCCTGGACACTAAACAACATAGCTGTGTTGCTGCCGTGAGGAAAGCCAGCCTCAAGGTAAAACTGACACAAGGACAGAACCAAGATAACCGCAAAGTGATGGAGCCAGAACTCTGATCGCACCGAAACTAAAACCTGTCTTAGTGCTGTACTTTTATGTAATATGAACCAGAAAATTCCTTATTTTTAAATCAGTTGAGATTTTCTGCTACCTATAGCCAAAAACACCCTAACTTGCCAACTTTTCTACCAGCTTCAATCAGAATTCAGCTCCATCACTTCACCAACGCTGCTGTTGTAAAGAGCATCAGTGGCCCTCATGTTGGAGAATCCAACAAATAGTTTTCCTGCTCCTGTATCTCTGCTCAGCCTTTGAAGATTAGATTTTCCATCCAATATGCAAGTGTGCTTAAGGATATTCACTGTAGCGTTGGATATCACAGCAAAATATTAAAAAATAGGCTACTGATACACTGAATACTGAAAATAATCTACTGATGCACACAATTTTATTTCATTTATGTTTTATTATTTTTATCTTAAATATATTTTAATTTTAAATATTATATAAATATATTCAAATGTTATAAAATTATTTTCTTTTAATATTTACACTTATTTCAAACTAATTTTATTTTTTGTTACTTTAACATTTTATTTAGTTGGTTTTTGCATTTATTTAATGTATAAATGTATTTATTGAATCACCAATAGGGGACTGAATAAGCTGCGTATTTCTTCCTTTGAGCGCAGCTGGTGCAATAAACAGGAGCTCGCAGAGTCCCGTGGCCGCGGAGGGGCGCCAGACTCCGGGGAAGAGCCAGAGCGAGGTCCGACGAATCGGGCTCTGCTGGCGACCAGCCCCCTTCCTTTCCTCCCTGGTGGGGCTGGCGGTGGGTGACCACGGCCGCATCTGGGAGGCGACTCTTCGGATTCAAGATGACCAACAAAAAACCCTCTTCCCCAAAGGGTTAGACTGAGCGAAACTTCAAACGGATGGCAGGAGATGAATGAATTCTAAAATGGAAACAATATGAAACACATGCGCAAGCTTTGGAGGCAAGAACGCTGACCTCAACCTCAGTGAAAACTAAAGCAAAAGCAGCAAGAGTCTGCGCGGGGCAAACGTCCTTGCGATGCGACTAGCAGACAAGAGGCAGGAGATGCGAGGCGTCCTACCCGAATTTAGTACCTCCAGCAAATCTGTGGCCCAGCGTGGCCCGATCAACAATGGTAGACCGAGCCATCAACCTGTTTTCCTAAAAATGAAAGGTGATCTGGCCCTGACTGAAGACAAACGGGAACAAGCCCAAAATGAACAGAGTGCCTGGAAGTTTACGCCTGGTAGGTAAACTCTCCAGTCATATTCTCAGTCAAGGCTTCCCTGACAGTCCCACTACTAGAAAGTCACTGGGGGGACAGCCAAGGACTCGTTTCTACACCAACACTCAGACTTTTTGAGAGGAAAGGAAAAAAGCCGCATTTTTATACTCCCCAGCTCCTAATGGTTAATGTGAAACTTACCAATGAACCTTGCACTTCAGTTCTTTCCCTCCCCATCCGCTTTGCTTCAGAAGCCTGGTAGACTTGCACTATCCCAAAGAAGCGGCCACCTCTGAAGAATTCCTCTTTGGGAACATGTGGATACTTGAGAAATGTTTCTGTTTGAAGAAAATAGAGGGAGAAACAAGGTCCTAAGGCACACAATGTCTTTGGACAGTTCGGAGAAATGAAAACCTGGAGACTTTAAATCATGAATTGAACATAAATTCCAGTAAAATGGAAAATGGACTATGCATTGCTCTTACCCTTGAGCATAGTGACTTAGAAACTCTAAAGAGCAGGTCTTCAAATAACATGGATTAGTTATGACGTCGAAGAGAAAAAAAATCCATTTCCGGTCAGGGCCATGGTCTGTGTGGAGTTTTCAGGTTCTCCCTGTGTCTTTGTGGATTTTCTCTGGGTACTTGGTTTCCTCCCACATCCCACAGCTGTGCACATGAGGCTCACTGGCTTGTCTACATGGTCGCAGACTGGTGAGTGTGAGTGAGTATGAGTGCGCCCTGCGATGATGGAATGGAGTCCTATCCAGGGCTGGCCTGAGCTGCCAGGATGGGCTCCAGCCACTCAACACTCTGAACTGAAACAAGAAGGTAAATAATTATCTTACTTGTTTTTTATTAATTTTTCTTAAATGTATGCATAACTCGCATTTATTTCAATGTTTACTTTTCCTTTTCTTTTTTTTTTTTTTTTTTGAGGCAGAGTCTCACTTTGTCGCCCAGGCTGGAGTTCAGTGGCGCGATCTCGGCTCACAGCAGCCTCTGCCTCCCTGGTTCAAACGATTTTCCTGCCTCAGCCTCCTGAGTAGCTGGGATTATAGGCATATGCCACCACGTCTTGCTGATTTTTGTATTTTTAGTAGAGACAGGGTTTCACCATGTTGGCCAGGCTTGTCTTGAACTCCTGACCTCAAGTGATCTGCCCGTCTTGACCTCCCAAAGTGCTGAGATTCCAGGTGTCAGCCACTGTGCTGGGCCTACAGTGTTTACTATTTAGAAGTGTTTTGGTCTTTAGTTAGAAGTTCGGTGATGTTTTTGTGACTTAGAAATATGCCATAGAAATTTAACTCTTGTTTGTATCAATTAGCCTATGGTAAAAATGGTTTCCTTATGCATCCCTTTGCTTAAAATCAGAGTTTCCAAGAACTTATCCAGATGTTAAATGAGGACTTTTCAACATATTGGTTTTGCCAGTAAGACTGTGAACTTCATCATTGTTGTTGAACTGCTGGGTCAAAACTCAAATGAGGTGAATTTTGCCTTTAAAGGGATTATTTGCTAAGAACCAACCTTAAATAGTCACAGAAAATCAAATATTAGTTGTCAGTATAAGTCGTTCATATATTTAACCATTTAGTTTGAGGCTCTATATTACTTGATTCTTTTTTATTGATACATAATAATTGTACATATTTATGGGAATTATTGAGTCTTAAATGAATGTGGTTTTAATCAATGGTTTACCTTTGAATGGTTGTAAATATTGTAGATAATCTTATTGAGAACTGTGCAAACATGAAGGTGTGGTATCAAACTTCAGGTTTAAGCTGTTTGAAGCATTATAAACATTCATTTCACAACCAGATTGCTTAAGGATGTTGGCTGTGGTGAGACTCACTGGGTTATTTTTTTCAGGAGTGAGCTTTATTAAATCCGCATTCCATTCGGCAGGCATGTGCTGAAAGAGCATTATCATTGGTGTTAATGGACAAATGTGTTTTTTCATTGTATTTGGGCCTTTTGTATTGTGGTCTTGATATTAAATTAAGTGCACCTAAAGAAAAAAAAATTGAATAAAGCAATTCTACATGTACTAATGTGGAATAGCTGCCAAGATACATTAAGTGAAAAAAATCAAAGAGCAAGACAGTGTAATTTTGCATAGTACCATTTTTATTTTGAAAGATTATATTAATGCTTGGTATGCGTAAAATAGCTCTGGAAGGATTCAAGAAAGATCTGCTTGGTTACCTCTGAGAAAAGGAGTTAGATGTTGGAAACAGGGGTGGGAGGAAAATTGTTTATATTGCATAATGTCTTTTAACGTTTGGATTTTGTGTTGTGGCTAAGGTAGTACCTATTAGAAATAAATAAAATTAGGTAATTTTAAAAATAAAGAAATGCTGTAAATTTTGACCAAATGTTGCTATTCATTAGTTTTATCTTAAACTCTCCCCATATGATCTCTCCCATACTTCTGGCTTTAAGAATAATCTCAATGTTGAAACCTTCCATATACATATATGTTTTATATATATGTGTGTGTCTCTTTTGCATTTCAGATTCCTTTAGCTCTTGGGTGCTTGAATTTCTCCAACACATTTCAAAAATGGGCAAACATAAAAAATTCATCCTAACTCTTGCCCTTCCTTCACAAACCTTCTTCTCTCCAAGTCTTTCCCCATCTCAGTAAATGCCGTCACCATCAGCTCTTATGCTCAAGCAAGCTACCTAGGATTTACTCGGAACATTTCCTTTTCTCTCAAATTGCATATCTAATCCATCACTAAGTTCTGTTATCTATCTCATATCTATAGAGTCTACTCTCATTCCTAACTCTCCCGTGTGCCCATGTGGTCCAAGCCATCATCTCCCCTCTTAGTCTCCACACCTCCTTTCAAAACCTCCTTCAATGCCATTCCCTCAAAAGTTCTTCTAAAACCATCTGGTTCAAAATAGATCCTCCTATTATTTTTTTCCCTTTATAACTCTTATGAAATTTACAATTGCGTATTTATATTTGTGGTTATCTACACGTGTTCTTTTCGCTGGATTATAATCTCGATGAGGGCAGGGGCCTGTGTCTATTATTTTCATATTCTTATGCCTGCAACCTAGCATAATGCCTGGCATATGGAATATGATTTGTAAATTACTCTCAGATGAATGGATAAGTTAAAAACGGCTCTTACCATGTACGAGGCATTGTGCTAGAGACATTAGTTATGGATGATAAACCAATGTTAGAATCGTCATTTGCCAATGGGCATTTACATCCAGGCACAGGCAGATACAAAATGAGTACAAGAGTATATTTTACCATGTGAATAGGGTAGATATGAGGAAGTTTGCTTGCTAGGTCAGGGGAGGGACCTGCACTGAGGGAATTTATAAGTAAAAGGAAAAGATGAAAAACAAGTCTGATTTCCTCACCCTGTAAAATGAGATGTGCAAACAAGGCAATTTGCTATGATTATAGGATTCCCTTCACAGTTTTTCCTAGAGCCTGCTCTACAATGTCACAACCCCTCTAGATTTTTTGCCTTAGGTATGTCAGGACACATAAAATGTCTAGGTGGTAGAAATAAGCATCCTGTTTGCAGGGCTCATGAGGAGGGCAAGTGGTAGATTCTCTGCAGTTCTGGAACCCATTGTGAACCCCAAGCCATGGAGACTCTAGTCTACTGGCTGAGCATGCTCAGCCCATAAAGTGCCCAAATTATGAGAACAACTTGCCCTTGAAACAAACAAACACAACAATAAGATAAAATAACTGACAAATCGTCTTTATTAAATAAGCAAATAGTCTACACAGATACAGTCACTTGTCTGTTGCACACGAGTGCTTCCCCTTCTCTTGGGAAAGATCACTCTATGTGACAAGGTGCAAGCTAAGCAGCAGCCCATTTGAATGCCCTGTAATAACATAAAAATGACCGGCAAGATACAGATTCACGCTCAAGTTCCCTTGAGTGTGACTCGAGTCACAGCACAGGCAGGAGAAAACGAACATTTCAATTCACAGAGACTTAGGTGAAGAATTATTAGCTTCATTTAAAGTGCCCATATTGTGCCTTCTACATATCTCTTTCAACAATTAAGCCAGCTGTTACTCTTCAAAGTGTGTGTCACTTTCTTTGCATTTGGGTCAAACTCCAACTGTGAAGATCCAGTAAAGAAATAAAAGAACCCTGCAAATACAGACAAGGGAAATAGTAAGATATTTTTCCAAATAAAGACATTTGACAATATACAAAACTCAGAATCATAGAGAACTAAAAATAGAAAGTGTTTATAGAGCTTTACTTTATGTCAGGGACTATGCCAAGCTTGTTACATGAATTTATTTTCATTTATTTCTGCAACAACCCTATGAGGTTGTATGTCTAACTCCATTTACAGATTGAGCAAGTTGAGGTTGAGACAGATTTCGATGCTTCCTCAAGGTTACTCAGCAAGGAAGAATGGAGACAGCACTCGGTGCCAGCTCTGTCTGAAAACACAGCCAGATTCCAGGTTACAGGGTTATTCTGCTTCCGATCAGATAAATTCTCCACTTGCTTGGAAACTCTCATCACCTATTTCTTTCTTCCCCAAAAATCCTCCTCCCTTTTCCCTGCATTGCAGCCTAGGAAGCACAGCAACTATTTCAAAACACCAGGGGACCCTTTAGTGCTCTGCAAACATGGTGATCAGGTTACCTTTCAATAAAGATCATCAGCCTCCACTTCCTTACCTTGAGTAGAAAACAAAATCTTTTTTTTTTTTTAAACTTTGGGCACATGGAAAGGTAAGTATTTGCAAATGACTGGCATGGGCAATGACTGACAACTCAGGAAAGACAGACAAAAAATCTCCCTGGGAATTAGTAGCAGCAATAAGATAGGGTGGAGGAGAAGGCCAGCTAACCAACATTAAACCTGGCCACACCACTTGATGGGATTTTTATGCTAACATGGTAATCTGAAAGTCGAGCTTGACTCCACATGTTAGCTCGAGATGTAAGTGACACTGGAGCACTTTGATTTTATATGCATGTATAAGATAAAGTAGCGAGATTTGTGTAATTATCTTTATGGTTCCAAACAAGTTATTTTGTGAAGTAGTTCTATAATGAGTACAAATGTAGGCGAATCAAAATTTTGAGAAGGGAACTGGCCCTAAGAAACACTTGTTATTAAAAAGTTTCAATGCTCCTCTTCCCTCTGATATCATAAAATGTTTCAAGTGCTCTATGGCCAACACAGTAAGTATCCTCTTACCAAATTCTTCAAAAACAGCATCAATCTTTGAGTCAATCCCTGGAAAGTCTTCAGCTATTTGCTTGGGAAAGCCTGGCTCCATGGAATTTCTCTTCTCATCAAATCTGTACCAAGTAAAAGAAACAGCTCAGCATTGCATAGAGGCCATGTTACCGAACATCTTAGATCATGTTAGGTTTAATGTGGAATTTTACTAAACTTTATAAATACTGCAAATAAATGCCAAGCATATTTGGGACTATAGAAATATGTGACTTTAATGGTACTGTAAAGAGTTCTGAAAGCCATATCTCCATCCGGAACAGGGGCCGCATCCTGCTGTATGTAGCACATGCTGTTTGTCATCATATTTCTTAAGCCTGGACAGAAAGAACCTTAATCATCTTTCTGTCACAAAGACATGAAAGTGTGAACATATATATAAAGTGAATTGAATCAACATCTAAAATGCAATTTTAATTCCCTACCACAATTGGCCCATATATGCCTGCTGTCCCCTCCCCTGCACATCTAAATCTTCTCTGGTGGCCTCCTGGGAAAAGGGATTAGGATAAGAAGCAAAGCACAGTAAGTGTGTTTTTAGCCCATTGGCTGGATATCAGATGGTCGGCCTCGATGTCTCAAAGTCTGGCCAAATGACCCAGGAATCAACCTGTCTGTGAGTGTTGGGTTGTATCCATAAACTGGACTGCTATTGATCATCATCTCTTAAATGAGCCATCATTATCAGGTAGAGGTGACAAGTGGGTGAGGTTAGAGGTAGCCCTTGAAAATCATATAGTAGTGTTAGGAAGACAAAACAAACACACAATGAGACAGTGACAAACACACAGTGAGACAGTGAGCCAAACTAAAAGACAATGGGAAGGGAACGCTAAATTGCGGTCTGGGTTCTCAGAACATTTTCCCAATGGGTCTAAAGTCCACGAGGGAAAGCTGCATGGAGGTGATGAGACTTGAGCCAGGACTTGAAGGATGGGCAAGATTTGAATAGGTTGAGGAGAGAAGAGGGGGCTCCAGGCAGGTGGGGTGACAGCACCAAGGGAAGCACCAGCCAACTGCACTTGGGACTGAAAGCAGGAGAGCCTAAGGTGCTGCTGTTTTAAAGTAAGAACTTTCCCACAGTTGTCTGAAGTCCCATCCTTCCTACTAAGAGAGAAGCAGGCCTAAGGTTGGGGTGGGGGATTTCCTTAGTAAAAGAAACTAATTTCCCTAATTAGGCTCCATACAAAGTCATTTCTCTTGCATCTCACCTCCAGTATTTGTCCTCTACAAAGAAATATGTTTTGTTCTTTTCCTTATCAGAAATGGCTGCATCGATTTTCCTCACGGTTGGAGGGAAACCTAGGGTGTGGATGCCTCTTGGGTATCCAGCTCGTACCTCATTTCCTCTGATAGCCCAGAATTGATTTCCTGTTAAATATAAATAATTCAGAGTCATATTGAATTATAACAGTTAAGCCCTTTCGCTTTAGAAATACACTTTAGCATCTTTGATTTTCATGGTAAAGTAGTAGCCCAAATTTTAGATTTAGTCACCAGCTTACAGTGGGCTTTTCACAAAAATTTGCAGACTGAATGAATGAACTAAGGTCAAATGAGAGAATTTACAACTCTGGGTAATTTATCTTCTTGTCTTTATTTTTATCATCTATGAAATATAAATACAATGATATCAGCCCTGGTTATTTCTTCATTACCGTTGACTACTGTATTAGCCAGAACTTGTAGTAGGGAAAATTAAAGTGTTGTTCAATTTCTTATGAGAGGGTTTACTTTGGCAAGTTAAACAAATGATGATATAGTAATTACCTTTAAAAATGAAAACGAGGTCCTTGCTAGTAACTTCATATGCGGCATCCACGCCTGAAGGAAGAGATGGCCAAAATGAAGAGATCAAATGCAATTCAGGTTCAAGCTTCCTGAGGGATTTGCGCCAAAAGTGCCTAAAATATATGTAAAAAGAAATGTAAATTGAAAAACAATCTTTCACCTTTAGAATATTTTCCTCACCGTCTTGCCTCACCCAGCTTCCCCCATTCTCTCATCTTCTAGGCTGGATGACAGATAGAAATCAGGTATATTGCCATTAGAAAATTTCTTTCCTTTTTCTTCAGAAGACTGTAGTGAGTCTCCCGTCATAGGTTTCCAGAGTAATGTCTTCTATGAAAGAAAAATTATTCTATCGTGCAAATGAATTAGCCCAGCATAAGCTTTAATTACCTGCAATGTATGCAAAACAGTGCGTGTGCTATACCCTCTTCCAAAAGCTAGGCCGTGTTTGTATACGTGTATGTGCTGTGTAAATATATTCTTGTATGTGTGTAGAAAGATTCTGGAAGGATGCACAAAAAGTCTTGACTCTGGATGAGTACAGGGAGAACTGGGAACTAAAATTTTTAATTTGCTTCTCATTTGTGCTCTTTGAATGTTTGTCATGTGCATATTGATCCATCAGTAAGTAAATTACTTGATTAAATGTAATGTTGATCCTGATGTCATTTTTAAAGGAAGTAAAAATAAAATTATTATTCGAAAGATCTACTCATGCCTTTTGAAAAGTAACTGTGACTTAAGACATTTGGAAACAGCAATTAGAAGCTAAGA
This sequence comes from Homo sapiens, assembly GCF_000001405.40. Taxonomy (NCBI): domain Eukaryota; kingdom Metazoa; phylum Chordata; class Mammalia; order Primates; family Hominidae; genus Homo; species Homo sapiens. The sequence continues at coordinate 102,839,905 of NC_000011.10, forward strand.
ACCAGATCAGCCTGTGCCTTCAAAAATGAACCTGACAATTTTAGGAAAATGTGGGAAAAGGCAGCACCAGATCTAAATGATTCCAAGCTCAGAAGAAACGTTTTTGTTTTAAATGTCTAAGAATCTCTATCAAGTTTCTGCGTGTTTTCCTTTCTAAACATTGTAGATTAAAATGGTAGGAAAATATAATTTTTCAGCCTGACCTGTCTTTAAAGATCAGGATTTCTCCCCTCAGAGTGCTGACAGCATCAAAGGACAAAGCAGGATCACAGTTGGCTGGCGTCCCAGGTTCTGGAGGGACAGGTTCCGTGGGTACCAGGGGGGTCTCAGGGGAGTCAGGGGGAGGTCCTAAAGGGAACATTAGGGGAAATGTGATACGTTTCAATATATGCCCATTTGTATGCTTTCCAAACATTCTCACGGTGCTTTGAACTAAATCATAAATACTTTATGTAGCATTTGAAAGCTCTTCTGAAGACCATCATTGCAAAACTACAATGGCTGATTTTCCCAGTGTCACTCACCATAGAGGGACTGAATGCCATTTATATCATCTTGAGACAGGCGGAACCGAGTCAGGTCTGTGAGTGAGTGATAGAGTGGGTACATCAAAGCTTCAGTGTTGGCTGAGTGAAAGAGACCCAGGGAGTGGCCAATTTCATGAGCAGCAACGAGAAATAAATTGGTCCCTATTTAAGAAATTGAGAACAATAGTTACTTATTTTTTAAATACATGTGCATTACACAGGTCTGCTGTGCATTGTATTGGTTTTTACTTCTTGGAACCACACAGGGCTTTTTACACCTTGTTTGTTGGTTAATTGAACAATTGACTAATTACACACTTAATGGAAAGCTAAGTGTATTTTAAAACTCATACCTGTAATCAATCTTTGAGATTGATTTCCCAGTTACATCCACTTGCCCCCCATGGCCCCAAACCCACCCCCAGCCTCACAAGCATATTAACTCCAGAAGAACCAGATCCCTTTTCTTGTACTCAGGAATGGAATGAACCCACTTGCTTAGCATATCAGATATTTACCTTCATTTGTCAATGCAAAGCTAAACACTGTTTTAATATATTTACATTTGCCATTTGCAGTCTCAGTTAAAGGAAACTATATTCATGTTAATTGATAATGTCTCAGCCTCATCATCATGAAGTACATATTGAGACTAAAAACATGAATAATGATAGATGTCATAGGATTTGCAAAATTGGTTTAAAACACAGTATGCCCAATCATGTCTAGCATTTGTCACACAACAGATTTAGAATACATAAACACTGGCTTTATTCAAAATTTTTTCCTTCATATTTTTAAAAACACCCATAATGCTAAAATTGGGAGGCATTGGGTAATTATGATCAATATAGTAAGTAAATCTACCTTACTTTTGCTAGTATTACTTGTGTAACTTGTGATGCTAGGAACAATCTCATTTGAGAGTTTGCAGGAAGGTTTCTTTACAAGAATTCGTTAACTCAACCAATCAAGAATTCTATCCAGGACTAAACTCACATTTGTACGTCCTACAGAGGTTTACATTTTCATTATAAATCCCAGTTAAACCTCAGACATAGTATTAATTGTTTTCCTATTTTTTTAGAAGTAGTGTTAATTGTTTTAGCTGATTTTTTTGAAAACTTTGGATGTCATTCCCCAAAACATACAGTTATGAACTGAGAAACATTCTTCTACCTAAACAGTTTGAACGTTGTATTTGGGAGTTAGTCTTTTCCTTCAGAACAAGCCCATAAAAATTCTTTTAACCTAAAAGTACTAAAATAATGCCTCAGCCAGAAAAAAAAAAAAAAGAGAATCTCAGTTTCTGAAATTTAATTCTTATTTCTGGTTTGAAGAGTAAAGAAGTAAATGGAGGAAATTACATAAGTAACATCCAGAGCACATTTTAATGTAGATTCAGTGCAATATACTATCCCTTGAATGTTTGTATTTTGATATGAGAAATTTTTCTTAATAATGGTTACCCCTAGATCACAAAGATCCAGTCATTAAAGAAATACTTAATGATATTTCCTATATTGTGCTTACCAATATAGGAAAACTGTTAAAGCATCTGAAAATATTTTCAATAATAATTAAAACAAAAATATATTCTGCTGATCTCTGATCCACTGGAAAATCCAGAACATCTCATTTCTTGAGCATTCTTGGTTATTAACAGATTTCTACATATAAAAAAATTAATGCCAAAATCATTCTGAGAGATGTGTAACTAACCTGTTGTATCCTTTGTCCATTGTTCATCATCATCAAAGTGGGCATCTCCATTAATCCCTGGCCCAGGGGCATAGGCATGGGCCAAAACATTTCCAGGTCCATCAAAAGGGTAAAAGTCTCCATGTTCTAGTAGGAAAAAAATTTATTGGAAAGATATGTAACAAGGATCCCTTTTGAGCCTTTTCCAGTACAACAACACCAGATAGATGAATGGATACATTTCATGTGTTTTTTGTTTTGTTTTGTTTTGCTTTTTTTTTTTTTTTTTTTTTTTTACCTCTAACTGCAAAAGAGATCATTATATCAGCCTCTCCTTCATACAGCCTGGAGAATGTGAGTGGAGTCACCTCTTCCCAGACTTTCAGAGCTTTCTCAACAGCAGAATCAACAGCATCTTTTGGCAAATCTGGTGTATAATTCACAATCCTGTAGGAGAAAAATTGAAGCAGATGCTATTTTCTCCTATGATATAGTTTATAAAATTCCAATCTTATGTGAAAACCCCTCTGAACCATTACCTGTATGTAAGGTGGGTTTTCCTCCACTTCGGGATGCCAGGAAAGGTTCTGAAGTGACCAACATCAGGAACTCCACACCTGGGCTTGCGCATCACCTCCAGAGTGTCGGAGTCCAGCTTCCCCGTCACCTCCAATCCAAGGAACTTCTGCATTTCTCGGATTTTTTTAACAACAGGACCACTGTCCTTTCTCCTAACAAACTGTTTCACATCTTTTTTGAGGTCGTAGTAGTTTTCTAGATATTTCTAACAGAATAAGTATAGTTTTTAGGTCACTCTTACAATTTTTACTATAGCTATCTATTTATAGTAAGTTTTTGCAGTTGCTCACTTCTTAATCTATTTGGAGTATTTCTCTAGCTTGCTGAAATAATGGCAAATTTTATAATATGATACTAGCAACACAAATATTTAGCTAAAATTACGTTGCATTAAAAAAAAAACTGAAGCTGTTCCAAAGCAAGATATGGTTCATCCACTCTCCACTTGTTACTCATGTGCCTTAAGCCCCAGTGCTGCTACTGCTATGGTGTTGTGTGATCTTAAGAAAACACCTAATATTTCTGGCCTTTGTTTCTTCCTACATAAGAGGAGAAGCCCAAATGGTGTGATAATGAGACCTTTTCCACTTCCAACACTCTATAACTCTCTATTCTTGAACTGTTCCTACACAGTAAGCTCAAGCATTCTATGTGGGTTTTAAGACACACAGAATGGTTTCAGCTTACTCTGGAAGCTCCCCACCTGGCCAGGTCAGTTAGTGTTAATTACCTGAACAAGGTTCATGCTGGTGTCCTCACCCCTTGCAGCTCCATCCAATGGATAGGCTGAGCAAACTGCCACGCACAGCAACAGTAGGATTGGAAGACTCTTCATTTCCACTGGCTTTACTTAGCTCTATGTTGTCTCTATGCCTTGCTGTCTTGCCTGCCTCCTTGTAGGTCCAACCTCGGGAGCGCAGCTTTTAAAGAGTGACAGTGTTTGTTTGGATCACCCGCAGCTTGACTCATCCTTGCTTTCATCCAAATGGCAGCAGGACCATTTCCAAACATTCCAAATTCAAAGTAGGATGATACAACCTACTTTACTAATTTCTCTCAACCTTCCCAATTTTGCAAGGCAACACAGTGATTAATCTCCAGGAAGTGCTTCCTGTCTTGGTAGAGGAGAAAACTGGAGCATTTTTTTTCTTCTGGAAAAATTGACTGGAATTCACTAGACAATTTATGTTTGTCCTTTTGAGAGAAGAAGTAGGTTGACTTGGTAAAAATCAGAATTGTGCAGAACTTCTAAAAGCAGTTTTATTTTAAGAAACACATTATAAAAGCAAATAAAAGATGTAAGTGGAAAGTGTACATACATAGCTATAGTCTATACTATATACAATTATACTCAAAACATAAAAGATAATATCTAGAAGAAATTTAGAAGGGGTGATTTATTTTTCTGAATCTGATTTGTAATGCCTGCTATTGACTGTCGTTGGATTTGCTGGTTCTTGAGGAGGAAAACCTCATGGGCAGAATAGAACAAAGAGGGTCTGTGAAAAAGAAGGAAGTATATTCCCTTTGGGTTGGTTTTAATTCTGTAACCAATTTATTAATGGGTGATGGGCCCACGTAGCTGCTCCATAAATAGTTGTAGAATTGAAATGAATTACATTGCTTACCGGACTGAAATTCTCTCTGTCCTTGTCTTCTACACATGTCTTATTCTCTTTCAACCTTTTCCCCTCCTCCCTAAATTCAAATTAGCAGATGCTTTGAAGTTGAAGAACAGAATCCATCCTAAATTTTCTCTTCATGCTCTTCTGTTTTCTTCCTTTCCTTTCTTTTCTGTTTCTTTGTCAAGTAAAGTGTTGCTCACATTATTGGTGTATAATAAATGCTTGAATGCAAGACTCTAAACATATTCAGAGGAAGACATTTTGTAAAACTTTTATAGTCCTCTTGCCACCTGCCACCATCCATCTCCTCAATGCTTCCCTGATCACCACATTTTGTTTGTTCTTTCTTTCTTTGCTGACTTGCTTATTTGTTTGCTAAAGGGAAGAACATCTTGGGAGTAAGAACTCAGTAGAATGATGGATACAAATGTGCATTTATTAGACCTTTAATAAGTGCCCATTTTGCTTCCTCTCATTTATAACTCTTTTGCATTTTCTTCTTTGCTTTATTTTTTGTGTGTTTCTTAATAAACATTGGAGAGATTTTACCCAATAAGTTTAAAGGGATTTCTCTGTGGCAATAAGATCCCTATGACTGAAGATGCCCACACAGTTGATAGCCACTTGGCAGGGGGCTATACATCACATTTAAGCCTTCATTTTTAGACTAGATTATGTCTAAAGACTTTTTCAAATTTTATTTAAAAAATAGAGACAGAGGTTTCACTATGTTGCCCAGGCTGGTTTCGAGCTCTGGGCTCAAGTGATTCTCCTGCCTCAACCTCTCAAAGTGCTAGGATTACAGACATGGGTCACGGCACCTGGCCTAAAGACATTTTAAAACTAGTATTCTATGGTTCTCCATTCCTTTGATGGGGGGAAAAACCATGTCTTGTCCTGATTGAAATACAGGGAAAATATTTGGCCACATTGATATGAGGACAAGGAGAACAGAGTGGTGGCAGTGATGTGAATTCCAGGAAGAAACAGTGGAGCCCAACAGATAAAATATTGAGAGGTTAAAAGTGTAGAAGCTGTGGCAGCTCTAATTCCTTCTATATTAAGGTTTATCCTTTGTAAATTTTCTCTGGAGTTATAACTTATAAAACATATTTAAAGTTTAGAGGAAAGCCTGATAGATAATATGTTTGCTTTTCCAACTGTTAAGATGTGATTGGCAAAATGGGCCATGCTGTTCCTGAACTAAATACAAAAGTTTGCTATATTTTAAAACAGCTTCGACGACTTCCCTGAAAGATGTTTCCCAAGTCCCAGGAAGAGTCATTAATCATTGTTCAATGGTACCTTGTACCTGCCTCTGCTACTCTATTTTCCACACTGAACTGTAGTGAAATGGTTTATCTGTCTCTCTCATTCTAATGTAAGCTACTTGAGGGTATGGACCATGCCTCATTTGATTCTGTATTCCTAGTACTTAGCATGGTATCTGATATATAGTAGGTAACCAAAAATTACTTAGAGAACTAAATAATATATTAGTTATGAGTGAAAGGCTCATAGCAAATGTCAAACAGGTAAATTAAAAGTCAAAAAATCCAAAAATCATGCAGACATTTCTAGATTTGCAGATTCTACATGTCATATATACTAAATACTCTAAAAACTAAATTTTTTAGAAGTTGTATTTCCACAAGAAAAGATCAAGCTATCATCTAAAATCTCTCTAATATATAATTGAAGTCCTCATTCATATGTCTGCAGAACACTCAAACTAATCTTGTAGAACCAGAAGTTTTCTAACCGTGCATGAGACAGTCAAATTGCATTTTGTAGAGTATGTTTTAAAAATCAATGCAGTAATGAGAAGGAATAGGTAAAATTAAAGAGCAACTGAGTGTAAGAAGGAACGGAGGGAGAAGGAGGGAGAAGAGAAAGGGGGAGGAAGATGAGGAGAGGGGAGGAGGAGAGCAAACACTCCAGGTGTAGAGGGAGGAACTGAATACTAGCGGAAAAAAAGTGGGCATTTCCAGCAAGAAATCAAAATGACTGTTCCACAGAACAATCATTTGTTATATGGTTAAATAAATACAAGGGTCAGATAATGGCTAGTTTTATAAATCTGACCTCCCAGGGATCAGCGGCTTAGAATTAAATTTACATTCAATCTAATCCTTGGATTTAAAAACTGGCAGTGATCCCAGGTAACATTCTATCTCGTAACTTTTCACATTTGTCTTCCTATTTGTCACACTTCTCCATGACTAATCAGACATGATTGTGCAGGATCCTTGCTACCTCTAGCTGATAACTGATATAATCATTATTTCAGCTATACATTCATTTATCAAGTATCTGAGTCTCAAGGGCTTCAGAATACCCAAACTAAGAGTATAGATTTGGAGATAAAGTTTAGAAAATTTTAGTAAAAAAAAAAAAGTGAACAAACTAGCTGTTTAAAAGCAGGAAAGAAAGAAGAAAGGAAGGAAGGGAAGGAGGTATAGGAAGGAAGGAAGGGAAGAAGGTAGAGGAAGGAAGAAAGGAAGGAAGGAAGAAAGGAAGGAAGGAAGGAAAAGAGGGAGGGAGGGAGGGAAGGAGGGAGGGAGGGAGGGAAGGAGGGAAGGAGAGAATATAACCTAGCCAAGGAAAGAATCCCCTATATAATTAATTCTATAAGAAATAAGCCTGGTATGGTGGCTCCTGCCTATAACCTCAGCACTTTGGGAGACTGAGATAGGAGGACTGCTTGAGCCCAGAAGTTGAAGACCCACCTAGGCAACATAGGGAGACCTCAGCTCCACGAAAAAATAAAAATAATTAGCCACTTGTGGCAGTGCACACCTGTAGTCCCAGCTATTTGGGAAGCTGAGGCAGGAGGATCACTTGAGCCCTGGAAGTGAGCTGTGATGGTGCCACTGCACTCCAGCCTGGGCAAGAGAGCAAGACCCTGTCTCAAAAAAAAAAAAAAGTAAAAAGTTGTACACGAATTAAGCAGAAGGTGCTTGCTTACTTTAGGTGTTTCCTTTAGAAAAAACTCATAGATAAAGTAGCAGATAAAGTGAGCCTGGAATGATCTGGAAATGGAGGAAAATTGCTTCTTGGCCTTTTGGCTAAGAACAAGGGTGGAAATGGAGGAAAATTCAGTAACAGAGTATACAAGTATGCAGAGTCAAGAAAGACTCTATATGGAAAACGTCAAAGAGTTACTTTTTATTGAAATAAAAGGTATGTGAAGGGTAATAATGGAAAATAAAAAATAAAGTTGTGAAAAGATAGGTTGGAGTCCAGTCATAGAAGACCATTAGTCTGTAGCTAAGGTGCTTAGAGCTTATTCCATTGTTGGTGGAAAGCCATGTGATATGGTCTGGCTGTGTCCCCAACCAAATCTCATCTTGAATTGTAACTCCAACAATTCCCACATGTCGTGGGAAGAACCCAGTGGGAGGTGATTGAATTATGGGGGTGGGTCTTCCCTGCGCTGTTCTCATGATAGTGAATGAGTCTCATGAGATCTGATGGTTTTAAAAATGGTAGTTTCCCTGCACAAGCACTTTTTTTGCCTGCTGCCTTCCACGTAAGACATGACTTGCTCCTCCTTACCTTCTGCCATGATTGTGAGGCTTTCCCAGCCACGTGAAACTGTAAGTCCATATTAAACCTCTTTTTCTTTCCAGTCTCTGGTATGTCTTTATCAGCAGTGTGAAAACAAACTAATACACTAGTTTCTACAAAACATTTTAAATAAATTTTACATACTTAAATAAAACGTTAAATGTTTATTATAGAAAATTTAGAATATATAAAAAAGTACAAAGAAGAAAATAAATCTTTTATAGTCATGACCCAAAAAGAAAAACACTACTAACAGTATTAACTATGTATTTCCTCTAATTTCTTTATACCTGTGTATTCTTTTTCACATCATGCTGATCATGGGAGTTTATAAAATTTCATCTATATTTTCCACAATTTTGAATATCACTAGCTGGACAGAAGTACTAACAAGGCAACATATTCCATCTGAATTATAGGGCCATGTTGCTCAGACTGGTTTCAAATTCCTAGGCCTGAGTGATTTGCCCACCTTGGCCCCGCAAAGTGCTAAGATTACAGACATGAGCCACTATGCCTAACAATAAAATATTTTGATACTGGTATGCAATATGTAGCAATCACATTGGGGTAAATGGGGGTATTCATCACCTCAAGCATTGATCACTTCCTTGTGTTACAAACATTCCAACTTATTGTTTAGTTATTTTAAAATGTACAATAAATTGTTGACTGTAGTCACCCTGTTGTGCTATCAAATACTATATAATATTCATTCTAACTATATTTTTGTACCCATTAACCATACCCACTCCCACTACCCCCCACTACACTTCTCAGCTACTGGTAACCCTCATTCTACTCTCTATCTCCATGAATTTAATTGTTTTAATTTTTAGATCCCACAAATAAGTGAAAACATGTGAAGTTTGTCTTTCTGTGCCTTGCTTATTTCACTTAATGTAATGTCCTCCAGTTCCGTCAATGTTGTTGCAAATGACAGGTCTCGTTCTTTTTCATGGTTGAATGGGACTCCACTGTGTATATGTACTATGTTTTCTTTATCAATTCATCTGTTGACGGACACAGGTTGCTTCCAAATCTTGGCTATTGTGAATAGTGCTGCAGTTAACATGGAAGTGTAAATATCTCTTTGACATGTTGATTTCATTTCCTTTAGATAAATATTCAGTAGTGGAATTGCTGGATCATATGGTAGGTCTATTTTTAGTTTTTTGAGAAACTTCCGTACTGTTGTCCATGGTGGTTGTACTAATTTACATCCTCACCAAGGATGTATGAGGGTTCCCGTTTCTCCACATCCTTGCCAGAATTTGTTATTGCCTGTTTTTTGGGAAAAAAGCCATTTTTACTGGGATAAGATGATATCTCATTGTAGTTTTGATTTGCATTTCTCTGATAATCAGTGATGTTGAGCACTTTTTCATATCACATAGGTTTTCATAGTTGAAATCAGACTATATATTCTGATTTTTATGCCTATTTGCCATAGAAACTTTCAAACATTCTAGTTGGAAGGGGAATTAGAATAGAAAAGGGATGAGGCACAGGTAATTTCTGCACGTGATGGCTCAGTCTTTTTTCATTTATAAAAGCATAATGACTCAGATCACTCCACATGAGTGGTAAAAATGTTGAAATCTATCACTTAAATACTTTGAGAATGACAATAGCTTTTATGTGGCTCCAGGCAACTCTGTTTTTATGGAGGGAAAGAGCATTTTGTAATATTCTTGGCACAAATATTCCAGTTATGTAAAACAGAGTAACATAAAGTTTTCAGTGGTTCTCCAACAGGCAGTATATTTCATCTGGTTGTAGGGTAAAATAATGATGCTTGATAAACAATTTTTCTCATATGAGGATTAGAGTGGAAGCAGGAGAACAGGTATGAAAAACATTACGGATAAAGCTTAACTCCAGGCTGTCAAATCCTGAAAAGACACTTTTCAATCAGAAAACTGACTTTTTCAAACAAGTTCAGTAAACGTAGCTCCATTAAGCTTTTCATAGCCTGACCTATGCATTCTGGAAATGTTCGCTTTTAGCCAGTTGGCAATTGTGTGTCTTTATGTAAACGTTTTCCAAAGGTGGTTCAGGAGTGAAATTTACTGATTCCAGCATGTCTGAGAATGTCTTTTGTTAAAATATCCTATGGGAAATATCTTAGGTGAATATGACACTCAGTTCACAATCGTTTTTCTCTCTTCCAATATCAAAACCTGTTCAGTAGAGATACAGCTTCAGTGTTTTCTATTATAGTTGATAGAAAAATATATGTCCTGGACCCTGAGAACAAATATCTTTCTAGATCTTTCAGATGACAAGAGGTTCTTCAGGTTTCGTGAGACAAACATAGACAGGCTTCTGAATATTTTTTCTAATATAACTTCACTGTTTTTATAAAAACTGGAAAAATCATTCTTAAAAAAAGCTTTTCATTTTATGTGCTCTAGTGCAAGTTTGGGAAAGGCTGCTTCAGTGGCTACTAAGGAATTGTCCTCTTAGACTGAAAATTTTCTATGTGTTGCTCTTGATCAGATAAATGACATCAGAACTGTGTTTCTGTGAGATTTATCTGGTGGCAGTGATTGAGATGGATTAGAATGTGAAGCAAATGAAGTTGACTATTTCAGGGGCTGTTATAATCTTCCAAGTGAGGCACAAGGGCAACCCGAAGGACTGCAGATATAAGTAAAAAGAATTAAGAAAGGAAAGTGATATTACAGACAGAAAAAGGACAGGCAAGAGTAGAAAGGCATGGCTTGGCATTGAGGCTTGTGAATTGGGAAGAATTGGAATGAGCTAGTCTGTAGTTAAGGTTGGGGTCCTTTCTTTATGACTTGGCAGATCTTTGTCTGGTGTGGAAATAAACAAAGACCAACTAAATAGGAAGAAGCAAAGGCTGTTTATTCAGAGCTTGCCATAGCAAGGGTGTCAGCTACTGTTGCTTGTGTTTTGGCAGAGACTCAAAGACAGGTGAAGGAGAAGGAAAGCTTTATAGTGGAAAAAAATGGGGATAAACTGGAGGCTTTGGAATGGGGATGCTATAGGGAGGCTAACTAGCTGTAGGCATCCTGTGTGATTGGTTAGGAGGGCATATCTTTCTCTAAGTTGGAAGCAGGGACAAAAATTAGGGATGCTGTCAGTTATTAATCAACTCTTGGTCATTTGGGGCCAATTGTGATAGAAGTTATTGTTTAGCTTCCTGGATTGTCACTAGAGGTAACAATCTGGCAGTGTGCAAATCTGACTTGCAGCAGGCTGGCCTGTTTATTGTAGACAATAAATTCGCCTATTTATTGTAGACAAGAGGATTGGTTTCCTGGGCAGTTTGCCGCAGGTTGTGGGTCAAAGTTATATATATATGATCTGGCAGTTGTCCATTTGTACATTCAGTTTCTCACTGTAAAATTGTCTCTTAATTCCATGGCTTAAGCATCTCTGTAAAGGATGAGTCCTGGGTATTTCCTTGGCTCAATGACCTCTTCTTTTGCTACTCACATAATTTTTGCTTAAACTCCGGAATTCATAAGTGCTTCATTCCAGAGGTTAGATTTCTTCAAATAGTTTTAACCAGTAATGCTCGTTGCCCTGACAAATCTGTGGTAATGGTCCTAGGCGCCGCTTCACCTCAGCTCTGACACAGCTCATCGTCTTCTGAGTCATGACTTCATGAATGCTGACACATCCTTTGAATGGGTCACATTATGTAAGAATGACAGAATGAAAGTTTGTGTTGTAGTAACAGCTAAAATTAAGATTGGATGTACACCAAGGCAGAGCTCACTCATACAACTCCATAGAGCTGCTGTTGGTGAGCCAGCTTATTCCACATTAACCCATGTGGTGGAAAGAATGGAACCAGGGTTCTAAACTTTCATTATATTTTATAGTTTTTGGTAATTAATGACTTTGAATCTTCTCAGAGTGTGTAATGTGGTCAAACAGACATATATACGTTTATATACACACATATATGTGTGTATATGTCTACATATGTGTATGCATACATGTACACATATATATACATGATAGTTTTCTCCTTTCTTAAAGAACACAATATATATATATCTATGCATTGTCATTACTTTTAAAATTCAAGTTTCTCAAAGTTTTGTTTTTTACTTAATACAAAAGTGAACTGGTTCACACTATTATATATATGTACACACTATATATATTATATATATATACACACACACACACAAGTTATATATATATAACTTGTCCTTTAAGAACATAAATATATATATAACTTATTTTTTATTTCATTTTATTTTATTTTTTTTGAAACAGAGTCTCGCTCTGTTGTCCAGGCAGGAGTGCAGTGGCATGATCTCGGCTCACTGCAACCTCCACCTCCTGGGTTCAAGCGATTCTCATGCCTCAGCCTCCTGAGTAGCTGAGGTTACAGGCATGTGCCACTACGCCAGGCTAATTTTTTGTATTTTTAGTAGAGACAGGGTTTCACTATGTTGTCCAGGCTGGTCTTGAACTCCTGGCCTCAAGCAATCCACCCGCTTCAGCTTCCCAAAGTGCTGAGATCACAGGCATGAGCCACCATGCCCAACATATATATATATATATATATATGAAAACACACACACACACACACATATATATAAGTTATATGTATATACAACTGTCCTTTAAGAAAGAGGAAAACCACCATATATTGATCATCAGTTATGTACCCAACACGTTACATATATTATGTCTAATCTTTACACCCACATTGCAAGGTAAAGATTATATCTCCATTTCACAGATAAATAAATTGATCAGAAAAAGTCAAAAGGTTTATTCAAGTTCACGTAGACGGTAAGTAGCAGAGATGTACAAACATTGTCCAATCAAAACCAGAACAAACAGAAATAAGAGTTTGCAGTCTTTAGACTTATCTCAACTCCTGCTTCTTATCTGTTTATAACACTTTCTTGGCCTGGACTTAACCCTTTCTATAAATTTTATCTTTCAAATTTTCATATTCTTGAAAACAGAAACCTGGAAATGTCTCTTAACTCAGTGTCTAATGGATAATTAGCATCAATTTTCGGGGTACCTCTCATCATTTTTCTAACTTCCTTCCCCTCTCTTTAAGCTTGGTCTTCTCTGCCCATCATCTTCCACTGGTGCTGCCCGAATGTGACCCAGTTAGGACCCAAGTCTATGTGCAGTCATTATGTGTCACTATGATTCAAAAATACAAAGCCTCCTCATTCACGAAGATTAGTAAATATTCCAAATCCTGGGAAAAGAACAAAATCTTTCTGACTGTGAATTTGTAAGCACTCATCAACGTCAACAAAATCCAACTCTAAGGTTCTGAGCATACACATCCAATCCAGTACCTTTGTGGTTTGATACACATTTCACAATCCTTTTTTGTTTTGAAAGTCATATTTTATTCAATTATAAGATGGGAACATGCTGTTCAAGATCATGAATTTAGAGAATAAGTGGAAAAACCTCTCCTCAAACCTCACTTACGTTCACATCTCTCTTAGTATTCTCATGGTAACTTGACTGCTCCAAAAATTACAGAGGATGTTGATAATTTACCAACTTTTACATTTTGTACCTAATAATTGGGCCAAATAGTATCAAAACATATTCCTTGTTAACTACAAGATTATCAGCCAAAAGAATCTAAGTGCTATAGTAGAAAAAGCATGGGTTTTGGGGTTAAACAGCCCCCAGTTAGAATCCTAGTTTCTGTACTCAGTAGCTCTGACACCAAACAAATTGCTTATCTTCTCTGTGCCCCTTTTTCTTCACTCTTAAAAATGGCCATTTAAATGTCTATTTTATGGGCTTGATATAGGTAACAGAAATTATGTAAGAACTTCTCAGAAAATAATAAACATGATTATTCATAGCCATCAGATAGCTAGAATGAGGGCCAAAAAAAAATGAGTTATGTCTAACTTTGGATGGGCTTAAGCAGTTGGGAATGAGGGCAATATGGGGAAAACGAAGAGTGACCACATGAGTTCTCTTCCTTCTCGACAAGTCAGAGTGGTTATTAGGGGATGAATGTACTTAGTGAGGAGGAGAGCAGCAAAACTGGGAAATTCTGGGTCCAGAAGAAGTTGAGATGTGAAGAAATAAGTTTCTTTCTTTATTTATTTCAGCCTACTAAGTGTCAGAGGCTTTACCTACTTAATTCTCAGAACAAATCTAAAAGGCAGGTATTGTTTTCCCTGAGAGTCAAAGAGGTCAATAACTTGTCTAAGATCACACAGTGAGTCACAGAGCAGATTTTCTAACTTATCAAAATTGTGGACTTTGTATAACCAGTCACTGCCCGGAACTCTGCCTTTCAAGATATTTGCAACAGGTTGAGACAAGCCACACCTTCACTTCCTGCAATATAGCAGACGATATATTCTGAAGGACTGTTTCACCATGAAACAACTACAATCTTTTTTTTTTAATTAGGTAAGCACTCAAATTACTTTTATCTAATAAAATAAGCAGGAATTTTAAGCGTTTGCTGTTTCATCTTATACGTTATTTTTCCTGGGCCTTCATTTATAGGGTATAAAACTTTAAGGAAACATTCTCAACTAACATTCTTATTAGATGTAAATGATTCATATTACAAATAATACTAACGTAAGCATTGTCATTACTTTTAAAATTCAAGTTTCTCAAAGTTTTATTTTTACTTAATACAAAAATGACCTGGTTCACACTATCAGCTGCCCAACAAACTGTTTAAAAAAAATTCTTTGTTAAAGAGCAGATTACAAGAAATGCTTTCCATCTCTTATTTAAAAAAAAGAAGATTCTGATACACATAATGAATCTAAATCAAAATTCATAAGTGGTGGCTGAAATCCTGTCAACTTTCAGTCCAATACTATAGAAATCCACAGTTATAATGCATAAACAATTCAAAATTAAAGTTTATAGTGGAAATGTCAACAAGTCATAACTAGTACACATTATTACTGATGAGTTGCACTATACTTCAAGCACAGTAGATGTGCATATCTGATAGACAGACTGCTTAGAAAATTAAAGCTATCAGAGCTATAAAAAAGGAATACACAAATATGAACATAGCAATGCCAAAGGATTTGAGCCGTTAAAAAAAAGTGAATAATGAGGTCAAGAGATCGAGAGCATACTGGCCAACATGGTGAAACCCCATCTCTACTAAAAATACAAAAATTAGCCAGGTGTGGTGGCTGGCACCTGTAATCCCAGCTACTCAGGAGGCTGAGGCAGGAGAATCACTTGACCTGAGAGGTGAAGGTTGCAGTGAGCTGAGATCGTGCCACTGCACTCCAGCCTGGTGACAGAGTGAGACTCTGTCTCAAAAAAAAAAAAAAAAAAAGTGGATAAGATGTGATGTAAACACATCTGATAGATCTCTCTGTAAGCCACTGTCCACTGATTTATAAAGCTATGGTTTTATAATTCTTTTAAAAAGGAATTTTTTTCTACACTGATGCATACAGTAATTTCATTGTACATTCTTGACTACAACACAATCTTCAAATCCTCTTGCAGAGCTTGTATGTATCATCAGAATTTCTCCAGAAAGTCAGCTTGCCATATTTTCAGCAGCCTGTGACAGAAAAGAACTTCTTAAACATGGCACTGTAGAATAATAGGCTGATTAATTTAAGTACATCAAAATTAATTTCAAATGATGTCAGCTGGGATGGTAGAGTAAGGACCTTTAAAATGTCCTTTTCCATAAAAACAAGAACATTGGCAGAAACAAAAAGTCAAAATCAACTTTTTCAGAATCCTGAAAATGAATCAACTGCATACAACAATCTTGGCAGCAAAAAAAGTGGCTCAATGTTCAGAGAGCTGCTCAACGGTGGTCTTGTAAATGAACAACCCACAATTACAATGAAAACAAGCAACCTAGCAGCTGCTGGCATCCAAATAAGGTAAGAGCTCTTTCAAAGCCCTATCCGAAGAATTGTCATTATTTGACCTGTCTGCCGGTTTCCTGGAAAACACCACTCACAAGGCTTGTTTTTATTTAACCTGATTCAGAACACACCCAGTGCAATCAACATTTTCCCAGGTCATTTGTCAAAAACAATCAGCAGTAGTTGTTTAACATCATAGCTGCCCGAGCAGTTAAACATTTGATAATTCCAAAATGTAGTCATTCCACATTTAGGAATATACCATACAGAAACTCTTGCATTTATGTTTTGTAAGTTGGATGGAAATCTACTGCCTCATCTGTAATAGCAAAAGACCAGAAATAACCCAGATGGTCATTGGACAGTAGAGTGGATAAATTGTAGTATATTCATATAATGTTTTATAACTTTATTAAGCATTCAAACATATAAAATGCTACAACTATACTTAGTATTATCAAATATTACAAAAATAAAGTATATATGAATTTTTTAAAGGGAGGAACTATTATCTACTTAAGAACCAAAATATGAGATATAAAAAGTACATCTGGGGAGATGAAGACCAGTGAAGTCTGGACTTGCTTGTTACTAGAAAGGTAGTTAGGATTTGTATATAAGACCAAGAGTGCGGCAGTTAAGGAAAAAAGACATGAGGAGCGAATGTGCAGAGGGGGCCACTGGTATGACAGGAGAGATTCAATATGAACGTATCAAATCATTGCACAACTCTAACAGTACATTTATCAGTCACTGTTTTATGTATGTGTCAGTGGTATAGATACATACATATATTATATGAAATCTCTAGCATTTAATAGCCACACTTCACAGATGAGTAAACCAAGATTCAGCAGATTAAGTGACCTTCACAAAGTGATGTGGTCAGATGAGTAGCAGCACTGGTATCCAAATTCATCTTGGATACTTTGGTCTTTTTAAATAATTGATACATTTATAATTATGAAATGCTCCTCTGTATACAGTGAGTCTCAAACTGTAGCATGAATCAAAGTCACTCGGAGGGCTTGCTTGATGAAACAGACTTCTGGACTTCAATTTTAAATTGATTCAGTAAGTCTAAAATGGGACCTGAAATTTGCATTTCTAATAAGTTCCTGATTTATTGATGCTCCTGGATAAGGAACCACATTAGGAAAACCAGTTTCATATCTAATTTAGCTGTTATTAATGTACCCATTCCATCTTTCTTATGATTAGTGTTTGCATGGTATATTATTTTCATCCTTTTACTTTTAAAATAAATGTCATTATATTTAAAGTGGTTTTCTTAGAGACAGGAAATAGTTTCAGTCTGACAATCTCATTTCATTAGAGTGTTTGGACAATTTATAATTAATGTAATTATAGATATGATTGGACTGAGATCTATTCGCTTGCTATTTGTTCCTATTTGTCCCATCTGTTCTTTCTTCCTTTTTCCTCTTTTCAGATCTTCTTTTGGATTAATAGAATAATTTTCAGTATTCCATTATATCAACATTATTGGCTTATTAGTTATACCTCTTTGTCTATTTTTAGTGGATTTTTTTAGAATTAAAATTTTTATCTCTATCTTTTCAGAGTTTACCTTCATATAGAATTATACCACTTCAATTATACCTATAAGAATCTCACATCTATATTTTTTCTCACATCTATATTTTTCCTCACATCCTTTGTGCTATTGTTGTCATACATTTATTTTACTTGTATATATCCTGTCAACTCCATAACACATTTTTATTTCTTTGCTTCACATAGTTATTTTTAATAATTAAACATAGAAAACTGCCTTTTATATTTACCTATATATTTACTCATTATGATGCTCTTCGTTTCTTTGTATTGATACGTTACCAGTCATTACCATTTTCCTTCTACTTGAAGAACTTCCCTTAACATTTCTTAAGGGAATAACTTCCCTTAACAATTCTTAACAGAATTGTCTTCTGACAGTCAATTCTCTCAATTATTGCTTGTCTGAAAAAGTCTGCACCATTTTTTATTTTTGGAAGTTGTTTTCACTAGATATTGAATTCTAAATCGATAATGCCTTTTTTCTTTCAACATATTAAATGTGTCACTCCATTGTCTTCTCTCGATATGTAAGTATATATATATTTAGAGAGATTTATTTATGTAAATATAAATGTTTATATAAATTTTATAATGTTTAATAATATAAGATTATGTTTATATAAGATTACATTTTATAAATATAAATAAATATAAGTACACATTATTTCTCTACATATATAGAAAAAAGTCAATAAATGTTTCTAAAATATATATATTTTAGAAATATATTTTTATATATATATATATATTTATATATATGTAAGACAGGGTCTTGCTCCGTCACCCAGGCTGGAGTGCAGTGGTATGATCATGGCTCACCTTGACCTCCCAGGCTCAAGCAATCCTCCCAACTCAGCCTCCCAAGTAGCTGGGACCACAGGTGTGTGCCACTGCTATTGGCTAATTTTTTGTAGAGACAAGGTCTCCCTGTGTTGCTCAGGCTGGTGTCAAACTCCTGGGCTCAAGCCATCCTCCAACCTCAGCCTCCCAAAGTGTTGGGATTAGTCAAGTGATTTACAGATCAGTTTGATCTTTTCAAAGTTTGATTTTAAGTTTTGTTTAGGGTGGGTCTAGTGTACCCTTATCTGTAGGAATAACTGAGTCCTACTATTAAAGTGGCTTCACTGATTTCCCCAGGTGTTAAAAGACATCTTGCCATTCAGGCTGGATGAAATTCAAACCTCTCCTAGCCCTATGTAATCTCTGAGAATTGTTCAGTCTACAGTTCCTTGGTGGTGCATATGCAGTTCAGTATTCATCAGCAGACTCAAGGGGTCTTCTCTCCCAATTTCTGGAGTGCATTCTCTATGTAACTTCCTCCTCTTCCTTACTTTTCCCTGAAAATTATAGCCACCTCTAACTCCCTGAACTTTAATCTCTATCTCTCAACTCAGTGAGACCACTGCATTCTACTTGGTTCCTTTCCCCTGTGCTGTGTCCTGGAAATTACCTAAAGGGAGAAAGCAGGCAAGACTTGGGGGCTTGCACCATCCGTTTTCTTCCTTCCTGGACTATTTCCTACACTACCTAGTGCTCAATGAATGAAACCATCTTTTTCATACATTTTGTTCAGTTTTATAGTTGATCACAGCAAGAAGCAAAATCCAGTACTAGTTACTGCAATATGACCAGAAACAAAAGTGATCCTCGGATATTATATTTATATACTAACACAAGAAGAGACAAGAGCTTACATTTTAATCCTCATGGATTGGGAGCTGTCTTGCATAAATCAGCAAATCCTTTTTCTATGGTATATTACGACCTCCTTAAAATATTTTGATGTTCTTATACCATAATGCTATAATCTAGAAAATCACCCCAGAGATGATACATATTGGAAAGACTATTACTTATGGTCCTCCTAAGATATCCCATTAACTTCCAAGTTGCGACCTTCTACCTACACACTAACCACTTCAACATTTTAATTTCTGGTTCAGACACCTTTATTGGGCCTTGACCCCATCCCGTTACCTACTAGACATCTCCCCCTGGCTCCCCAGTTTCAACAGACCTAGTTATTTCCTTTCCATCAATCACACCACCATCTCTTCTGCAACCAGATTTTCCTTCTCTATTCAAAGTCACTTCTTAAACCAGATGCTTAAAAAAATCACCCTATACTATTCCTTTTCAGCCATACTCCATATGCAAAGCAGTCACCAAACCTTATGATTTCTCCCTTCTAGCTGTTGCTCGCATGTCTTCCCCACGTCTATAATTTAGGTTTCTAGTATTTTTTGCATGGACTAGTACAGTACTATGGTAGCTGTTCTTCTCTGCACATTGCCTTAATTACTTCTGACCTATCTTCTATATTTCCATTCAAAAGATATTCTAAGATGCAATTTGGTCTTTATCCCTATTAAAATCCCTTCAATAAAGCCATATCATTTATGAGATAAACATAAAGTTTCATGACAATAAATTTTGTTAATGACCTGGTATCTCCTTCTCATCTTTTCCCTTTTTGTTTTATGCTCCAATTTTACAAAAATATTATTTTAGTGAGTCTTTGAGGAGGCTCCATTTCCACCTGAAATCCCTTTAGCTACATCTCCACCTAACAAATCCCTCTCATATTTTAAAAACACATCTCAAATGTTGTTTCCCATAGGAAATGTTCTGTGGCCCCCAAATCTTTTTGCAGAGATATAATTACCCCTCTATTTTGTAAATGCTTCTATTGATCTACTTATTACATTGCATTATAATTTGTTTATATGTCTTGTTTGTCTTTACCATATTTTGTGCCTTTGAAGACATAGATTCCTAGTCATCTTTGAATCCCTCATGCCTATCACAGGGACTCAAATCTAGTATTAACATCAAAAATGTGAATCTGGGAAACTTTATGCAGCCCAAACATGGTACATCCTTTCCTTTCTCCTGTAAAGGCACAGGATTCCTCACTATCCTATTACAGTATAAGGGGAGAAGCAGAATCAGAAAGACGAAACTACAGTTCTGGCAGGCTTGAGAAATTGTCTACTAATTTAAGGTTTTTTCTACTTGTAGTCCACAAGGTAGACAGTCCTGTTCTCTTCCTTGTTGACTAATTTGTGCTAAAGTATAATTTTTAAAGGCTAAAAATATGATTTTATGCAAATATGAAATGAACTTGTTAAAGATATTCTTTAACTCACTAGCTAATGAGGGAATCAGTTCAAAGAAGGGCCTGAAGAACAGACATATATACAGTAAGGAATGTGAAAGAAATTTCCTAATGATATAAATAGGTAATATCTTTATAGGACAGCAAAATGTAATGTTTGAGAGTATCTCTTCTATCTGGCACAAATGAATTTTATCCCTAAGAAGTAAGATTTATTTGCATTGATATAGAAAAAAACCTTTCGTGTAACTGTCAGTTCTCTACTATTTCTACCCTTACAGATTTATAAACTAGTCTACCCAATAAAAAGTCAAAGATGCATACCCTCATAAAATCAGTTACTCCAGAATATTAGCTACACAATGTGCAGCCCTTAGTTGTAAAGACACCTGTAATTTCCAAGTCTTGAACATTTTCTTTCCTTACATCAATGAAATAATACTCCTCCATTTCCCAGAGAAAAAGTGATATTCCCCAGACGGGACATACATGCAACTCTTAAGACATTTTGAAGACTTTTAATTGAAAAGTAAAAATGCAAAACTTTATAGAGTGAAATGCCAGAAGTTTTAGCTTTAACTTTTTCCACTTTATAAATCTAAAAGGCACAATCTTGTGGTAGTTAATAGCATAGATTCTGGTGTCAGGCTGCCTGACCGTGCATCAAGCTCCAAGGCTACCTGACCTACAGCAAGGTAAAAACTCTTGATGCTTTAGTTATCTCATCTGAAAAATGAGAATGACGGTACTTACCTCATGTTTGTAATCAGGATTAAATGAGTTATTTTCATTTTATATTTTGTGTATATACAGCCTTGGAACAGTGCCTGGCACATGGTTAACATTATAAGGATTTGTTTAACAAAATTTGAAAGTACACCACGGATAGAAGAAAAGGAAGAAAGGTTCACATTTAAGTCTTTGAGGCATCTTTATGAACACTCATGATAGCGACTCTGGACTTTTATTCCTATTCAGTTGTCATTTAAGAGAAACGCCTCCCTCCTGAGTTACCTAAGGCCAAAGACAATTCATGCAGATACCATTCAATTTTTTTTGATGCTGATTCTGGAGGGAATTTTCTTCTTTTGAGGGAAATCCAGCATTTAGTAACCTGTGGGGAATAACATTTCTTATAGTGGTGAATCGATTCTACTCTTTGCAAAGACAACTCTAATAATACTGAAGGAGCACATACTTGAGTTAAGAATGGATCTGAGCACAGCAGCTCATGCCTGTAATCCCAGCACTTTGGGAGGCCTAGGTTGGGGGTATCACTTGAGGTCAGAAGTTCAAGACCAGCATGGCCAACATGGTAAGACCCCCGTCTCTACTAAAAATACAAAAATTAGCTGGGCGTGGTGGCTGGCACGTGTAATCCCAGCTAATCTGGAGGCTGAGTTGGGAGAATCTCTTGAACCCAGGAGGCGGTGGTTGCAGTGAGCCGAGATTGTGCCACTGCACTCCAGCCTGGGCGGCAGAGTGAGACTCCGTTTCAAAAAAAAAAGAAAAAAGATCTGAGACATGAAGGACAAAGAGCTCTATCTCCCTCTAGGTACTTTCTGAGCCTCATATTTCCCCTGAGTTCAGTTCATTTCACTAGCCAGAAATGATCATCCAGCTTGAAATGGACTTGGCCATTTCTGCAAACTTAAGTACATCAATCAGCAATGATTTACTAATAAATTGAAAACTAAAAGCATTCCACAAACCCGTAAGCTATAAGTGAGAGCTCTACAATGTATGCAACCCAGAAGATAGGGGAACTATGTGTCAGGGTAGTGGAGAAAATGGACACAGGACAGGCCACACTGCCAGAATGATGTGCTTACCATGCATTGTGTGGTTTTTCACAATAAACCTATGAGGTGGGTACCTCCTAAGTTTATTTCCTCCTAAATTTAAGGAAGCTTAGATTTAATTGCTTGTTAAGGTCACACAGCAATTACACTGTGAGACTTGACTGTGGATTTTACCAGAACGGGAAATTCCCATTTCATCCCTTCTCTCCAGTCTTGTGGCTGTACTCTGTAAGCACTCCTTGGGGTTGTGTGTAGCCTAGAGGATGTTTTCTTGCCTTGAGACCAAGGACACAAGTGGTGTTACCCAAGTGACCAAAAGAAATCTAAGCTTTTATTTCTACTTGCCATATTTCTATTCATCTCTTGATATAGTCAGAGAGACTTGTTTTTATTTAGGAGTAGGTTCAGAGTTATTTTCAAAATACACATTCTGTTTCTCAAGAAAAATATATTAAAAACCAAATGATTTTTTTTTCAATTTTATTTGAGCCAAAATATATATACTTAATTTTAGTTATGCCAGAAGTAAGTATAATTTCTCAGTCCAAGGATGTTAGGAAGCAACTTACAGAGCATGCTTCAAATAGAATTCTCTTGGCCTTTGAAGGTAACTATTTTCAAACTTAATAGTAGAGTCAAGCAAGAATGGACAATTAGAGTTTTCAAAATTGAAAAATATTATGTATTTTATATAATCATTACCTATGGTTTACAGATTTTATTTTTATGATACATATCTCTAAGTAGTGGTACACTGAGGACATAGCAAATATGCAATAAATACTTATTAAGCTGAAGTGAACTAACAAAAACCATTAATTACACCATTTCTAACAACCAAACCAGCTATTGCTTTTCAGTGTTTTGGTGATACGTTGGAGTAGGAAGTCATATTCAAATTGGTTAGATCCTTGGAAGAAATAGTAGTATTCTGAAAATGAAAACAAATTAAATAGTTTAATTCCCTCCCTGTATTTCTTTACAACAACAACAACAACACAAATCTCTTCTCATAGATTATCTAGAATAGATGACCTATGGGCTGTGGTTCATGCCCTTAACTACACACTTTGAGAGGCTGAGATGGGAAGA
The DNA here is from genome assembly GCF_000001405.40 of Homo sapiens. NCBI lineage: Eukaryota > Metazoa > Chordata > Mammalia > Primates > Hominidae > Homo > Homo sapiens. The sequence goes on from NC_000011.10 coordinate 102,863,362, forward strand.
CTGCTTGAGGCCAGGAGTTTGAGATCAGCCTGGCCATCATCACAAGACCTCATCTCTATTTTTTCATCAAAAAATAACAAATAAAAAATAAGATGAGATGTGATTTGAGGACATAAAAGTTGAGGGCCCTTGGTATCATACCCCCAAAACGTCTACCAACAGCCAGTCATACTCCAAGTGGAGGACTCATGAAACAGGATATTGGACCCAGCTAGGGCACACAGGGGCTTTGATGGAGGAAACAACACTGGGGAGGGGAGGGAATACAAACAAAAAATCTTGACCCCATGAACAGTTGCTTAGGCTGGTCTTGTTTGAAGACATACGATACAAACTCAAGCTTTTCTTAACCCACCCGCAGTCCCCAGTCCATGAGGGCCTATCAGGGCAGAAGGGACTATAGGAAAGGTCAAGAGTGCAAGGTGTAGGAAAGGGTGAGACTCCAGACTGCCTGAGTCTTGGCTGCCATGTGCTCGCTTGCACATACTGTGTGGCTGATGTGGTAAAAGGAAATTCCAGAGACTCAGGTACATGAGAAATAGGAACAATCACATTCCCTCTGCCTGCTAGACAACCCTGGGAATATACCACTTGTGCCACCAGCCCCTGCTCATTCTAACTCTCCTATTCAGAGCCACGTACAGTGTGAGTTTTTCCTTGCGGCCCTATGGGGAACTGCAGAAACCTGTCCCTTTCCAATTTGGAGCCCTATTCTCTAATCTTAGAGGATTTATAGCTTTGAAATGTTATTTCCAGTATCTTCATGGTTTCCTCATCTACTTACTGTTTTTAGAGTAGAAGACTGCATCAATTTTAGGCCCGATTCCTTGGAAGTTCTTGGTAATCAGTTTGGGATAACCAGGGTCCATCATCTGTCTCCTTTCATCATACCTGAGCAAAGAAGTAACCAGCAGGAACTCAATCAGAAAGTGGCTTTCCTGACATGCACCACAAACCCACCTTCTCTACTGAAGAGCTCTTCCCCAAAGGACTTAAGTTGCTCTGATGAAAAAAACCAAGGACCTAAACAGTTCACTGATTTCCTCTGAGTCCCTATAGGACTCAAACCTATGCTTCCTGACTCTGGTTAAGTCTTTTTCCCACTATCCCATAATACTTCCTCTAGTGCTTGGTCCTGCTTTATAGAGTCTGGCATAGAAGGTGATTTGGCAACAGCATAGGCCCCAGTGACCGATTCTTCAGTTGCCTGTCATTGCCTTCTTTTCAAAGCTATTCACTGAGACAAAAATACCCATTTCCCCCAAGAAGATAATAAACAGGTCAAGGGGCTAAGAGCCAGGGAACCAAAGGGTTTTATACACACGTTTGAGAGAAATTGAAAATAAACACTTTTGTTTCCAGGCTGTATGGTCATATCCTGGTTTCTCTCTTAAATTCTCTTTTACCAGCAAGTGAAAAGAGCTTTGTGTCTCTCTAGACTTCCAAGTGGCAACTGAATCTAACTGTTATCTTGTGTTTATCAATTTGGTTCTCTAAGTATTTATGGCTTGCTTAGCACTCTCTCAATGGCCTTTCAGGGAAAAATCCTGGGCCAAGTAGGAGTGGAAAACTAAACAGAAACACTGTTCAGAGTTGAAATGCCAATGTTCATAATAACAGGCTACAGCAAACTACACCCATTTGTGAGCTCTTTGGAAAGTGTTATTTGCTAAAATCAAGTTTTGTTTCTCAAACAGAGCTAAGGGCTGGTGGACAAATTCAAGTCATAAGCATCCGGTATTCAATTGGAATTAGATATTGTGTTTTAAATGCTTAAGAATAAATAACAGTTGTAAATGTAAGCTTAACATATATGTTATGTCTCATGTCAACCAGGCAAGCAATCTAGGAAATGACTGGCTTACTCAGAAGAAGGAATACAGAATCCTCTCCTCCTTCAAAATGTAGACAATTGAGACAACAGAGACAGACACTCAAATGAGCTCCTATCCTCACTTGACCATATGACTTTCTTTTAAGGAAGATCTTGCAGGACCTCCTGACCTCCTGTCATTTAGAGGATGGTTGTCTCATTTTGTCTTTTGAATCCAGTGATTACAGAAAGGAATCTGGAAATCCATAACCCTCGAAACTGACTGTAGATTAAATACTTGGTCTTGTACATCTATGACACTATTTTCCAATGTGTTTCCACTATGATTAATAAGATGACATTTTATTTAGAGTGTTTTTTTAAAAAAAAACACACATTATCTACTATTTCATATATCAGAAACCAAAAACACAAAGAACTAAGTTGACAATAACTATTTCAGTCCTATATTCTCTTAATCTCTCTCCCTGGAAGGTCAAGGAGCTTTGGGAATTTGCGCAGAAAATGTGCCTTCTAGAAAGCCTCATTCCATATCTGTTTCACAATCTGAGGGGTCGAATGACCAACCATTAAAACTCACCTCCAATACTGGTTATCTACAAAGAAGTAGGTCCTATAAAAACGTGGGTTAAAAACAGCTGCATCAATTTTTTTCACAAAGTTAGGAAAACCAAAAGAATGTATGCTCTTGGGATAATTTGGCTCTGGTCTTAAATTGCTAATTAACCAGTATTTGTCATCTGTGAAGACAAAGAAATAGGGTAAATTTGAATTATACAGGAAGAGTAATAAGAAAATATTGATTTACTATAAACAACATAATTCCTTTCCAACAGTTATAATATTTATTGCTTATTGATCTTAAACATAGTCTCTTTTCTATGGTTCCCATGGTTTTTTTTCACAAGTATTACTATTTTGTAGTTTACAAACTTTTCCCAGAAGTTGTATATATTACTTAGGTATTTAGGCTATTTTAGTTTACACTTCAGAGCGAGCCACTATTAATAAAATCAAGAGTGCTTTCTTGGTCTATATCTATTAAAAAGTAGTAGTCTCTTCTCAATTTATTCTCTTCCTTGAAGTAAACTCAATGGCAAAACTAAAGATTAGAATTACCTTTAAAAAGAAAAACTTGATTTCTGGCTTCAATTTCATAAGCAGCTTCAATGCCAGATGGCAAGGTTGGCCATAAGGAAGAAATTAAATTAACACTGGTCTTTGGTCTCTCAGAAACCTTCAGCCAGAAGAACCTGACATGAAAGACATTTGACACATGTTAAAAGACAATGTAGACTCAAGAACCATGGCATGTGAATGGGAGGGAACTGTGAAAAGACCCAATATTTCTTTCCATTGTCTTCACATTCTGTTCCATGGATGTCTGATGTTCATGGATCCACAAGAAAAGGATATCAATCAACTCTTTGATAATAACAATGACTTTAACAAGCAATCTGGTATACAGAAATACCCTGGAGCTTGGAATCCAGGGATCTAAGCTTCTGGTTCGACCCTACAATTCACTCACCAGTTTTGTAACCTCAAGGAAGTCACTATCCTCAAGTGTATCAGTCTTATAATCTCAAAAATGGGAAATATTTGTCCTACTTGACAAATGTTAGTCTTCCCAACTGCCCCTCCTTACCACCAACATCTGCTTCAGTCTGTGTTCTAAGAAAGAAACCATAAGTTATCCTGGAATTCTCTCCTCCATAACCAGGAAATCAAGTCTCTTGCATAGGTACTGTTTTACAGTCTTGGTTTCAGACTTCACCATTTTTATCTATGATTAAAATAGTCTGGCTTCTGTTTCTTATCTTCTAAATCCCCATCCCAGATTCCTACTGCAAATCGTTTTTTACACACCAGTTTTCTAGTTAAAACACAAATGTAATTACACCTGTCTCCTGCTTCAAAACCTTTAAGATCTCCTCACTGCCTACAGAATCGAGTCCAAGTTCCTGCTTACAAGTTTCATCTACTTCATTTTCAATTATTTTCCACTGTTTTCTGACAAAAAAAATTTAAAGGCAGAAACTTTAATATTGGTTAGATATGAAAATGATCCTACCTGTCTTTGAAGAAAAAGATCTTATTTCCCACGGTAGTGACAGCATCAAAACTCAAATTGGGGTCACAGAGAGCTGGTTCTGAATTGTCAGGATTTGGCAAGCGTTGGTTCTCTTTTGGGTCTCCTGAAAATACATTTCGAGAAGCATTAGTAAACAAAATCTGCATTGTAGTTCAGAGGAGGAACAGTTATGTTTTAAATACTCAATTTTCTTAATGAACATTGCATCAAAATCATTTTAAGCTTTCTATAACATTCACAGGAAGTATAAAGTAAGGTTTTTTTTCCACATGGTTGCAATATCATGGAGGAAGAAAATCTGATTATCTTTACTTTCCTTTTCCAGTTATAATAGATTGTTTAATGTGTGGGCCTTCATCAGTAAGGCAATGGTATCTTGGATAGAAAGAACACCAGACTTGAGGCCTCTGGTTCTGCCTCTGGCTCTGACGTTAACATACTAGGTCTCTTGTCCTCATCTGTATAATGAAGATAATACCTGTGTCACCTGCCACACAGGGTTCTTATGCGGCTTAAAAAAAGACAGATATTAACGTTTTATCCAAATATAGATATTGTTAGACTATTCATAAAAGCGAGTATCTTTATATGGCAAAATGATAAAGAATTCAACTCACCATACAGGGACTGAATGCCACGTATGTCATCAGCAGAGAGGCGAAATGTGTTGATGTCAACATATTTGTAGGTGGGGAACATTACGGCCTTTGGATCACTAGAATGGCCAAGACCTAAGGAATGGCCAATCTCGTGAACAGCAGTGAGGAACAAGTTTGTGCCTAAGAAGAAACCAACCAAAAGACAGCTGTGAAATGCATTATCATCTTGGACAAGAACACAATATCTGACACAGTGAAAAAGAAAGATTTGAGAATCTTTTACTTATTTCTTTACCCTTTTGAGTTGGGTTTCTCAATCTCAGCACTTCTGACATTACAGTTCAGTAGTCTGGGCTGTTCTGTGCATTATAGTTGTTTAGAAATCTCAGGTTTTACCCCTAAATGCAAGTAGCAAATCCTTTTTAGTTTTGACAACCAAAAAATGTCTCCAGACATTGTCAGATATCTCCTTGGGGACAAAATTGCCTAGGGTTAGGGACCTCTGTACTAGTAGACAAATGAAATATATTCTGTTGTAAAAATTCCTAGAATAACTCACAGCTGCGTTCAACAGTTTTCATTGCTTCTAAATAATTCTCAACTCTCATGACTCAATTCTATTTTTAGTCTTCATGAAGCTTTACTAGATATAGAAAAAAATGTCTTTAGCAATCGTCTTTTCGTAAGCCCAAATATAAGGCTATCATTAAGTTTCAGGTACTGTGAGTCACTGAGAAATGTAACACATTATGTCTAATTCTCATACAAATGAAAGGAAGCCACTGTGCTCTCCATTACAGATGAGGAAACAGTATTTATAAGATTAAATCAAATTAAGTGCTTGAGCCAAGATTAATGTTTCTGCTTTTACTACACATGATTCTAAATAAAATTAAAGAGTCTATATGACTCAAGGAAAGAATATAAAAAACAAAAAAGAGAAAAAATAAATAATTCTTAAAAGAGTCTATACTTATAATTTAGACATATTTGGACTACCAAGTTACAGTGTTTTCTGTCTTTTTTTTGAGCCCCATTCAGACTTCACCATTTTTATCTATGATTAAAATAGTCTGGCTTTATATCTGGCTTTTCTTTTGAGTCCCATAAGAAATCCTTGTTCATTTTTGTGTTATGTCCTAGAGAATGCACCTTTGTAGGTAAGAGAAGAGAGAGGGGTATGTCCCTTCTCTCAAATTGCTCAATTTGCAGAATATTTGAAAATTCCTGACTAACATTCTTGTCCCCTAGTCCAATGCCTTCATTTTTGTCTTTTTCTATGACAAAATTGTAGTTCAGAAGAACTGACTTGCCCAGAGTCACACGTCACTTAGCTGCAGAGCCTGGCCTTGGAATACTCTCCCATACCCAAGTGCAAAGAGTCTACACCTCTCTCGGGGAGTGTCTAGACACAAATCAAGAATTTTCTGTATCATGGGTCCAGTAACCTTCCCAGCAAGACTGGGAAGAGTAAGCAAAGTTTTTACAATTTATCCTAAACCTGAACTATTCTCAATTCCTATAATATGCCTATGAGCCACCACCACTGATCCTCATCTGGAAATAATGGGTTTATGTTTGTATTCTGTTTCTCACTAGATTGCGTGCTCAGGGGTTGAATTGTGTACTTTTCATCTCTGTACTCAAGTAACCTCATCACCCAATACCATAATAGAATAGGTCAGCAAACATTGACCTATTTGTTTATTTGATTTACTGGGTAAAAGAAAACAGGCTGAGGCTGGATGCGGTGACTCACACCTATAATCCCAGCACTTTGGGAGACCAAGGCAGGCGGATCACCTGAGGTCAGGAGTTCGAGAGCAGCCTGGCCAACATGGTGAAACCCCGTCTCTGCCAAAAAAAAAAAAAAAATTAGCAGGGCGTGGTGGCCAGCACCTGTAATATAATCCCAGTTAGTCAGGAGGCTGAAGTAGGAGAATTGCTTGAACCCTGGAGGCGAAGGTTGCAGTGAGCTGAGATTGCACCACTGCACTCCAGCCTGGGCAACAGAGCAAGACTCCATCTCAAAAAAAGCAAATAACAGCAACAACAACAACAACAAAAACGGCTGAAAATAAGCATTTTAAGTTATAATTGTCATAAATAACTTCACTTTTTGAAAGCATTGAATCAATCCAATTAAAAAATAAGGCAATATGGACAGATAGAAAATACTGGGTTGAGAGGTAGGAATGCATATTCTGGCCCAGCTTTTCCACAAACTAGCCACTAACCTTCTCTTTGTCTTAATTTCCTCTACCTACAGAAAGCTGTATTAAATTACTCTTCTAAGGTCTATTAGAATTCCAAAACATTTTTTTGAGGCTAACTAGCACACATATCCCATTTTAGATGAAGGAATTACAATCCCCCAAATAACCTTGGATAAAATTTAGGCACATATAACATGTCTGGCTGAGGATTTGCAGTTTAGCAACTACCTAATCCTACATGATCTGTCTTTTGACAATACAAAAGTCCTCTTCTCTTCAAAAACTTTATAAGCCTTAGGCTATGTGTTAGACTAAAACAAATAGTCTTTCTGGTGGACATAGTATTTATAAAAGTATTGCCATCCAACTTGTGCAATATCAGCTAGAGAGGAGGATGCTGAGTAGAGAATATTATTGATGACTTTCTCCTCATTTACTTTCCACATGAGGGAGTCATAGAATCTAAAATTTCCAATAGAAAAATTAAGAAGGCTTCTGTCATGATGGTTAGGGTTTTCCCATGCTAGTGATTCCTCTAAATAACAGGGGAGTTTAATTAACCCCATGTCAACTATCTGAGGAGGATGGTAAGTTACAGTCCTTATGTAAATGCCCCCAAGGTATTAAATGTTCAGTTGGGCATTCTGAAATTTTTATCCCAAGACCACATGAAAGTACATGGCTGTATAATCTTGTGTTTCTCTATAGGGATGCTTAGATTCTCTGTAACTTTTTCTTTCTTGCTCACTATGAATCTAAGAAATTGTCAGCATATTATGAATCATACAGATGACCATCTTATCCTCTAATTGTTGGCACACACAGAATTAGTATGTGTTTGCTTTTGAGCTTATGGATTTCACTAGGTCAAAAACTTATCACCTAGGCTGCCTGCAATCTTAACACTTTGGGAGGCTGGGACAGGAGGATCTCGAGGCAACATAGCAAGATCCTGTCCCTATAAAAAATTAAAAAATTAGCCGGGTGGGTAGCGCACACCTGTGGTCCTAGCTACTAGGGAGGTTGAAGTGGGAGGTTTGCTTGAGCACAGGAGTTCCGGGCTGTAGTAAGTTAGCATCATGATACGTGATGCCAGCCTAAGTGACAGAGCAAGACCTTGTCTCAAAAAAAAAAACTTACCACCTAATTAACAGCTTTTACCTTTTCATATTATGCTTCTTAAGGTTCCTCTGAGCTTATGCTAATGAACTAGCTCATAGTTCATAGCATCCTCATAGATTGTTAGAGCTGATCTTCAAGATGATCTAGTTTAATATCCTCAATTTACAGAGAGTAAAATTGAGACCCATACGAAGTGTTAAATTTGATTTAGAGGCAAAATTATAATCAGAACAAGATTTTCCATCATATAATCATTTGTCAGAATGTAGTCTCTCGAAACCAGAATTTTGAATTTGTTAGGGTTTTTGTTGTTTTCCTTTCCTGTTTGCTTAGTTTTTTGTTTGTTTGTTTGTTTGTTTTGCCCACCTCCTGAATGTGTAGTCCAGAATTCGTCCTCATCGAAATGTGCATCCCCTCCAATGCCAGATCCAGGTCCAAAAGCATGGGCTAGGATTCCACCTTTGCCATCAAAAGCATGGAAGTCTCCATGAGCTTTTGGAAAAGGAAAGAAAATTAGTCCTTCTATACATCCTATAGATCATGCCAAATGACAAAGATGAAATACAAGTTCCCTACCTCCACGGGCAAAAACCACCAAAATGTCAGCCATGCCTGTGTTAATCTTGCTGAATTTCAAGGGGGTAACATTACTCCATACTTGGAAAGCTTTCCGGATTGCGTAGTCAACATCCTCACGGTTCATGTCAGGTGTGTAATTATTGATTCTTTATCAGCAAAAAGAGAGAGAAAAATGTATGGAAGGCAGTGTTATTTTGTCTTACCACAATACTTCATTTTTGCTAGCACAATTGGAAAATGGATCATTTCATAAATCAAGAGTCCAGATTTTAAAACTTGCTTCATTAACTACAGAAACATTTTTTCTTGGACAGCCTCCTCCTTAACCAAAATCTAACTTAATTTCTTCCTATTTAAAACTCACAGATCATCACTGTGAAGGATTTGCTTTCATAGAAGGTTATGCTTTTTGCTCCTGCTCCCAGGTTCTGCATTTATCCATCTTGACTACTCTATAAACTTCCCTGTCTCTTCTTTATAGTAAATTATCTTATTTATAGTAAATTTAGCTTCATTCTCCTTTTATTTGCAGATTTTTTTTTCTTTTTTTTTGAGATGGAGTCTCACTTTGTTACTTAGGCTGGAGTGCAGTGGCACGATCTCGGCTCACTGCAAGCTCCGCCTCCTGGGTTCACGCCATTCTCCTGCCTCAGCCTCCTGAGTAGCTGGGACTACAGGTGCGCGCCACCACGCCCAGCTAATTTTTTTGTGTGTTTAGTAAAGACGAGGTTTCACCATGTTGGCCAGGATGGTCTCCATCTCCTGACCTCGTGATCCACCCACCTTGGCCTCCCAAAGTGCTGGGATTACAGGCGTGAGCCACCGTGCCTGGCCTATTTGCAGCTTTTAAAATCTGCTTTGGACTGGCAAGCCAAACAATTCTCCCCTGAGTGAACAATTCTTCCTTCTAGAGAAAATGAATTTTAGCAGAGATAGCATTAACAATGGAGGGAGGTTACTTTATCTACTTCCAGATTTAGGGCTGTCTAACTGGTTCAGGTTAGAAGTCAGACCTATGGGAAAGTAGAAAAATACAGGGCGACATACACCAACGTTACCTGTAGGTGATATAATGTTTCCTCCATACGGGCCCCCCTGGCATTTCCCTGAAATGATGGACATCGGGGACTCCACATCGAGGTGCGTGCATCATCTCCAGGGTAGATGTGTCCAGTTGCCCGGTCACTTTCAGACCCAAGAAGTGCTGCATTTCTTGGATTTTTTCCTTCATTAAGTTTCCACTATATTTCATTTTTGTCACTGGAAGTTTGTTTATCTCAAGGCCATAAAATTTTTCTAAGTATCTCTGGAAAAAAAAATACATTCAGCAATGTGTAAGTACACACAGAAAATTTCTGTTGGGAGCTCCACATATATGACTCAATTGCACACTGATGCTTTTGGACCAGGAATTTTGCACATCTTACTCACAGGTTAGATTATTGTTTTTTGGACAATTAATTATAATCAGGAAAAAAAACCTTAATTTTTTGTGCTATCAAAGACATGTCAGCCAGGAGCAGTAGCTCAGGCCTGTAATCCCAGCATTTCGGGAGGCTGAGGCAGGAGGATTTCTTGAGCCCAGGAGTTCAAGACTAGCCTGGACAACATGGCGAAACCTCCTCTGTACAAAAAACACAAAAATTATCCCAGAGCGTTGGTGCATGCCTGTAGTCCCAGCTACTCAGGAGGCTGAGGTGAGAGGATCACTTGAGCTTGGGAGGTAGAAGCTGCAGTGAGCCGTGATTGTACCACTGCACTCCAGCCTGGATGACAGACACAGACCCTGTCTCAAAAAAAAGAAAAACAAAAACAAACAAAAAAACAAAGACATGTCATAAACTATTAGCTAGATTTATTCCCGGAATCCCAGTGGAAGTATCTTTTTTAAAACGTCATTTATTCATTTTTAAGACAGAGGAGTTTCTCTTGGTCACCCAGGCTGGCCACAGTGGTGCATACCGGTAATCCCAGCACTTTGAGAGGCCAGGGTGGAAGGATTGCTTGAGCCCCAGAGTTTGAGACCAGCCTGGGCAACAGGGTGAAACCCTGTCTCTACTAAAAATACAAAAATTAGCCAGGAGTGGTGGCACATGCCTGTAGTCCCAGCTACTTGGGAAGATGAGTCAGTAGGATCACCTGAACCCAGGAGACGGAGGTTGCAGTGAGCTAAGATGGTGCCACTGCACTGTAGCCTGGGTGTCAGAGTAAAACCCTGTCTCAAAAAAAAAAAAAAAAAGAAAAAGAAAAGAAAACAAAAGGATACATGAATTATTAATGTTATTAATATAAGTTGGGACACAAATTTCTTGCTTAAAAACTCAAAGCTAAACAAAATGGATAACTATGATAAATTCAATGTTAAAATCATCTTAGAAAATAGGGAGACCAAACTCTTTTAATTAAGGAAAAGAATTTAAGAATTGAAAAAAATCCATAAAGAATGCTATAAAGATGGGGCCTGGCATGGTGGCTCCCGCCTGTAATCCTATCACTTTGGGAGGCTGAGGCGGGGGATTGCTTGAGCCCAGAAGTTACAGACGAGCCTGGGCAACATAGTGGAACCCCATCTCCATAAAAAAGAAAAAGAAAAGCTGTAAAGATATAACTGAGATGACTGAGGGTAAAGGGAATATGCTTAAATTATCATGGCAGCCTGAAGTGGTTATATTAATCCTGCCATTGTTCAGATCTCAGATTATTAACTGGCATTTAATGATTAGTGTAAAATACCATAACAGAAGTGAACTCCAATTATATTGAATGGAAATTTCTTGGCCAAAGGTTTTTAGAAGAAGAAACAAGTTCACTTGCCAATTTCATAACAGTCCTTCAAAACCAATACCTCTTTTTTATATTCCTCTTTGACAAAGTAAAACTTAATACTGAAAGCAGACAGCCTCCTAGACCAATTTTCAGCTGATACGTAAAAGCAAACAAACAAACAAACAAACAAACAAACTGGTTAATGCAATTAAATCTTAAAGACAAACATCAAGCTCGATAAATACTGTAGTGTCCATACTTACTTCACCAAATAGCACATTATTTTTTTCCAGGCTTGTAGAGCTGTTCAGGGGAAGAGCTCCAGAAGCAGTGGCCTGCAGGAGCAGTATTAGAAGAAACTTCATTGTAAACTTCTAAACGGATCAATTCAGTTTACTGTGTTCCTTTCTAGCCTAAGTTCCTGAACTGTTCCTCTTTATATAGCCCTTAGTCCGGGTTCTGTGAATATGAATCCTATGAGTGACTCATAGTTGATATCATCCCTTGATCTATCTCAAAAACATGCAAACAAAAGCATGACTTTATTCAGACGACAATGGATCAATTAGCATCTAGTCCATCACTCAAGCAATTCAGAGTATGTACCTTCAAAATGATAAATAAGCCTCTACGTCCACCTATCCTACAAAATAAGCCCTTGTAAAAGAAATATCAAGCAACTAAAAGAGAAGGAGAACTTAAAATATATTTTCTTAAAGCCTGATATTCTTGATTTTCATTATAATACTTTCCTTATATTCATTATAGATAAAAAAAAGTTTTTAAAGTAAATGTTGAAAGATTAAATAAAATCCTTTTCCTGGAGTAAATGAGTGCTTTCTAAACGGAATCCAGCTCCCTAGAGAAATGTGATACAGAGATTTTACATGTAGCAAAAAAAAATTTGTAACATCGACTTCATTGTTTATTCCACGTGTTGTACCGGCTCAGATCCTGATTCTATAACTTAACATCTTCAGACATCTAAGCTGAAGCTCAGTCCCAACTGGGTACCTGGATAGATTCCAGAGACAAACTTTCCCTACATCCTAGATTGTCTAGCGTTGGTAGGATGTGGGTTAACTCTTTTCAACTTTAGCAGATGGGAAAAGTTTGCCTCTGGAATCTATCTGCCTATCACCTCAGCTTCTTTCCCTCTTGACCTAATTGTCCCATTGCACAGAATCTGTCTCTTACTCAATAGAGAATATTTAAGCACTAAAAACTTTTACAAGTCAGGGAATAAAATTCCAAAGGTAGAATTGCAAGCAGTGGTGCTGCGGTGTGAGGATAGATTCTACTCAACACCCCTTCAAATCACACCATAAGTTCGCTGCCTCCTGATTGTATGGGGACGGTCTGGATGGTGCGGTAGGGTGCACGTAAGAGTGTGTTAAGATTTAGCCATTGCTCTTACCCACCTCAGTGGCCTGGGAAACAGTCTGCTGGCTGCTTGAGTGAGGCTTAAAGAAAAGGAGAAAAATATAGAAAAAAATAATTTTCCAATTTAAAAATTATCTTGCCTCACTCTTGCAGAGAACTATGCAGATTCTTGCTGATCTGTTCTCCTCTCTCTAGCCATTGATTTGTTTTCTCTGTGTCTATCTAACCTACAAATACAGCTGGTTATTCTGCTGTGAGAATGTCACTTTTTAATGACACAAAGTTTAACAGACTTGCCTTCTGTGATCTAAATAGTATCTCTAAATCCAGATCACTTGGCTTTATAAATGTTTTCCAGAAAATTGTTATCAATCCTCTGGTGAGATGCCACATCAGACCAGGTGACACTGGTGTCATGGGTCACTTACTGATCTTGTGGTGTAGATTACAGGCTACTCCATTAAGATGTCCTTTCTCAATGGGGGCGATATCACCCCCAACTGGGTGAAAAATTGGTCATCAAAGGCAAAAATATATATTTTTGTGTATAAAAGACAGATATGCATACAGCACATGAGCAGATATACAATTTATGTCTGCTATTAAATTTGTATGGGGGGAAATCTTTAAAGTGTCTACAAAGCCTCTTTATCAGGAATAGTAATAAATGTTGAGAAACCCTGATCTATGTATTATAAAGGAAACAGAACTAAAATTTATGGAGAGGCTTTAACAGCTGCCAGCAGTTTCATGCACCATCTTATTTAATCCTCACAGTAGTCATTTATGGATGAGGAAACTGAACTTAACTTATCCAAAGCCACACAACTAGTAGGTGGCATAGCTGAGGTTTGAGGCCAAGTCTGTTTCCAAAGCCTTTCTGCTTCCATTAAACCAGGCTGCAAAGTCAAAGTCAGTTCAAAGATGCTTGAGTCATTCTCTCTGTCCCCAGATATTTACCTTGTTGTTGGAGAGTAAGAACAGGAAAATAATCAAATCACTAACAGCACATATGTATATGTCATCACATTGTCTCTACCTTATGATGTACACGTAGGACTAGATAATTTTTCTATGTGAACACAACTGCCTAAGATGGCTCCAAACATTATGCTCCTCAGAGGTGCTCTGGGCCAATTCCTGGGGAGCCCTAGCAGCTGAAGTCACCTTAGCAGCGGGGCACTGCTCAGGCCATGGCAGGGGAGGAGATGGCAGAAGTTTATCCTCCAGAGAACAGACCTTGAACTGCTACCACCCTTGGGAACCCAGATCCACCTACAATATTGCTAGGACTGTCTGCTTATTCCTGGCACCTGCAAGAGCAAAGGGGATAGCATGGCTTTAACTAAAAAGCAGGAAAGTATGTATCACAGTATTATTTTTGTAGTGTTTGCAGTAATAAGATACTCATAGAACTTGGAAGGGTGGCTTACAACTGTAGTCCCAGCTACTCAGGAGGCTGAGGTGGGAGGATCTCTTGGGCCTGGAGTTCGAGGCCAGCCTGGGCAACACAGCAAGACCCTGTCTTTAAAAAAAAAGATATTCATAAGAAGACCCAAATTTGAAAAAACATCAAAATGACAAAATGAAATGTGTTATAGCAACAAGTCAGGACAGGGTCAGGAGATCTCCCAGATGTCTCCTTAAGCAATTCACTTCCCTTTTCTGAATTTCCATTTCTTCATCCATAAAAGGAAAGGTGAACTAGCTGAAGTTTTCTTCCTCCATGGACAGACTCTTGGCGTGTGAAAGAGATTTCTTTGTATATCTTGGAAGAATTCTTCCCTTCTTGTCCTTGCTGATGACGTACTTAGATTTGCCTCTGGATTCCTGGGGATGATACCACAAATGACTTCAGGTGATTGTATCAGGGATATACCCTGGAATGTCCTGGTGTCTGGCTAAAGAAGGAAAAACATAATAGATGCTTTTGGAAGGTTGGTGCTACAAAATCTGCCTTATGATAAGGAAACTGCTCTCAGCACTTTCTCACGAGCAACTCTGAAGTCAGCTACTTTCTACACTTTCGTAAACGTGCTCTTCTTCACACAGAGCATTGACAATGATCCCTTGATTCTTGCTTTCCTCAGTGTGGCCCCTGGAAGCCATGTCTTTGCTGGGACCCCCAGCTTCCAGTCTGGGCCTATGTCAGAATCATCTCATAGCTCCTTTCTACCACAGGAGAGAGATCTGGGCAGATAGTTGATCTCCCTTCTCATTCCCTTTACCAACCTCTTTTAGAGGCTTACCTAAGAGTGCAGTAAAGGAAGATAGCAATCATTGACCCCTCAGTGTGTCAGGCCGTAGACTAAATACTTTTCCCTATTATTTAATGGAATTATTGTAACAACTCTTTTCCAGTAGCTACCATTATTATTCCAGTTTTACGAATGAAGAAATTAAGTGAGAAAGAGCTTGAAGTGATTGCCCAAGGTCATAAAATGTCAGAGCTAAGATTCCAAGGCAAGTCATCTTGAGCATAGCTTTATTAAGCAAGTCACTTGAGCATAGCTTTATCAAATCGAAGTGGAATTCTTTTTTGCCCAAAGTGGTCATCTTGACTCCACGACCTTAGTTTGTAACGACGTCAGTGTTCCATGGCTGCCCAAGGGGTCTTGATCGCCTCATACTTGACCTATCTGGGACACTTGGTGAGTCAAGGCCTAGAGAGAATCAAAATCTGAGTGCAATATCCTATTTTTATTTCCAGTGAGGACATGCTTTCACTTCTTTGTATCTTTAGCAGCTTTTTTTTCTGTATCTTACATCCTACAACTCTCTCAAGAGACTTCCCGCCAATCTTCCAAGAACAGGTTCCTTCCTGCTGTGGTTAAGGCCAGTTCTTGCTTTCAGTGAGTCTTGGGAACACATCCTCCCTGTAATGACTATTCCACAAGGGAAGTTCACTCCTGATGTCCTTTGGGCCCTATTGTCTTGCTAGATTCATTCATGCATGTTTACCGAGCACCTACTAACTTCAAGGTAGTTCTAGGCACCAGGAATACAGTGGTGGAGAACCAGAATCTCATCTGGCTGCAGACTTAGATGCACGATGTTTTCCTCTCGGGCTAAGGGGAAGAGAATAAATATTAGTGAGCAGCGATAGTATGTCCCAGTATTTATAATACATTGCCTCATTTAATCATCACTAAAGCATAAAGAGGCAAACGTTACTTATTTATTTTTTTAGAGATGAGGTCTCACTCTATTGCTGAGGCTGGAGTACAGTGGCACGATCATAGCTCACTACAACTCCTAGGCTCAAGTGATCCCCCCAACTCGGCCTCCAAGTAGCTGGAACTACAGGTGTGCATCAGCACAGGCAAAAGTTATTATCCTCATTTTTTAAAAAGATGGAGTTTCCCTCTGTTGCCCAGGCTGGAGTGCAGTGACGTGATCTCGGCTCACTGCAACCTCTGCCTCCCAGGTTCAAGCGATACTCCTGTCTCAGCCTCCTGAGTAGCCGGGATTACAGGTGCACACCACCACGCCCAGCTAACTTTTGTATTTTTAGTAGAGACGGGGTTTTACCATGTTGGCCAGGCTGGTCTTGAACTTCTGAGCTCAGGTAATCCACTCGCCTTGGCCTCCCAATGCTGGGATTACAGGTGTGAGCCACCGCACCCAGCCATTATCCTCATTTTCAAAGGAAACACCAGAGGGTCCTAGAGGTCAGATCACAGAACTTAAAAAAGGTAGGGTTTGCAGGTGGATGCCAGGGACTATGCAGAGGGCCTCTTTTTCTTCTACCTGAGAAGAGAATTATTCTCCTGGAGTCCCAGCCTCAGAGAAATGCTGGGGAGAAGCCACATTGCTTGCCTCGGCATTTATGACCCTGAGCACATTATTCACATTCTTACTTCTTTCCAAGAGCCTAAATCCACTAAAGTGAATACAGTTTAAGAAGAGAGTAATTTCTCCTGAAGTGAGTTAATACTGAGAGTGGTGGGAGAGTCCGTGGGTTCTGGGTGCCAGAAAGAACTGAGCCCCACTCTATGGCAGCGCTGCAAGGATGTGGTGAGACCACAGAAGGAATCATCACGGGATGCTGCAGGGAAGTGAGATGCAGGGCCTGGTGCCTCTAACTTCCCTGAAGCAAGCATGCCACAAAAGCAGCAGTGAGCAGAACTGAGAAGATATGCAGGCTGGGTGGACCAATAGGGAGGAGATGGAACTCCAGATGATTACGGCTGAATTTCCTTCCAGCCGAAAGGGATGGAGGCTCAGAATAGAAGTTAAATTTTTGGGAAGTGGCTGGGCATGGTGGCTTACTCTTGTAATCCGAACACTTTGGGAGGGAGAGGTGGGATGATTGCTTGAGGCCAGAAGTTCAAGACCAGCCTGGGCAACAAAGTGAGACCCTATCTTTATTTTTAAAAATGAAAATAAAATTTGGCCAGGTTTGGTGGCTAATGCCTATAATCCCAGCACTTTGGGAGGCCAAGGAGGGAGGATTGCTTGAGCCCAGGGGTTTGACACCAGCCTGAGCAACATAATGAGACTTTGTCTCTATTTAAAAGTGTAGATATCAGCCAGACATGGTGGCATGAAGCCCAGCCGCGGCAGCACCTCTGCTCTGCGGGATCCGCTATGTCCATAGGATATTTGCCTCCCAGAATGAAAGGGAGCTCAAAGTGACCCAAATTCTCAAAGAAAAGTTTCCTTGAGCTACAGTGATCAAAGTCACTGACATTTCAGGAGGTTGAAATTAAATAGAAATTTAATTGAATTAATTAATTTAAATTGAATTTAAAATGAAATTAAAATTGAATCAGAAGAATTTAAGCAGAAGAGAACTGTTCAGCAGTACCACATGGTTAATCAGGCACTAAAAGAAGAAATCAAAGGGATGCATGGATTACAGATATTTACCTCTGTCCCCAAACGCTGACCATGCCCTTGCTGCATGGATGCTGCTGCTTTAAACCTTGGATGAACTTCACTGACACCATTCTTCCCTAGACATTCACCAAAAAATGTGTATATTTTGTTCATATACATTTCCATGTTATAATTATGGAAGATGTGTAATCCACTTGCATGTTAATTAAAGGAAACAAACAACTGAAGTTTTGAAGGGTCAAAAAAATAAAAAAATAAAAAAATGTAAAAAAAATGAAAATAAAACTATAAAAAAATAATGTTAGGGAAGAAAATGCAATATATTTGGCACAGCTGGACTGAGATTCACACATACTACATACACAGGAGAGATACTTAACATGGTACTTTCTACATAGTAGGTGTGCTGTATTATCATTAATATTAGTCTTACTATTGTTACTATTAGTATATTTTAAGCATAGTATGTTTTGCCTCATTTTTCAAGAAAGTATATAAACTTCATGGATTGTAGACCCTTTTTTAGCCTTCAAAGACCACAAAAAAAAATTGTACCACTAGACAGTTAATATAGAGCAATAGACTTTAAATAAACTGAAACAAAAGCCTGGAGATGTTATCACTGGCTAGTACAGGCAACCTGCTCACTTTTCTCCAGCAGGTAGTCCACTTTCCAAATAAATCAGGGTTCTCAGAAGCCTCTTTTGCTCTCAGCTGACTTTTTTTTTTTTTTTTTTGAAACAGAGTCTTGCTCTGTTGCCCAGGCTGGAATGCAGTGGTGCGATCTCGGCTCACTGCAACTTCCACCTCTGGGATTCAAGTGATTCTCCTGCCTCAGCCTCCCAAGTACCTGGGACTACAGGCACCCGCAGCTGCCACCACACCCAGCTAATTTTTTGTATTTTTAGTAGAGACAGGATTTCACCATGTTGGCCAAGGTGGTCTTGAACTCCTAACCTCAAGTAATCCGCCTGCCTTGGCCTCCCAAAGTGGTGGGATTATAGGCGGGAGCCACCATGCCCTGTCTCAGGTACCTTTCAGTCAATCCTTACACAAGGTATTGTTCGATGGCTCCTTAAAGAGCTACCCATATTGTGGGCATCTTCATTGTCATAGACAACTCTGAAAGGCATAACTTCAAAATATTGAAGTAAGACCCTCTACTGGAAAAATGTGGAGAGCCATGCATGGACTCTCTGCTGGAGGTCTTGGGGGCATCATGGCTAGTTTGCAAGGGAGATAGTTCTTGAGGCCAGGCGCAGTGGCTCACACCTGTAATCCCAGCACTTTGGGAGGCCAAGATTGGTGGATTGCCTGTGCTCTGGAGTTCAAGACCAGCCTGGGCAACATGGCGAAACTCCATCTCTACAGAAAATACCAAAAAATTAGCTGGGCATGGTGGCACTCACTTGTAGTCCCAAGTATGCGGGAGGATCACTTGAGCCTGGGAGGTGGAGATTGCAGTGAGCCACTGCACTCCAGCCTGGGTGACAGAGCTGGAACCCATCTCAAAAAAAAAAAAAAAAAAGAAGTAACCACTAACTTAAAAAAAAAAAAGAAAAAAGAAAGAAAAGAATGGAATGGAGATTTTAAAAAAGATTTTTGAGCGAGGACTCTCGCACTGGAAGCCCTGTTATTATCCCAGGTTGCCTACTTTTGCTAGTGTCTTGACCAAAAATAAACCATGCATGTTCTGCTGACGAATCAGATGAGTCCATACAGAGGAAGAAAAGGAGGGTGATTCAGGGAAGGGAAAGAGAAAAGTAAAAGAAACACACACACACACACACACACACACACAGAGAGAGAGAGAGAGAGAGGAACAGAATGAAGTCACTTGAGCATAGCTTTATCAAATCGAAGTGGAATTCTTTTTTGCCCAAAGTGGTCATCTAACATATCTTAGACAAATACAGATGAAAAAGAGAGGTCCTTCCTTAGCACCAGGGCATTTCATGAGCTCAAGTTCCACATCATAGTTTCATTATGAACAACAAACCTCTTGGGATTTTCCAACCCAAGTCAGCTCTGAGAACATCCACACTGTGGAGAGAGCAAGGAACTTCCTTGTTTCTAATACCAAGTCCATCAGATGATTAGTAAGCCCTGCAAAGAAGAGTGAATCATTCTTAGAATTCATTTTGTAAATGCAAAATATCTCATGGTGAGTGACAAATATGTCTAAACAACTGTGTTTTTGGCATAGTTCAAGAAGTTCAAGAAAGTCTTTCATGTCTTTAGCCATGTTCATGTCTGTTTCTGGAAGGACTTTGATCCTGTTTCTCATTAATCAAAGTGTAGTCTGTCTTCCCAGGCCCAGATCTGGTATGGTAACTCCCATGAAGCCTTATCTCATGGCCCACTCCTTCACTTGAAGCCCCATTCAAGTTGCTAGCAGGCTCTGTGCTTCTTGCCTCAGCATTTGTGACCCTAAACAGATATTCACATTCTGACCTTTTTCCCAGAGCCTAAATCCACTGAACTGAATTTAGTGGGTCTGTTTCCTCCCAACTACTAGGCTACTCCATTGGTGCGACTCACATTGGCACCTACCCACATGCCACATCCTTGCCAAATCTGCTCAACTAGGGTGCATGATACAGAAATCACGACTTATGTACTTTCCATGTCTCATTTCTGAAAATAATGAACGTCAACAGAGAATGAAAAATGCCACCTGAAATAAAAATAATTTTTATCACCATCAAATTTTAAGTTTTCTCTAATTATATAAATAATACATATCAGTCATATAATACTTGAATTACAAAAAAAGAAGAAAAAGAGTAAAGAATCAACCTCAGGGGACAGGCATGGTGGCTCATGTCTGTAATTCCAGCACTTTGGGAGGCTGAGGTAGGAGGATCACTTGAGGCCAGGAGTCCAGACCAACCTGGCCAACATAGTGAGACCCTCATCTCTATTTATTTTTTAAAAATTTATAAAAAATAAACGAATCATCTTCAGAAAATATGAGAAATAGAATAAAATATCAATTGCTATTCTCTTTCTGAGATAACCACCATTTGAATCATCATTCTTCCATGCCTCTCCTTATGCATATATGTACATATATTTAATTTTATATAACTGTGTTCATATGATGTCTGCAGCTCTTATTATAGGCCTTCCTTTTTCAATATAGTGGGTCTTTTTGCTGTTATTTATTTGTTCACTTGTTTGTTCATTTGTTTTATACACATCCCGCTTCTCCTTTACTCCCTTAACTGAATAACCCACCCTCACCTGCTCTTGGTTTCTCTTCATTAACAATCTGATATCTGGTCTTCTAGATTTTTTCTCCTTGTTCATATTGTATGTACACACACACATACACACACACACATACATATACACATATGTAAGGGGAAAGGAAGCTTGTCATGATTTATTCTATAAAAATGGAATTACATTACAAAGACTTCTCTGATTCTTGCTCGTCTCACTTTTTGATCACAGCATGGAAAATCCTGCAAATCAACTGGTATAGAATAAATGTCTTCATCCTCATAAAATATCTTTATTATTAATCTCATAGTTTTAATATACCATAAAATTTAAGGCTTTTTGCATTGATGAGCATATACTGTTTCCAGTTTTTTACCTCCACAATAGAAAGGAAATCTTAAGTCCACTCTACTGTAGCAATTTTCTTATCTCACTTTTGAAGATTTGCCAAGGTAATTTTCTGTTTCTTCTCTGTCCCACTGTCAAGTGACTTGACTGGAGCCATGGTTCAAAATCTTTTGGAGATCATGAGTCCCTTTGAAAATTTCATGAAAGTGATCAAACCTCTCCCCAAAAATGTACTGACATTTTTAAGAACTGCATGTAATTTTAGTGGCCTTGAACCTAGGTGACAACTTCCTGAATTTGAGAAAAATTTTGCACAACAAAGAAGATTCTTTTATGGTTGTAATCATCCCCCAAATTTCCAAAACTCTTCCTCCTGATGATGACCCATAACAGATTATGGACTCAGCATGGTAAAGGCAGGCAGCTGAGAAGGTGAAACCAGGCCACACTTGTCCACACCCTTCTCTGTAGAAAGGACAAGACACTTCACAGGCCACTGAACACATTCCTTCTTTACCTCCTCACTTGGGTGAGTTTG
This sequence comes from Homo sapiens, assembly GCF_000001405.40. Taxonomy (NCBI): domain Eukaryota; kingdom Metazoa; phylum Chordata; class Mammalia; order Primates; family Hominidae; genus Homo; species Homo sapiens. Next base: position 102,884,912 of record NC_000011.10, read on the forward strand.
AGGGCCAATATGGAAGTGATTGTCAACCTACATGTCACGTAATTATCAAGTGCTTATCATTCATATATCACTTGACTTATAAACTTGCCATTTGCCGTTGTTAATGTTGCAGTGGTTCTCTTTTTTTTTTTTTTGAGACAAAGTCTTGCTGTGTTGTCCAGGCTGGAGTGCAGTGGCACACGATCTCAGCACACTGCAACTTCTCCCTCCCGGGTTTAAGTTATTCTCCTGCGTCAGCCTCCCAAGAAGCCAGTATTACAGGTGCGCACCATCATGCCTGGCTAAGTTTTGTATTTTTAGTAGAGAAGGGGTTTCACCATGTTGGCCAGGCTGGTCTCAGACTCCTGACCTCAGGTAATCCACCTGCCTCGGCCTCCCAAAGTGCTGAGATTACAGGCATGAGCCACTGTGCCTGGCCGGCCAGTTCTCATTCTTATAGAGATAATGGGTGTAATCATTCCTTGGATGATGCATGCTGTCTTAACTCCCTACACCCCTTATGCTTGCCTGTGAGCCTATGTTTCAAGGGCAGAAATCAGTCCCAAACTCTAGCCAAGAGCAGTCTTCACCTGTCTGTTCCCACCTTCATAGGGTAGGAAGAGCAGTTATGTCATATGCTCAGACTGAGGGGCGAGAGACCAGAAACCTTTTTAAGTGCCACACCTGTTTCTGTAGTAATAATAAAGAAATGGGCTGGAGATGCTGAGGTTAGGGACTCAAACTCCGTATATCACTGCTCCTACATCTGTGTCTCATTTGTCACTGTCCCCTGAAAGTCAGAGGGAAGCCCAAGACCATAAGACATCAGGACCAGACAAGATCAGATGTTCTGCTGAACCAAGGCTGGAACCTTGTCACCCAACCACACATATGCTATCACATTTGGAGCAAGTAGCTTTTTGTTTAATATGTAGTTTTAAACAATAAATATCCTCTTATTTAAGTGACAGGTGGATGGAATTGTTACTTTACATTTAAGAAACCTCACAAAGAACAACTGGGCGCTGGTGGCTCACACCTGAAATCCCAGCACTTTGAGAGACTGAGGCAGGGGGATTGCTTGAGCCTGGGAGACCAATCTGGGCAACATAGAAAGATCTTATCTCTACGAAATATACCAAAATTCTTTGGGAGGCTGAGGTGGGCAGATCACTTGAGGTTGAGAGTTCGAGAACAGCCTGGCCAACATGGTGAAACCCCATCTCTACTAAAAATACAAAAATTGGCTGGGCATGGTCGTGGGTGCCTGTATTCCCAGCTACTCAGGAGGCTGAGGCAGGAGAGTCATTTGAACCCGAGAGGCGGAGGTTGCAATGAGCCAGGATTGTGCCACAGCACTCCAGCCTGAGCAACAGAGCAAGACTCTGTCTTAAAAAAAAAAAAAAAAAAAAAAATTAGCCAGTCATGGTGGTGTGCACCTGAGGTCCCAGCTACTAAGGAGACTAAGGTGGGAGGATAACTTGAGCCCAGGAGGTTGAGGCTTCAGTGAGCCGTGATTGAAACACTGCACTGCAGCCTGGGGGACAGAATAAGACCCTGTGTCAAAAAGAAGAAAAGAAAACAAAAGAAAAGGAAAAGAAAAGAAAAATAGAAATCTGCAAAGAACAAAATACAACCCACATGTGTCTAAGGTGGCATGGTATGCATGGAAACCAGAACCTCCTACCCCAAGGAGATGGGATGTTAATGGGGCAACACTGAATCAATGATGTGTGATGTGGAGGGAATCCTTACGGTGACCATGCTAGCACCACACAGTGCCACCTCAGGCACCCAAGGGCAGAGGTGAATGAACAGGTGGGTTCCTGAGCCGCAGAGGGAGTAACCCAGGGGAAGTTTTAGAGCATAGAGATTCTCTTGCTAGGTGAGCATTGATAGACCAGGTTACCTTCGGTGGCACCAAACTAGGGAGAATAGAAAACTCAGAATAGAAACTTTGTTAAGAAAAGCAAGTTAACACCACATGCTGCTGACAGCAGAATATGTCCATTTCCCCAAATCCTGTGTCAGAAGATGGCACACATGAAAATAGCCATTGATTGGATTTTAATGAGTCAACCAAACATTCCTGTAAGACTGGTACCAAAAAGTAAACCCAAATTCCCTGCTATAATCATCCCTGGGAAAACCCACTGTTTTGATATTTCATATTGCCGTCTGTTTGACTTACCCCTCTATGTTTCTGTGGGGAAAATCTGCACAGTGAGCAAATCCTGTAATTTCAGCTGCCCATCGTTGTATTATCATTGGCACCTCAGCAGCAGTGTTTGGCTGCGTTTCAATTATGACAGGGATACTTTCGCATTTTCCCTATTACTCAGGAGTCCCAGGGCCTGGCTGGCACTGGCTCCTCCTGAAGGCACAGATGTTCTGTCTTCTGCTCTTCAGCCTTTGGTGCATCGGGTCCAGCAGTATATCCCTTTGACTTTATTAGGAACTCAGACCTAGAAAGCTAGTGAAAGGCCAGGCGCAGTGGCTCATACCTGTAGTTCTAGCACTTTGGGAGGCCGAGGTGGGCAGATTGTTGGAGCCCAAGAGTTCGAGACCAGCCTGGGCAATGGGCAAAACCCCATCTCTACAAAAAATACAAAAATTAGCCAGGTGTGGTGGTTCATGCCTGTAGTCCCAGCTACTCGGAAGCTGAGCCCAGGAGGTCAAGGCTGAGGCTGCCATGAGCTGTGATCATGCCACTGCACCCCAGCCTGGACAACAGAGTGAGACCTAGTCTCAAAAAAAAAAAATCTGGTGAAGTGTAAAATAAGGAAATTGGAGAAAATGAGGACCTCACATGAATGAGGGCATTTTGTATGGCAAGAAGTAGGCCAGACACTTTATACACATTATTTCTTCAAGCTCATAATGACCCTGAGGTGTTGGTATTAGGGAACACAAAGTTCAAAGCACCCTAATAACTGCCTGTGGCCAACCAGCTAGTTAAGGAACTGGAATGCTTTTAGGTAAAATTTTTATTGATGTATTTTTTATATATATATATATATATATATATATATATATATATATATATATATATATATACAAACATAGAAAAATGTACAAATAGGCCAGGCATGGTGGCCTATGCCTATAATCCCAGCACTTTGGGAGGCCAAGATGGGCGGATCATGAGGTCAGGAGTTCGAGACCAGCCTGACCAACATGATGAAACTCCATCTCTACTAAAAATACAAAAATTAACCAGGCGTGGTGGCTCACGCCTGTAATCCCAGCTACTCAGGAGGCTGAGGCAGGAGAATCGCTTGAACCGGGAGGCGGAGGTTGCAGTGAGCCAAGATTGTGCCACTGCACTCCAGCCTGGGCAACAGAGCGAAACTCCATCTCAAAAAAAAAAAAAGAAAAGAAAAGAAAAATGTACAAATAATAAATGCTGATCTCAATGAATTTTCACAAAATGAATATGGCCATAAAATAATAATCAGGCCATTTTGTTTATTTAGTGTTTAGTTTTTCTTTTTCTTTTTGAAACAAGGTATTAGTCGTTCTCACACTGCTAATAAAGACGTACCTGAGACTAGGTAATTTCTAAAGGAAAGAGGTCTAATTGATTCACAGTTCCACATGGCTGGGGAGGCCTCACAATTACGGCAGAAGGCAAAGGAGGAGCAAAGTCACGTCTTGCACAGAGGCAGGCAAGGAGAGCTTGTGCAGTGCACCTCTCATTTATAAAACCATCAGATCTCATGAGACATTCACTACCTCAAGTATGGTGTCAGAAAACTGCACCTTTGATTCAATTACCTCCCACTGGGTCCCTCCCACAACATGGGGATTATGGGAGCTACAATTCAAAGTGAGATTTGGGTGGGAACACAGCCAAACTATATCACAAGGTCTCACTCAGTTGCCCAGGCTGGAGTGCAGTGGCATGGTCATGGCTCACTGCAGCCTCTACCTCCCAGGCTCAAGTGATCCTCCCACCTCAGCCTCTCAAGTAGCTGGGACTACTGGTGTGTGCCATCACACCTGGCTGATTTTTTAAATTTCTGTAGACATAGGATCTCACTGTGTTGCCCAGGATGGTCTCAAATTCCTGGGCTCGAGCAATCCTCTCACCTTGTTCTCCCAAAGTGCTGGGATTATGGGGGTGAGCCACTGTGCCTGGCCTTATTTAGTGTTTTTCTTCAGGAGTTTCTAAAATTTTTTGTGGCTTTTCCAACTATTGACTGTTAACAAAATTTTTTATTAGGGGATTTCTTTTCAGAGATACACTAATTTCAGTTTTTGTCAAGAAGGAATTCCACCCATATCCACATCTGGCACAGACCTAACAACAGCCATTGCATAATTAGGGGTTTCTACTCCCCTCTCTCCCGCAACCTGTCTTCTCTCTTTGCTGGACAGAAAGATCCCATCTCGTTACGGTGTGGCAGCTCTGAATATGCTTTACCCATTTCAGTCTACACATACGTTCAGGGAATTAAAGGAAGACACGGCCTCTTTCAAAACGCTTTAAAGAACTGTTTAAATTTATCTCCCAGTCTAAATCTGCCTATTTCTCTAACTGGTACCATAATTTTCACCACCATAACTGAAACTCCAGAAGGGTTATGGGTTGTGCTGTTTTGTTCATTGACGTATCCCAGTACCTAGACCAGTGCCTAGATGCAGTATGTGCCCAGTAGATATTTGATAGAGAGAGTGAAGAATACTTCCACTCATCCAATCTCCAACTCTTTCATGTACTTAACAAACATTTTGTTAACTTTTAGGGTCACCTGATACTCTTCCTTTACTCTATTCCCCTCCCACCACCACTTTTAATCAATTTTGAAGTCTTGTTATTTCATGTACTACTTATCACACTCATCTTCATTCTTTTTCTAATCCCATCTAGTCCATAAGTTTAACATCTCATACCTTGAGTCTTAAATGTCCTAATTAGTCTTTTAATTCCATTCTCTGTGAGACACACAGTTGTCAGAATTTTTTTCCTATGTTCCATTTTTTACATAGTGTTCCTTTTCTCAAAAATTCTCAAATATTCTCAAAATAAACTGAAAGGGGTTATCTCAGAGCAGAGCAATTACAAGGGATTTTTACTTGCTCCTTTGTATTTTTCTGTATTTTCTGAATTTATAGATTAATTTTTATTTCAAAATTCCAATACATTTTTTTAAAAAATAATATCATTGTTTCAAAGTTAATTCCACAAATATTTCCCGCCTGTGTGTCAGGCATTGTTTTAGGTGCTAGGGATGCAATTCTTGTTTTCAGGGCGCTCACAGTGTAAGAGGGGAGACAGAGAATGAAACAGATAATGACAATCAACTGATAAAGATGTATCCTCTGTTTGCTGCACAAGGGGCTTTACATGAATGACCATGCAGAGTTATGGATCCCAGAAGGGACACAGGTGGGGAACACACCCTTTTCTTTTTTTTTTCTTTTTGGAGACAGGGCTCACTGTGTTGCCTAGGCTGGAGTGCAGTGGTGTGACCATAGCTCATGCAGCCTCAACCTTCTGGGCTCATGTAATCCTCCCACCTCAGCCTCTTGAGTAGCTGGGACCACAGACGAGCCCCACCACACCCGGCTACACCCTTCTTCTGAATCCTAGAATAAATCAAAGAGAATCTTAAATCAGGTGAGAGTGTGAGGGAAGGCAGAGGGTGAGGAAGTTGAAGCCCACAGAAGTGAGAGAGTGTGCAACGCCCAGGAGGATTAGGGTGACACAACTGAAGCGCAGAGGTGTTTGTGTGTGTGTGAGAGAGAGAGAGATATGGGTCAAGGATGTTTCTGGAGTGGGAACTGCAGAGGAATGCAGGAGCCCAGATTCTGCTAAGGAGTTCCAATTCAGTCTTGACAGCACTGGGAACCACTGAAGAATTTAAGTAGAGGCAAGGCATGGTCATATTTGCGTTTAGAAACGTCATTCTGGTCACCTTGCGGAGACTGTGTAAGATACAGTCAGAACCCAATTTATCAAGGTCAAATTTCTTCACTTGTCAAAGTCCTTACCATCTGCCCCCTTCCTCCTTTTCTTGCCTCTTCTCCCACAGTTCCCTGCAACCAACACTGCCAGCCTTCTATTCCTATCCCTCTGACTTTGCTGCTGTAGTTACTTCTTCCTGACAAAGAATTTTTCTTCCTCTGTACCCCTTGATCTCTCCAGATCTTAACCTCCCTCCACCTCTCAGATACTCCCAGCCACAGTCCCATCTCCCAGCCACAGTCCCATCTCCCTGCTTTTCATGCTCCTAGGAATTGTGACTTTGCTTTATATCTGCCTGTGGTCCCAGCTATCACCACACACCTACAAAAAGCAAAACTCAAGATGTGCTGTTTCAAATGATAGTGACTTAAAATTATGATCCAGGCAGGGTTTTAATACCTTAATACCTGCCCTGAGATGGATGTATCCCCAAGTGGTGGATGTGGGTTGGATTGTGTAATTTCCTGTGGGCAAAGCTTCTTTTTCACCTAGATAAACTCTGAAGCTCTCTTCCTGGAGTTCCATTTTATTAGCTTACACAAGTGTACTCCCTGTTTTTAAAAAAATTATAGTTTTACATTTTATTTTTTATAGAAGTGGAGTCTCACTATATTGCCCAGGCTGATCTCAAACTTCTGGGCTCAAGCGATCCTCCAGTCTTAGGCTCCCAAAGGGATTTGGGATTACAGGTGCAAGTTACTATGCCTGGCCTGTACTCCCTTTTAAAGGTTGATTTTTTGATGTAAAAGAAAGCTTTACCATTTATTTTTACTTCAATATGAAACCTTCTCATGTGCTTTTTCTTTTTGGTGTTTGAAAGCAACCTAGCTAGAGAACAATGATAATGTGGGGCTGAGAGGAAACATCAGAAATCTGAGGTTGGAGAGGAAATGTACATGATAGGAATGGAAGCCACCAAGTCAGAAGACAAGCTTCCCAAACTTCTTCATGGTATAGGGCAGTAGTAGAGCTCAGGTTCTAGAGCACTGTTTCTCAAAGTGTGGTCCCAGACCAGCAGCATCAGCCTTTCCTAGGAATTTGTTAGGAATGCAAAATGTTGGTTTCTTTCCCAGACTTCTTGAATCAGAAACTCTAGAGGTGGAGTCCAGCAATGGCAGTTTGGGGACCACTGCTCTAGCATTTAAAGGAAGGATCTACAGAGGATTTGCGCTACAGCCTGCCTTTAGTTTTTTTTCCCTTTTTCCCTCTTTCCCTGCTCCTAGGCAACAAAGATAAAAATATAGTAAAAACTAGGTGCTTCTCTGAATGGCTGGATTTGAAGAAGTTCTATTTTAAAACTGCATTTAAAAAAAAGGGCCAGGTGGTTCACACCTGTAATCCTAACACTTTGGGAGGCCGAGGCTGGTGGATCACTTGAGCCCAGGAGTTTGAGACCACCCTTAACAACATAGTGAAACCCCATCTCTACAAAAAGCTGAGTGTGGTGGCATGTTCCTGTAGTCCCAGCTACTCAGGAGGCTGAGGTGGGGGAATCACTTGAGCCCAGGAGGTGGAGGTTGTAGTGAGCTGAGATTATGCCACTGCACTCCAGCCTGGGTAATAGAGTGAGACACCACCTCAAAAAAAAAAAAAAAAAAAAAAAACACCAACAAAAAAAACTCATTGATTACCTGCAGGGCACCAGCCACTGTCTGAGGCACAGTAAACAGAAAGAGAGTAACTATCCCTGCACTAGAGGAGGCCTGCTCAAGGCAGTATGTGTGTGTGTGTGTTTGTATCCGTGTTGGGATGGGGATGAAGTGGAAAGTGGGAAAGGCTTTTTGGAAATGATGAATCCCAAATTGCGTTTTGAAAAGTCGATTGGAGCACGAGGTCAAAGGTAGGAAGATGCACTTTAGCCAAAGGACCAGTTGTAGAAATGCTCAGTAATTCCCTTGTGAATATTTTGATCCAGAAAGATATACTAGAGCATTGCAGAAACGCAGCTGCCCAGGAGTTTGGTTTTTACTGCCTGACTTCACTTTGATTTCATGGCTTGGATGAAAAAGAGACATCTACTTCCTAGTTTCTCTCTATCTTAAAGTTCAATATTGAATCCAACTCTATTTTCTGGCTGTCTTTCAAGGATTTTCCTGAGTCTTCTGTTCCCACTGTTTCTGCCTAGATCTTCCACATACTAGAAGCACCAATCTCCTCCAACCATCTACAGCTCCCTGTGACCAAGATCATCGTGGGCAAAACTGATTCTTCTAATCAACATTTATCACACTTGCTTTTCACCAATGAACTTGGTCTTTAGAGCATTTACAAACAAGTATGAGGTGCCTTCCCTCAGAAAACTCACAACCCAATTAAAGACACAAGACCTAGATATAAAAAATAACAATTTAGACTGCAAATGACTTAGTAAAGAATTATATGAACTGTAAACCCCATAGAAGGACATGGCTTGACAAGTTATGGGCCACAGACCAAATCCAGCCTGCAAGCTAAAAATGGCCCTTCCTTCCACTTTTATTTTATTTTATTGTTGTTGGTTTTTTTTTTTTTAAGACAAGGTCTCACCATATTGCCTAAGCTGGTCTCAAACTATTGGGCTCAAGTGATCTTCATGCCTCAGTTTCTTGAGTACTGGGATGACAGCACATGTCACTGACCCAGGTTCCATTTTTAAATGGTTGAAAAATGAAATAAAAGTAATACACAGAGACACATGAAAACTATATGAAATTCAAATATCAGTATCTACAAATAAAATTTTATTGAAACACAGTCATATGCATTCAATTATATATCATCTATGGCTGCTTTCTTTCTCCAAAGGCAGAGTTGATTTTTTTTCTTTTTTTGAGACAGAGTCTCACTGTGTGATATGGTTTAGCTGTGTCCCCACCCAAATCTCATCTTGAATTGTAACTCTAACAATTCCTATGTGTCATGGGAGGAACCCGGTGGGAGGTGATTGAATTATGGGGGTGAGTCTTTCCTGCACTGGTCTCCTGATAGTGAATGTGTCTCACAAGATCTGATGGTTTTAAAAAGGGGAGTTTCCCTGCACAAGTTCTTCTTCTTTTGTCTGCTGCCATATGAGACGTGCCTTTCACCTTCCACCATATTTATGAGGTCTCCCCAGCCAAGTGGAACTATAAGTCCACGTCTTTATCAGCAGTGGGAAAATTGACTAATATACTCTGTTGCCTCAGCTGGAGTGCAGTGGCATGATCTTGGTCACTGCAGCCTCCACCTCCAAGTTCAAGAGATTCTCCTGCCTCAGCCTCCTGAGTAGCTGGGACTACAGGTGCACGCCACCACACCTGGCTAATCTGTGTATTTTTTTTTAGTAGAGTGGGGGTTTCACTATGTTGGCGAGGCTGGTCTTGAACTCCTGATCTCAAGTGATCCTCTCGCCTCGGCCTCCCAAAGCACTGGGATTACAGGTGTGAGCCATCACACCCAGCCCCCAGTGGCAGAGTTGAGTAGTTGCAACAAAGACCATATAGCCTATTTTCCAAACTGTGATGCTCTGCTTCCCTTTTAAACATAAGTTCCAATTACAAATCTATCTTTGTAAATACATAAAACTGAATGCTTTTAACAGCACCCATCCCCTCTTGAATGCTTGCCTGCTTAGAAATTTCTTCTACCAGATGCCCTAAATCATCTCCTTCAAGTTCAAAGTTCCACAAATCTCCAGAGCTGGGACAAAATGTTCCCATTCTCTTGGCTAAAACATAGCAAGAGTCACCTTTATTCCAGTTCCCACATGTTCCTCACCTCCGTCTGAGACCACCTCAACCTGGACTTCATTATCCATATCACTATCAGCATTTTGGTCAAAGCCATTGAACAAGTCTCTGGAAAATTCCAAACTTTCCCACATCTTTCTGTCCTCTTCTGAGCCCTCCAAACTATTCCAATCTCTGCCTGTTACCCAATTCCAAAGTTGCTTCCAGATTTTCAGGTATCTTTACAGCAGCACCTTACTCTACCAGTACCAATTTACTATATTAGTCTGTTCTCATTCTGCTAATAAAGACATACCTGAGCCAGGTGCGATGGCTCATGCCCATAATCCCAGCACTTTGGGAGGCTGAGGCATGTGGATCACTTGAGGTCAGGAGTTTGAGACCAGCCTGGCCAACATGGTGAAACCCTGTCTCTACTAAAAATACAGAAAAATTAGCTGGGCATGGTGGTAAGCGCTTTAATCACAGCTACTTGGGTGGTGAGGCAGGAGAATCACTTGAGCCCAGGAGGTGGAGGGTGCAGTGAGCCAAGATTGTGCCACTGCACTCCAGCCTGGGTGACAGAGCAAGACTCAATCTCAATAATAATAATAATAATAATAATAATAATAATAATAATAATAACACATACCAGAGACTGGGTAATTTATAAACAAAAGAGGTTTAATTGACTCACAGTTCCACATGGCTGGGGAGTCCTCACAATCATGGTGGAAGGCAAATGAGGAGCAAAGTCACATCTTACATGGTGGCAGGTAAGAGAGTTTGTGCAAAGGAACTCCCATTTATAAAATCATCAGATCTTGTGAGATTTATTCACTGCTACAAGAACAGTATGTGGGAAACCGCCCCAAAGATTCAATTTTCTCCAGCTGGCCCCACCCTTGACATGTGGGGATTATTACAATTCCGTGTGAGATTTGGGTGGGGACACAGCTAAGCCATATCAGTATTCCATAATGTATATATATCACATTTTCTTTATCCAGTCTACTATTGATGGGCATTTAGGTTGATTCCATGTCTTTGCTAGAGATCTACTTTCTAAGGTCCCATATGTGAGTGAGAACATGCAATACTTCAGTTAATGTAATGACCTCCAGTTCCATCCATTTTTCTGCAAATGGCAGGATTTCATTCTTTTTTTTTTTTTAACATAATCAAACATGGTCAAAGGATTTAATTTTTTGGGCTGAATAATATTCCATTCTGTATACATACCATATTTTCTTTATCTATTCATCTATTGATGGACACTTAAGTAGATTCCACATTGTCACTATTGTGAATAGTGCCACAGTAAACATGGGTGATACGGTTTGGCTCTGTGTCCCTACCCAAATCTCATCATGTAGCTCCCATAATTCCCATGTGTTGTGTGAGGGATCTGGTGGGAGATGACTGAATTACGGGGGTGGGTCTTTCCCATGCTGTTCTCATGATAGTGAATGGGTCTCATGAGATCTGATGGTTTTAAAAAATGGGAGTTGCACTACATAAGCTCTCTCTTTGCCTGCTGCCATCCACGTAAGATGTGATTTGCTCCTCCTTGCCTTCAGCCATGATTGTGAGGCCTACCCAGCCATCTGGAACTGTAAGTCCAATGAACCTCTTTCTTTTGTAAATTGCCCAGTCTTGGGTATGTCTTTATCAGCAGTGTAAAAATGGACTAATAGAATGAGAGTGTAGATGTCTTTTTGATATGTTGATTTTCTTTCTTTTGAATATAGACCCAGTGGTGGAATTGCTGCATCATATGCTACCTCTGTTTTTAGTTTTTTGAGGAATCTCTATACTGTTCTTCCTAGTGTCTGTACTCTATACTGTTCTTCCTAGCAGTGTACAAGAGTTTCCCTCTTCCCACATCCTCTCCAGCATTCGTTATTGCCTGTGTTTTTGATAAGAGTTATTTTAACTGGGATGAGGTGATATCTCATTGTAGTTTGATTTGCATTTCTCTGATGATTGAGCATTTTTTTAATGTAACTGTTGGTCATTTGTATATCTTCTTTTGAGAAATGTCTATTTGGATCTTTTGCCCATTTTTAAATTGAATTGTTTGTGTTTTTTTGCAATTGAGTTGTTTGAGCTCCTTACGTATTTTAGCATTATTCTCTTGTCAAATGGGTAGTTAGCAAATATTTTTGCCAATCCTTTACAGATACAGTTTTCTGACTCCTGCTATAGGACAGGGGTTTCCAAATTATTTTACAAGAAAAGCAATATATATATTAAAAAAATGGGCTGGGCATGGTGGCTCACGCCTGTAATCCCAGCACTTTGGGAGGACGAGGTTGGTGGATCTTGAGGTCAGGAGATCGAGACCATCCTGGCTAACACGGTGAAACCCCATCTCTACTAAAAATACAAAAAAAATTAGCTGGGTGTGGTTGCGCGTGCCTGTAGTCCCAGGTACTCGGGAGGCTGAGGCAGGAGAATGGCATGAACCTGGAAGGTGGAGCTTGCAGTGAGCCGAGACCGCACCACTGCACTCCAGCCTGGGCGACAGAGTGAGACTCCACCTAAAAAAAAAAAAAAAAAGAGTTTAAGACCAGCCTGGCCAACATGGTGAAACCTTGTCTCTACTAAAAATACAAAAATTAGCCAGGCGTGGTGGCAGGCATCTATAATCCCAGCTACTCAGGAGGCTGAGGCAGGAGAATTGCTTGAACCTGGGTGGTGGAGGTTGCAGTGAGCCCAGATCGTGCCATTGCACTCCAGCCTGGGTGACAAGAGCAAAACTCCATCTCAAAAAGCAAAACAAAACCAAAAAACAAACAAACAAAAAGAAACCTAGGTCCCATTTGGTCAACCATCACTACCTCTTTTCCCTCACTTTTCATGTTTCTTCCTTCCCTAACTTCCCTGACACCTTCAAGAAACCCTAGGATGCCTAGTTGAAAAAACTACTATAGGAGTTCAGTGCAGGAAGAGATCATCTGGAGGAGTTAAGCAAGTTTTCTTTGGGAAAATGAGTATTGACAAAAATTACCACTAAAGAACTTATCCATGTAACCAAACACCACCTGTTCCCCAAAAACCTTCCGAAATTAAAAAAATATATATGCATTGGGAAAAAAATGAGCATTGTTATAGTTTGGCTATGTCCCCACCCAAATCTAATCTTGAATTGTAGCTCCCATAATTCCCATGTGTTGTGGGAAGGACCCGGTGGGAGATAATTGAATCATGGGGGCAGTTTCCCCCATACTGTTCTCATGGCAGTAAGTCTCATGAGATCTGATGGTTTGATAAGGGGTTTCCCCTTTTGCTTGGCTCTCATTCTCTCTTGTCTGCTGCCATGTAAGATGTACCTTTCACCTTCCACCATGATTGTGAGGCCTCCCCAGCCATGTGGAACTGTGGGTCCATTAAACCTCTTTTTCTTTATAAACTACCCAGTTTCAGGTGTGTCTTTATCAACAGTGTGAAAATGGACTAATACAAGCATTGAGCTGGGCTTTGAAGATTGGGTAAAATTTTCAAAAGAGAGTGCCAAAATACATTTTCTTTTTTTAATTTTTAATTTTTTTTTTTTTGAGACAAGATCTGGCTCTGTCGTTCAGGCTAGACTGCAGTGGCACAATCTTGGCTCATTGCAACCTCTGTCTCCCGTACTCAAACCATCCTCCTACCTCAGCCTCCCAACTAGCTGGAACTACAGGTGCATGTTAACACACCTGGCTAATTTTTGTATTTTTGGTAGAGACAGGGTTTCACCATGTTGGCCAGGCTGGTCTCGAACTCTGGGCTCAAGGGATCCTCCTGCCTCAGCTTCTCAAAGTGCTGGGATTACAGGCATGAGCCACCATGCCTAGCCAAAGGAAATTTTCAAAAAATTCAAAACATGGCTTATATGAGGATTTGTTCAATTTATTAATGAGAGAATTAGCATGATGATAAAGCTGGTCCAAAGAATATTTGAGAAACTCAGTATATATAGGAATTTGAAAAAGAATGTTAGAATAAGTTTAGGTTAGGTTTAAACATTGGTTAATATCCTACAGGACAATAAAACCATAATCATTAGGGTTATCTTTTCTATTGAACACAAATCATTTTGCTAACAGGCAAAAACTTATAAATTAATATGTAACTTCACAAAGTTTAGATCTTTAATAAATAGTGAATAGCAAGTCAAATAATAATACTTTCCCCTAAATGATCAATCCTTGGGTGGACCAGTTACACAATCAAAAGGACATGCTGGCCGAGTGCAGGGGTTCACACCTCAATCCCAGCATTTGGGGAGACTGAGGCAGGCAGATTACTTGAGGCCAGGGGCTCGAGATAAGCCTGGCCAACATGGTGAAACCCTGTCTCCACTAAAAATACAAAAATTAGCCGGGCATGGTGGTGGGCTCCTGTAATACCAGCTACTTGGGAAGGTGAGGAGGGAGGGAGCATAGCTTCACTGCAGGAGGCGGAGGTTGCAGTGAGTGGAGATTGTGCCACTGCACCCCAGCCTGGGCTGTGACAAAGCGAGACCCTGTCTCAAATAAATAATAAAAATAAAAACATAAACGTTAAAAAGAGAACATTCTATCTTCTCTTTGCCTTAGTTACAAGCTTTGTCTACTTTTACTTAATAAGTGGTAAATAAAAACATTCCTTTAAGATTTTGTTCCCAGCAAATATTGGGAGGCAAGAATGTATGGAGGTTGTGGAGGCAGGGCATTTAAAAGCAGAATCTCAAAGTGGGTTTCATCCGGTAAGCTAGCAGTAGGAGAGAGACTGAGGCATTGCATTTATATTTTTAAGCAGCTGCCTTTCTTTTTTGTCATGTTTCTAACCTGCGCTACTTATTTGAAGTTTTCAACCATTAGTCCTCCAATTCTCAGAGGAAATATTAAATTCCAGTTTACTCCTCCAAAGACATTTATTATTATTATTATTATATTTTTTATTATTTGAGATGGAGTTCCACTCTGTTGCCCAGGCTGGAGTGCAGTGGCACAATCTTGGCTCATTGCAGCCTCCACCTCCTAGGTTCAAGCGATCCTCCCATCTTAGCCTCCTGAGTAGCTGGGACCACAGGTGGGCACCACCACGCCCGGCTAATTTTTGTATTTTTAGTAGAGATGGGGTTTCACCATGTTGGCCAAGCTGGTATCGAACTCCTGACTTCAACTAATCAGCCTGCCTTGGCCTCCCAAATTGCTGGGATTACTGGTGTGAGCCACCATGCCTGGCCTCTTCCAAAGGCATTTGGAAGAGGCATTTGGACATACTCATGAATGAGTATGTCCAAAAAGCCCTATAGAACCAAGAAAATAAAAAAACAAATTGTTGTTGCCAATTATTGATAAAATAATGGCATCTTATTGTTTTAATTTGTATTTTTATGACTGCTAGGGAGATTTAATATTTTTACTTACACGCTTTTCTTTGAATTTTCTGTTCATATATTTAGCACATTTTTCTCTTAGGTTATTTTCTTTCTTTCTTATCAATCTTTAAAAGCTTTTATATTTACAAGGAAAATTGACTCTTTGTTATATTCACTCCATACCTGTTCATCTTTTCTCTTCTGGCTTTTAGATTTCATATAATGCTTAAAGCATGTGTCTCCCATACTCTTAAATATATAAGTATGTTCTCCTGAATATTTTTTAAATATTTTCTTTCTTACATTTGGATATTTAATCTATCCAGAATTTAATTTTATACAAGGCACGAATAAGAGGCTAACTTATTTTCGGCATAACCAATTATCCCAGTATTATTTTTCAAACTAACCAGCAAGTTCCCAACAGAATTTAAAATACCACTTTTGTCTTATATCAACTTTTTGTATATATTTCACTCTTCCTCTTCACTCTCTTTCTTTTTATAGATTAACTGCTGAACTCTTGTTAAAATCCTTGTTTTGATTAAAGCCAAAGTTCCTGCATACAGGAACATATACATATTCCTGTAACTATGCATATGATTCAACTGCTCAGCTGTCTAGACATGTTCACTGAAAATGTGCTGTGGTGTTCCCTGAAGCCCTGGGAACTGCACATCACCACGCAGCTCCTCTCAGAATAATGCCAGTGTGGTTTTCCGTCTCACCTCTATGTGGGCTCTTTCTACAGACTAATCCTTTCTAAATGTGATTTAATTAACCAGGAAGATGTTTGAAGGAAAGCAGATAAAACAGAAAAGTCTGGTTGTGCCTAACAGTGGGTGCTATTTCAATAAGGACACTGAGCAGGCACACATGCATTAACATGTCAATTCATTCAATACTGAGCACCTACTATATAACAGGTGCTACCCTAGACATTGGGTATACAATCATAGTCAGAAGTCCTGGCCCTCATGAGGCAAGAAGGAGGAGACAGAAAATAAACACATTATTTTCTTTTTTGAGACAGAGTCTCACTTTTTCGCCCAGGCTGGAGTACAGTGGTGTGATCACAGCTCACTGCAGCCTTGACCTCCCAGGCTCAAGTGATTCTCAGGACCTCAGTCCCAGGCCTGGGTAGCTGGGACTACAATCTTGCACTACCATGCCCAGATAATTTTTGTATTTTTTGTAGAGATGGGATTTCACCATGTTGGCCAGGCTGGTCTTGAACTCTTGGGCTCAAGCAATCCACCTACCTCGGCAGATTGGTGATCTCTAAGTGGTGGGATTATAGGCGTGAGCCACAGTACCTGACATATATATATATATAAACATTCCTTAAAAACTTTATTTTTAACTGGGATATAACCAATACAAACTTAAGAACAGTTTAATTAACTTTTACATATTTGTAACCGATACCCATATCAAGATAGAGAAAGGATATTTTCAGCCTTTAAGAAGGTTTCCTTGTTTCCCTTCTAAAAGTAATAAGCCTCCAAAGATAACTATTATTCTGATTTGTATCAGTATATATTAGTTTTGTGAGTGAAAGAGCCAGACACAAAACACTACATTCCATATAATTAATGAAATTATATATAAGAAAACCAGTAATGGTATTATATGGGAGGTACTGTTTTGTGTTGGCTTCTTTCACTCAAAATTTTACCTGCGATTCGCCATGTAGTTGCACGTAACTGAAATTTATTTTTCGTTGTATTATATTCTGTATTATAAATATGCCATAATTTTTTTATTGTTCTCCTGGACATTTTATTGCTTCCAGTTTGGGGATATTGGGAATAAAGTTGCTATGAACGTTCTTATACATATATATAACTGATCACATTACTAATTTCTCTGAACTCAGGAGTGAATTGGCTGAGTCAATTATATATTTTTTATATAGAAATTTACATTTTTTATTAGAAATTAAGAGTGAATTGGCTGAGTCAATTTTAAATATACATATACATTCTTGTGTATAGAAAGAATTCATATAGAAAATATATAAAGAACTTCCATAGATCAATAAGAAAATGATAGACAACACAACTTTTAAAAAATGTAGGCAAAACGCTTGAACACAATAATGTCTTCACAATACAGGCTATACAAATGGCCACAAAGCACATGAAAAGGTGCTAATTGAAATGTGCACATTAAAACCACAGTTGAATACCACTACCCCAGATCACCAGAATGGCTAGAATTAAAAATGACTTGTCAATTTCAAGGGTTGGCAATGATTTGGAGCAGTTTGGAATCTCATACATTGCTGGTAGGATTGTAAATTGGCACAACCATTTTGGAAAATTGACCTATCTATTAAAGCCAAAATAAGCATGTCTTACAGCCACGTAGTAAGAAAACTTTTTAAATTAAAAAACAAATAGTATATTAGAGGTCTAAGTACTGTGAAAAATAAAGGAAAGAAGGAAAATAAAGAGTGTGGAGAAAGGGTAGTGATATATCTTCAGTTAATTGGCATTTGCTACTTGCCAGGTCTAGTATAAGCAGTGGAGGATATAAAAGAGGAATAAGATAAGATGTCTCCCCTTAAAGAGTCCCCCCAAAAAGATGGGCATGTAACCAACTAAATGTGTATCATAAGATGAGTGCTCTTGTCTCTACTAGGGGCATGCTATGAGAAGACACTAGGAAGGACTGGAAAATTATGACTGGGTCAGTCCATCTCAACTCTGAAACTGAGCGGTGGAGCACATGAGGAAGATAGGAAGATGACAGAGCTTCAAGAAGGGAAATTGGGGCCAGGCACAGTGGCACACACCTGAAGTCCCAGCACTTTGGGAGGCCGAGTCAGGCAGATTAGTTGAGGTCAGAAGTTCGAAACCAGCCTGGGCAACATGGTTAACCCTGTTTCTACTAAAAATACAAAAAGTAGCTGGATGTGGTGGTAGGCGCCTGTAATCCCAACTACTCAGGAGGCTGAGGCAGGGGAATCACTTGAACCCAGGAGGCAGAGGTTGCAGTGAGCCAAGATCACGCCACTGCCACTCCAGCCTGGGTGACAGAGCAAGACTCCTGGGGTTGGGAGTGGTGGCTCTCACCTGTACTTTAGGAGGTGAGGCAGAGACAGGAGGATCACTTAAGCCCAGGAGTTAGAGACTAGCCTGGGCAACATGGCGAGACCATGTCTCTAAAAAAAAGTTAAAAAAAAAAGCCCTGCGTGGTGGCACGCCTGTAGTCCCAGCTACTCAGAAAGCTAAGTGGGAAGATGGTTTGAGCCTAGGAGGTTGAGGCTGCAGTGAGCCATGATTGCACCACTGCACTCCAGCGTGGGTGACAGAACAAGACTCTGTATCAAAAATAAAATAAAATAAAATTTAAAAAAGGGAAATTGAAGGCATGAAGCCAGAGATAAAGTAGCTGAGTCTATGGGACCATGAGGGCTCATATATCTTAGTGGTTAAGAGCTCAGACAGGATGCAGACTACTTGAGCTAACATCCTGGCTGTGCCACTTACTGTGTGACCTTCAGTACATACCTCAACCTCTCTGTGCCTGTTTCCTCCTTTATAAATGTAGTACCCCCTTCACAGGGTTGTTCTGAGGAGTACACGAATTAACACCTGTAAAACAAATGGCAACTGGCACATAGGAAAGGCATTATTACTACATTGAAGATGAATGTGCTTCCTGGGTTACACAGCATGCTTCTTATACAAATTCAACTTTATAGCAATTGATCCATACTCACATGCAATACTTTTTTTAAAAGGCCGGAATTCTGTATTAATAATGAGAACACAAAAGCAGCAAGTATGCAGCAAGACCAGGGTGCTGTCGACAGGAAGCCATTTTATTTTCAGTCTTCAGTTGTCTCAGTTACCACTTGAATCTGGATCAGTCAGCACATGGGATATCAGTTTAATTTGTGCTTTTCCATTCTTTGTTGCCATCTAATAATGTCTAGAAAGGGACTCAAGCAAAGGTCAGTGATAAAAGGTAGCCCACACTTTTTGGGGGCAGTCTAGTTTTCACCAGAAAACCCACTAGGCAAATTCTAAAAGAGCCTTGACTGTGGAAGCTGAGGCTTTGATGGCTTAATTTGGATGCCAAGAGTTTTGTTTCATTCATGTCCGTGTGAAGAGACCACCAAACAGGCTTTGTGTGAGCAATAAAGCTTTTAATCACCTGGGTGCAGGCGGACTGAGTCCGAAAAGAGAGTCAGCGAAAGGAGATAGGGGTGGGGCCGTTTTAGGGGCTTTTGAGCCAGGATGAGCCAGGAGAAGGAATTTCACAAGAGAATGTCATCAGTTAAGGCAGGAACAGGCCATTTTCACTTCTTTTGTGGTGGAATGTCATCAGTTAAGGCAGGAACCAGCCATCTGGATGTGTACCTGCAAGTCACAGGGGATATGATGGCTTAGCTTGGGCTCAGAGGCCTGACATTCCTGTATTCTTATATTAATAAGAAAAATAAAACAAAATAGTAAAGTGTTGGGGCGGCGAAAATTTTTAGAGGTAGTATGGAGAGATAATGGGTGATGTTTCTCAGGGCTGCTTCGAGCGGGATTACGGGCGGCGTGGGAACCTAGAGTGGGAGAGATTAAGCTGAAGGAAGATTTTGTGGTAAGGGGTGATATTGTGGGGTTGTTAGAAGAAACATTTGTCGTGTAGAATTATTAGTGATGGCCTGGATACGGTTTTGTATGAATTGAAAAAACTAAACAGAATAAGAGAAGGAGAAAAACAGGTATTAAAGGACTAAGAATTGGGAGGACCTAGGACATCTAATTAGAGAGTGCCTAAGGAGGTTCAGCATAGCCTTGCCAGCAAAGATTATTTATTTACTTTAAGAGCGGCGGTTTGGGTATAGCACCAGGAGATATCAGCTGTGATTGGAGAAACAGTGTAAACTGGCAGTGTAAACAAGAGCAGGGCATTTATGAGTAGTTGAGAACGGTGAATAGGAGTATTACTAGACAGAAAATAGTAGGGATGACAAGTTTTTTGGGGGCACAGTCTAAGTTGGTCTGGTGTCTGGGATGAGACTGGGGCCTAATAAAAAGGAGCATCTATACAGGAGCTCAAATGGGCTGTACCTTGTAGCATTCTGAGGACAGGCCTGAATTCTGAGAAGGGAAAGTGGTAAAAGTATTGTCCATTCCTTTTTAAATTGGTGGCTGAGCTTGGTGAGGTGTGTTTTTAAAAGACCTTTAGTCCGTTCTACTTTTCCTGAAGACTGAGGACTGTAAGGGATATAAAGGTTTCACTGAATACCAAGAGCCTGAAAAACTGCTTGGCTGATTTGACTAATAAAGGCTGGTCTGTTATCAGACTGTATAGAGGTGGGAAGGCTAAATTGAGGAATTACGTCTGATAGAAAGGAAGAAATGACTGTGGTGGCCTTCTCAGACCCTGTAGGAAAGGCCTCTACTTATCCAGTGAAAGTGTCTACTTAGACTAACAGGTATTTTTGTTTTCTGACTCAGGGCATGTTGAGTAAAGCCAATTTGCCAGTCCTGGGCGGGGGCAAATCTTCGAGCTTGATGTGTAGGGAAGGGAGGGTGCCTGAATAATCCCTGAGGAGTAGTAGAATAGCAGATGGAACACTGAGAAGTTGTTTCCTTGAGGATAGATTTCCACGATGGAAAGGAAATGAGAGGTTCTAAGAGGCGGGCTAGTGGCTTGTACTATAGCATAGCCTGCTTTTGCTGGTGTGTGGCCATTAGGCCTGGTGGAACTGCCATCAATAAACTAAGTGTGATCAGGGTAAGGAACAGGAAAGAAGGAAATATGGGGAAATGGGGTGAATGTCAGGTGGATCAGAGAGATAGAGTCATGGGGGTCAGGTGTGGTATCAGGAATAACGTGGGAGGCTGGATTGAAGTCTGGGCCAGGAACAATGGTAATTGTGGGAGACTCAACAAAGAGTGAGTACAGCTGAAGGAGCCGGGAAGCAGAAAGTATATGCATCAGGTGTGAGGAAGAAAATAGATTTTGGAAGTTATGAGAACTGTAGAGAGTGAGTTGAGCACAGTTTGTGATTTTAAGGGCCTCTAAAAGTACTAGGGCAGCGGTGGCTGCCACACACAGACTTGAGGGCTAGGCAAAACAGTAAGGTCAAGTTGTTTGGATAAAAAGGCTACAGGGCGCGGTCCCAGTTCTTGTGTAAGAATTCCAACTGCACAGCCCTGCACTTCGGCTGTGGGTAATGAAAAGGGTTGGGGTGAGTCAGAGCTAGGGTGGGGGCAGTCTCTAAAGCTGTCTTCAAGGAATGGAAAGAGGAGTGGGGAAAGGATTTAGGATCTATGGGGTCAGCTAGGTTTCTTTTTTCGAGATTATATAATGGTTTTGTTAGGATGGCAAAACCAGGTATCTAAAGTCGAAAGTATCTAACCATGCCTAGGAAGGAAAGGAGTTATTGTTTTGTAGAAGGTGTTGGGGTTTGAGAGATCAGCTGGACATGATCGGCAGGGAGAGCATGTGTGTTTTTATGAGAATTACGCTGAGATAGGTAACAGATGAGGAAGAAATTTGGGCTTGACTGAAGTAATGGGGGCTGTCTGTGAAGACTTGCGGCAGTACAGCCCAGGTAATTTGCTGAGCCTGATGGGTGTCAGGGTCAGTCCAAGTGAAAGCAAAGAGAGGCTGGGATGAAGGGTGCAAAGGAATAGTAAAGAAAGCATATTTGAGATCTAGAACAGAATAATGGGTTGTCGAGGGAAGTATTGAGGATAGGAGAGTATATGGGTTTGGCACCACGGGGTGGAGAGGCAAAACAATTTTGTTGATAAGGCGCAGATCCTGAACTAACCTGTAAGCCTCTAGGACAGGTAAAATGGGGGAATTGTAAGGAGAGTTTATAGGCTTTAAAAGGCCATGCTGTAGCAGGCGAGTGATAACAGGCTGCTACTTTAAATCCTTTTAAAGTGTGCTGTGGGATGCCATATTGGCATTGAGCGAGGTAAGGGTGATTAGGTTTTAATGAGATGGTAAGGGGTGCATGATCGGTCGCCAAGGAGGGAGTAGAGGTATCTTATACTTGTGGGTTAAGGTGGGGGGATACAAGAGGAGGATGCAAAGGAGGCTTTGGATTGGGAAGAAGGGTGGCAATGAGATGTAGCTGTAGTCCAGGAATAGTCAGGGAAGCAGATCACTTAAAGTGTCTCGGCCTAATAAGGGAACTGGGCAGGTGGGGATAACTAAAAAGGAGTGCTTAAAAGAGTATTGTCTAAGTTGGCACCAGAGTTGGGGAGTTTTAAGAGGTTTAGAAGCCTGGCCGTCAATACCCACAACAGTTATGGAGGCAAGGGAAACAGGCCCTTGAAAAGAAGGTAATGTGGAGTGCATAGCCTCCGTATTGATTAAGAAGGGGACGGACTTACCCTCCACTGTGAGAGTTACCTGAAGCTCGGCGTCCGTGATGGTCTACGGGGCTTCTGAGGTGATCGGGCAGCGTCAGTCTTCAGCCGCTAAGCCGAGAAGATCTGGGAAGGAGTCAGTCAGAGAGCCCTGGGCCAGAGTTCCAGGGGCTCTGGGAGTGGCTGCCAGGTGAGTTGAACAGTGCGATTTTCAGTGGGGTCCCACACAGATGGGACGCGGCTTAGGAGGAATCCCGGGCTGCGGGCATTCCTTGGCCTAGTGGCCAGATTTCTGGCACTTGTAGCAAGCTCCTGGGGGAGGCGGGCCTGGAGGAACGTCTGGCCACTGCGGTTTAGGTGTTTGGAAGTTCTTGTGTGCTCGAGATGTGGCTGGGGTTTGTCTCACAGTGGAGGCAAGGAATTGCAACTCAGAAATGTGTTGCTACTTGGCTGCCTCTACTCTGTTATTGTACACCTAGTAGGCGAGGTTAATTAAGTCCTGTTGTTGGGTTTGAGAGCCGGAATTTAATTTTTGGAGTTTTATTTAATGTTGGGAGCAGATTGGGTAATAAAATGTATATTGAGAATAAGACGGCCTTTTGACCTGTTAGGGTCTAGGGCTGTAAAGCATCTCAGGGTTGCTGCCAAACGAGCCATGAACTGGGCTGGGTTTTTATATCTGATGAAAAAGAGCCTAAACGCTTCTGATTTGGGATAAAGAAAAAGGAGCATTAACTTTGACTATGCCTTTAGCTGCAGCCACCTTTTTAAGAGTAAATTGCTGGGCAGGTGGGGGAGGGCTAGTCACGGAACGAAACTGTAAGCCGGACCAGGTGTGAGGAAGGGAGGAGATAAAAGGATTATAGGGTGGAGGAGTGGAGGCTGAGGAAGAATTGGGACCTAGCTCAGCCTGGCAAGGAGGGGAGAGGTCAGATGGGTCTGTAGAAAAGGAAGATTAGAAAGACTTAGCAACGCTTGGGGTTGGGACTGGGGACAGGCGGGAGGGAAAGAAGGAAGATTTGGGATGAGTTGCTTCAGGAACAGAGACTAGGGAGGGACCGATGTGTAAAAGAATGCCTGGACATCAGGCACTTCAGACCATTTGCCCATTTTATGATAAGAAGTATTTAGATCTTGTAGGATGGAAAAATTGAAAGTGCCATTTTCTGGCTATTTGGAACTACTGTCTAGTTTGTATTGGGGTCAAGTGGCATTTCAGAAGAAAACAAGATGCTTAGACTTTAGGTCAGGCAAGAGTTGAAGAGGTTTTAAGTTCTTAGGAACACAGGCTAAGGGAGAAGAAGGAGGAATGGAAGGTGGAAGTTTGCCTATAGTGAAGGAGGCAAGTTTAAAGAGAAGCGTAGAGACATGGAGGGAAGGGGCTCGGGGGTTCTTACCCTTCAGAAAAGCGGGAAAGGGGTCAGGGCATGGAAATAAGGGGTTGGGGTGCAGAGATAAGAGGTCAGAATGTGGAAATAAGGGATTGGGGCACAGAGATAAGAGGTCGGGGTGTGGAAATAAGGGATCAGGGCACAGAGATAAGAGGTTGGGTCATGGAAATAAGGGATTGGGGTGCAGAGATTAGAGGTCAGGGCATAGAAATAAGGTATTGGGGCACAGAGATAAGAGGTTGGGGCATGGAAATAAGGGATTGGGGATTCTTGCCCCCTAGAAAAGTGGGACTTGCCACTAAGGGTGAAGGAGAAGGTGTTGAGGGGTTCTTGCCCATCCAGAAAAGCAGAGAAGGGGTAGAGACATGGAGAGAAGGGGTTGGGGTACTTGCCCCTCTCCCAGAAAAGTGGGACTTGCCACTAAAGGTGAAGGACAAAGGCAGGCGTCCCTGCATGGTCTGACACCTCTGAAACATGGATGAATAATCAGAGAGGCGTCCCTGCAATGATTAAACACCAAGGGAAGGCTGCCTTCCCAGTCCATGACCGGCGCTGGAGTTTTGGGTCCATGGATAAAACGTGTCTCCTTTGTCTCTACCAGAAAATGAAAGGAATTGAAATTAAGAGAAGGGAGAGATTGAAGTGTGGCGCCAAGATTGAAAGGAGAAAGAGGGTGAGGGATAGTGAGGGAGGTTGCAGAAGAGAGTAAAAAGAGGCCGCTTACTGGATTTGACATTGGTGAGATGTTTCTTGGGCTGGTTGGTCTGAGGACCTGAGGTCATAGGTGGATCTTTCTCACAGAGCAAAGAGCAGGAGGACAGGGGATTGATCTCCCAAGGGAGGTCCCCCAATCTGAGTCATGGCACCAAATTTCACGCACGTTTGTGTGAAGAGACCACCAAACAGGCTTTGTGTGAGCAATAAAGCTTTTAATCACCTGGGTGCAGGTGGGCTGAGTCTGAAAAGAGAGTCAGTGAAAGGAGATAGAGGTGGGGCCGTTTTATAGGATTTGGGTAGGTAAAGGAAAATTACAGTCAAAGGGGTTGTTCTCTGGCGGGTAGGAGTGGGGGTCACAAGGTGCTCAGTAGGGGAGTTTTTGAGCCAGGATGAGCCAGGAGAAGGAATTTCACAAGAGAATGTCATCAGTTAAGGCAGGAACAGATGATTTTCACTTCTTTTGTGGTGGAATGTCATCAGTTAAGGCAGGAACCGGCCATCTGGTTGTGTACGTGCAGGTCACAGGGGATATGATGGCTTAGCTTGGGCTTAGAGGCCTGACATTTTGTTTTTGAGCACAGGTTAAAATATTTTAAGGGAATCATAATGATCCCACTGCAATGTGTTACCCATAGTTATGACAATAATATCCGGAAGCTTACAGAGGTTCAGTTTGTTACACAAAAGAGAATCTTATGTTATGCATTTATGCATAGACCTGGGTATTGGGATTGGTATAAAATAGTGGTTCTCATAATGTGGTCCCCAGACCAGCAACACCAGTGTCCCCTGGAAATTTGTTAGAAATTTTAATTCTCCAGTGGCCCTAGGCCTAAGGCTTCAGAATCTCTGGTGATGGGACTCAACAATCTATATTTTCTGATATGGATTAAAGCTTGAGAGCCGTTGCTTTAAAATAGTCCTTCCACAGTGTGGCGATTCCTCAAGGATCTAGAACTAGAAATACCCTTTGACCCAGCCATCCCATTACTGGTTATATGCCCAAAGGATTATAAATCATGCTGCTTTAAAGACACATGCACACGTATGTTTATTGCATCACTATTCACAATAGCAAAGACTTGGAACCAACCCAAATGTCCAACAATGATAGACTGGATTAAGAAAATGTGGCACATGTACACCATGGAATACTATGCAGCCATAAAAAGGATGAGTTCATGTCCTTTGTAGGGACACAGATGAAGCTGGAAACCATCATTCTTAGCAAACTATCACAAGGACAGAAAACCAAACACCGCATGTTCTCACTCATAGGTGGGAATTGAACAATGAGAACACTTGGACACAGGAAGGGGAACATCACACACCGAGGCCTATTATGGGGTGGCGGGAGCGGGGAGGGATAGCATTAGGAGATATACCTAATGTAAATGACGAGTTAATGGGTGCAGCACACCAACATGGCACATGTATACATATGTAACAAACCTGCACGTTGTGCACATGTACCCTAGAACTTAAAGTACAATAAAAAAAAATGGTCCTTCCATTTTCCTATCACCTTTCTGTCTGGAATGGAATGTGCTTCAGAAGGGATAGCCTCAGACCCCTTCCATTTCTTAGGGTCTTTTTTCCATCCCTTCCTGCCTGCATCAATTCCTGCTCAGCCCTAACTCTACTGGAAATGAAGTGTCAGGTCTCTCCAGCATTAGCTTCCTATTCAGATGGAGGGTCTACAAGATCAAGAAAACTTTCTGTTGCTAATTTTGACTTCATCTCAAGGCAAAACTAATGTAATATTTTGCTATAAAACAAACAAATAAAAATATGCTTTTCCTAAAAGGGGAAGAATGAAAAAGAAGGAAATTGGTTCTGTCACAAAAGTTTATGGTTCAATAAAGCTAAATCATCTGCCTGCTTTTATTGTATAGAAGTGAGTGTCAGTCTCCAGGTCTTGTTGAAGAGCAGCAGAAATGCATTCTGAAGCTTTGTTGATTTATGCAAATTTTGAGTTGCGTTAAGTGAGGATAATTAGAGTAGGAGTAAAACTGTAAGTAATTCTCATAGTGTGGCCCCCTACCAGAAGCTTCTGGTAGGCATGCTTCAAAAAAAGAGAGAAGAGAAGGACTCCTAAGCTGATCTCATCACCACACTCTTTAGGAGCTACTTAAATTTTACCAAGTAATTTTCAGTCACACATGCATCACTCTAAAACAATGAGCAAAGTTTTAGTTCAAAAAGAAAACTTTTAGATTCATAGGGAAGGGGGAGCTTCAACACTATCTGTAATATTGTCTTTCTGTGATAAGTATATTAAATATTTGCCAAAGAAATAAATTATTATAGAAATATTAAATATTATAAATTACTATATATAAAGGAGACAGCCAAGTATAAAGGGGCCACCAGAGCATCTCCAACCAGCCTGCGCACTGGGAGAACGGGGTGGAGCCACGGAAGTTTACGCCATTTGTAGTCGGAAGGAGCCTGGCCCCTCCTGTTCCTGTGCGGAAACCTGGGATTCAATTGGTGAGGTGGAGAGCCTGTTAGCAGGGCTTCATCGCATTTTGCTGTGTTGTTTTTCCCTTTCAGCCAATACATTCTGTTCCTCTTCACCCTTTAAAGTGTCTGCAAGCCTAATCTTTGTCAGGCCTCTGAGCCCGAGTTAAGCCATCATATCCCCTGTGACCTGCACGAACACATCCAAATGGCCTGAAGCAATTGAAAAACCACAAAAGAAGTGAAAACAGCCAGTTCCTGCCTTAACTGATGACATTCCACCATAGAGATTTGTTGCTGCCCCACCCTAATGATCAATTGTCCTTGTGACATTCCTTCTCCTGGACAATGAATCTCAGGAGCTCCCCACTGAGCACCTTGTGACCCCTGCCCCTGCCCACAAGAGAACAATCCCCTTTAACTGTAATTTTCCACTACCTACCCAAATCCTGTAAAGCTGCCCCACACCTGTCTCCCTTTGCTGACTCCTTTTTCGGACTCAGTCCGCCCGTACCCAGGTGATTAAAAAGCTTTATTGCTCACACAAAGCCTGTTTGGCAGTCTCTTCACACGGACACGCATAACAATCTTTCTTGGTCGTGTGACAAGAACCCAGTTTTTCCTACAACATAAATATATTTAATAATATACTGTACATACATATATAATAAGTTATTGTTAATAGAAATAAAACAACAGCTTGAAGCAAATATAACAAACACTGTCAACGTCTGGGCCTGCAGGATATCAACTGTTGCTTTTCTTTCATGACAGTGGATGGTGGATGAGGCATGGAGGAGAAAGATATCCTATGATTCATCAGTAATAGTGGTTGTAAGGAGAGCTAAGGTGAGGAGCCCAAGAGAACAGAGCCAGAAGCTAAAGCCTCCTGGAAACTAGAACTGGAGAAACAAGAGGAAATCAGACCAGAAGCCCGCTAGGGTCAGGCTTGTGAACAGGAAAGCAAGTGGAATGAGATAGGAATAGATGAGATGAGGTGGCTCCACTCTAATATAGTTCTTGTACCAAGTGAAGAACTTTGAGAAAATTAAACACAGTGGGTATAAATATGTGAATAAGGAACATGACATTTATTGAAGGCATAGTTTATGTTGGTCATTTGCTAGGTTCTATCAACTGCTAAAAGTGGAAATGAGTAATGTAATTATATTTGAGAGTAAAAGTGAAATGCTGTAAAGAAACAGTTTTGTTGGCATTTCAAGTCTCCTCAAAATTGATTGGAATGAACACAGATTGCTAGTAATCAGCCAATTAAGAAAATGTGTAGGAAAGAATTGATGAGAAATTATTATTTGAATAACAACACTTAGACAAGGGAAGTGTGTCATTTGTTAAGCTCTCATTAAGCCAAGCACTTTTCATGTGACATAAGCATTATTATTATCCCCTTTTGCAAACAGAGGTAATGAGCCTCAGACTACCCAAGGCCACACAGCTTCTAACTGGCAAAGTCAAGATTCAAAAACAGGAGCTAACTCTGAAGCCTAATTTTCTTAACCACTTTGACAGTGAATTGTCAAAGGACATTCTATTCATTTATATATTTTTTAAAATTACTGAACGTTATTATGTACCAGACATTTTTCAGGCACTGAGAATGCAGTGATGAATGTAGAATGAAATTTACTTTTTATTTAGAAATGATGAACCCTGTATGATATCTTCTCCATGGTATTGAAAATTTTAGAATTTGGTTAAAATCATACTTGAGAATAGAAAGAAAAAAAATTTAAACCAGAGGTAAGCACAGACCATACATTCGAAAATTTTGGCCTATTTTAGTGGCTCACGCCTGTAATCTCAACACTTTGGGAAGCCGAGGTGAACAGATTGCTTGAGTCCAGGAGTACAAGACCAGCCTGGCTAATATGGCGAAGATCCTATCTCTACCAAAAAAATATAAAGAAAAGAAAATTTTATCGATACAAAGCCGTATTCTAAATGGAACTTAATGATACATAAATTGCTGGGTATCAAGGGAGAATATCCAGGAGAGTTTAGGTTATATCGTTGTTTGGATTTTTTTAAACTTTTTGTTACATTAATTTTTTTATTAGTTTATTTTAAGTCATATTCATTGAAGTATAATTTACATACATAATTATGTATAATTTTCATACAGTAAAATATGTATAATTTTCATACAGTAAAATTTATACTTTGCTGAGTGTTGGCAAATTAAGATGCAAACCACAAAATATAAACCATCTAAGGGGTTATGTCAGCAAGATAGCAGAATAGGAAGGGCCAGACTCTACTTCCCTGCGGGGAGACACTGAATCAACAAGAATACATAAATCAATTCCCTTTATAAGAAAACCAGAAACAAGTTAGGAGGTTCCTGCACTTCAAGGGAAGGCAAAACCAGCCTCACTAAAGCCAGTAGAAAAACTCATGGCACTCACTCACCATAGTCCTTTCTCCCATTTCAGTGTGAATTATCAAAAGAAAACTTCTAGCTACTGTCTTCTGCTTGCGGAGGGAAAGAGAAGGCTAGACAGTACATCCAACATTCAGACTCTTTAGGGGGCTGGTCAAGGGACTGGTTTCTGTCTTGCCTGAATCTAAGTGCAGACAGGAAAGAGTGTCAGGTTGAAGGCTGCTAAGAACAAAGGTGAAGATTTGCAGCACTCACTTGATGTACTTGCTCCTCCTGGCTCATTGTAAAATAAGTAGGAGAAAACCACCAACTCCTGGCTTTTCCCTGGGGAGGAAAATTACTGGAGCATGTGTTCAATGTTCTAGTTTTTCAGGGAGCTGCCAAGGGATTGGTTTCTGTCTCACCTGTCTCAGAGCACTGACAGGACCTGACAATATAGAGATGTAGGGACCACTGACAACAAAAGAATTGGGCAGCTTGATACTGCTTAGGAGGACCTGTGGTATAGCAGATAGAGGCCAACACAGCTCCATAGCCTCCTCGTTGGGGTAGAAAGAGAAGAATTCCATGTATGTCCATGTTCCAACTATTCTGGGAGCTGCCCAAGACACTGGTTTCTGTATCCCTAGTCTCACAGCACTGACAGGACCTGGAATATGCTAGAAGCCTGGAGGTTGCTAAAGCCAAAACAGAATGGGGCAGCTTGAAGCAGCTCCAGAAAATCTTCAGTGTTGCAGACAGACACCAGAGGGAGCAAGAGATCGTGAGCTCCTCCAAAAATAAACTGGCAAATCCCTCTAATTCAGAATTTATGTGCTCAAAGACAGAGATAATGCACCCACAGAAAAAGTTTGAGAGACCCCCAGAATCTCTAGCTGGGATAATTGGTGAGGGTATTTTCCTGTTCAAAGTCAGCCCATAAAGACTGGGAGAGGTGGCTGTTTTTTCAAATGTGTAGATCCCAACACAGTTACAAGGCATACAAAGAAACAGAAAGCCTGGCCCAATCAAAGGAACAAAATAAACCTCCAAAAAATGATCCTAAAGAAACAGAGGTATATGAGTTGCCTGAAAAAAGTCAAGATGTTATAAAGATGCTTAAAGAGCTCAAGAAAGTGATACATGAACAAAATGAGAATGTCAACAAAGAGAAAATATAAAAAAGATCCAAACAAAAATTCTGGAGCTGCAGAATACAATGTGAAGTTACAGTGGAAAGATCTTCCTCTATGAAGAAAGTGGGCCCTCACCAGGCACCAAATCTGCTGGCACCTTGATGTTGGACTTCTCGATTTCCAGAACTTTGAGAAACAAATTTCTGTTGTTTATGAGCAACACAGTCTAAGGTGTTTTGTTATAGTAGCCCAACAAATTAAGATAAGGGGTTCGACAGCAGACTTAGTCAAGCAGAAGAAAGAATCAGTGAACTCAAAGACAGATAAAATAGACTTTAAGTCAAAAATCATGACAAAAGACAAAGAAGGACATTATTTATTGATAAAAAGGTGAATTCACCAGCAAGATAAACAGCTATAAACATACATGCAACCAACATCCAAGGACCCAATTATATGTAGCAAACATTGATAGAAGTGAATAGGGAAATAGCAGTACAATAACAGTGGGAGATTTCAATACTCAACTTTTAAAAATGAGAAAACATTATTCACATGCAAAAAATGTAATTAGACCCTTATCTTATACCATACACAAAAATCAACTCAAAATGGATTAAAGACATATATATATGACCTGAAACTACAAAAACTCTAGAAGGAGACATAGGGAAAAACCTTGATAACATTGGTCTTGACATTGATTTCTTGGATATGACCCTAAAACCACAGGCAACAAAAGTAAAAATAGACGAGTGAGACACCATCAAACTAAAATGCTTCTGTGTAGCAAAGGAAGCCATCAACAGAGTCAACTTATGGAATGGGAGAAAATATTTGCAAACCATATATCTGATAAGGGATTAATATCCAAAATATATAAGAGACTCTTACAACTCAATAGCAAAAATAACTGATAACCCATTTTTTAAAAAAATTGGGCAAAGGACTGAATAACCATTTCTCCAAAGAAGACATACAAATGGCCAACAGGTATATGAAAAGATGTTCAACATCACTAATTATCAGAGAAACGCAAATCAAATCTACAATGAGATATTACTGCACACCTGTTAGGATAGCATCATTAAATAAAACAGAAAATAACAAGTGTTGACAAGGATGTGAAGAAGTTAGAACTTTAATATACTGTTTGTGGGGATGTAAAATTGCGCAGCCACTGTGGACAAGAGTTTGAAGATTCCTCAAAAATTAAAAATAGAACTACCAAGTGATCCAGCAATACCACTTTTGAATGTTTATTCAAAACAACTGAAAATAGGATGTATTTGCACTCCCATGTTCAATGAAGCATTATTCCTAACAGCCAAGATGTAGAAATATCCTAAATGTCCATCGACAGATGGATGGTTAGAGAACATGTATTAGCCAGGTGTGGTGACTCACGCCTGTAATCTCAGCACTTTGGGAGGCTCAGGTGGGCAGATCGCTTGAGGTCAGGAGTTTGAGAACAGCCTGGCCAATATGGTGAAATCCCATCTCTACTAAAAATACAAAATATAGCCAGGCATGGGGGCATGCACCTGTAATCCCAGCTACTCAGGAGGCTGTGGTACCAGAATCGCTTGAATCTGGAAGGTGGAGGTTGCAGTGAGCTGAGACTGAGATTGTACCACTGTACTCCAGCTTGGGTGACAGAACAAGACTCTGGAAAAAAAAAAAAAAAGAGAGAAAAGAAAAAGAAAGAAAGAAGGAAGGAAGGAAGGAAAAATGTATTATAGGCTGGGTGTGATGGCTCACGCCTGTAATCCAAGCAATTTGGGAGGACAAGACAGGCAGATTACCTGAGGTCAGGGGTTCGAGACCAGCCTGGCCAACATGATGAAACCCCATCTCTGCTAAAAATATGAAAATTAGCTGGGCGTGGCAGCAGGCGCCTGTAATCCTAGCTACTTGGGAGGCTGAGGCAGGAGAATCGCTTGACCCCGGGAGGCAGAGATTGTAGTGAGAGTGAGCAGAGATGGTGCCCCTGTACTCTAGCCTGGGCAACAGAGTGAGACCCTGTCTCAAAAAAAGTGAAAATGTAGTATATAGGGGTGTGTGTGTGTGCGTGTGTGTATATATATATACATATATATATGTGTGTATATATATATATACACACATATATATATGTGTGTATATATATATATATACATAAAGATATATTATTCAGCCTTAAGAAATAAGGAAATCCTGTTAGAAATCCTAACCTTGAGGAAATCATGCTAAATAAAATCAAACTTTAGGCACCTTGAGGAGATCATGCTAAATAAAATAAACCAGTATTAGCGGACAAATATTAAATACCACATGATTCCACTCAGATGAGGTATCTAAAATAGTCAAACTCACAGAAGCTGAAAATATAACAATGGTTGTGCCAGGGGCTCAGAGGAAGGAAAAAATGCAAAGTTGCATTTCAGTGTGCCATGGTCTGAATGTTTGTGCCCCACCCCCAAAATTTCTTTGTTGAAATCCTAATCCCCAAGATGATAATATTGGGGATTAGGAGGTGATTCGGTCTTGAAAGCAGGGCCCTCATGATTGGGGTTAGTGCCTTATATGAGAGACCCTCTTCCCCTCTGTGAGGACATAGCAAGAAGGTGTTATCCATGAACCAGAAACTGGGCCATCACCAAACACCAAATCTGTCAGCACCATGATCTTGAACTTAGCCTCCAGAACTGTGAGAAATACATTTCTATTGTTTATAAGCCACCCTAAGATATTTTGTTGTAGTAGCCTAAACAAATTAAGATAAGGGGTTCAACAGTAGACTCGATCAAGCAGAAGAAAGAATATAGTTTAACCCAGCATCGAAACTTCACGTGACACCCAAGCATCGCTTCAACAACCTAGGCCATATTGTCCTCCGGTAAACATCACGTGCTAGATTAAAGGAAGACATAGCCATTTCCATTACCTCAGAAAATTCCTTTCGCCCTTTCGCATCAGTCCCTCTCTCCCACTCCCAGCCCCTGGAGACCATTGATGTGGACATTTGTACTTTCTAGAATGTCACATAAGTAAATTAGGCAGTATATAACATGTTATGTCTGAATTCTTACCAGTAATATGTTTTTAAGATTCTTTCCTATTGTTGCATGTACGTGGTTTGTTTCTTTTAATTGCTGAGTGGTATTCCAGTTTGTTTTGACTTTCTCAAGAATTCGATTGAAGTCCAATATGTAATGCTATACCAAACATCTGTAATTCATGTTCCCCCAAAGCAAACACAATACCTAAGAAACAGAAGTGATATGGAAACACAGGAATTTCTGATGGAAGTAAATATCCGAAGTCAGGCTGCTTTGTTGTTGGATGATTCTGTTTTGTTGATTCTGTACACTTTTCTTTCAAGGGCTGTGGTGGATTGAGGAGGTTACTCTTGAAAACCAACTTTTCTCCTTCTAAGGCAGGGATAACACCAATGTGTGCTGTCTATTGTTTAGTGAAATAAAACTCTAGCTTACTAACGGAGGAGGGAAAAGAGCAAATTATAAACCTCTCATCCAAGTTACTGGTTCTCGAACCTGCCTAAGTATCAATTTCCCATTAGAAACTTAAAATATAAACACATGCCAATCTCCACCCTTGACTTTGACATTGGAATCCTCAGGTTGGCGCTAAAGTGTGAGTGTTCGAAACGTAGTTCTGGCCGAGCATGGTGACACTCACATGTAGTCCCAGCTACTCAGGAGCTGAGGCAGGAGGATCACTTGAGCCCGGGAGTTTGAGTCTGTAGTGTACCATAATCAGGCCTGTGAATATCCACTGCATTCCAGCCTAGGCAACACAGAAAGACTCTGTCTCTAAAAATATATATAAATAAAAAGAAAAAAAGAAAACATAGACCTCTGGTGATTGGTTCCAATGAATAATCAAAGTTGAGAAATCCAATATTTGAAGCTTTTCTTGATTCTGACAACTTGAATTCTCTAGTTAGAACAAATTCAAGCTTCAATTTTTCTCATCTCTTTTCTGCTCTTTTCCCAAGGTGGAACAAAGACTGAGATAGGTCATTTTAGAGAAGCCTTTGATGCCACATCCACATTTTGTAGAACTAGGTTCAGGAAGGTGGGACCCATAACTCAAAAGAGTCCTGGGAAAGCCCATTATCCAATTCTGCTGCATCCTTTCAGAGGAAAGGTGAGTAAGGAGCCAAGAGTAGGCGTGAAAGAAAGATTGAGGTCAACCTACTGGTTCACTTTTTTTTTTTTTTTTTTTTTTTTTGAGACAGAGTCTCGCTCCATCATACAGGCTGGAGTGAAAAGGCAAAAATCTTGGCTCACTCTGCAACCTCCCCCTCCCAGGTTCAAGTGATTCTCGTGTCTCAGCCTCCTGAGTTGCTGGGATTACAGGTATGCACCACCGCATCTGGCTAATTTTTGTATTTTTAGTAGAGACAAGATTTTGCCATGTTGACCAGGTTGGTCTTGAACTCCTGACCTCAAGCGATCCAGCTGCCTCGGCCTCCCAAAGTGTTGGGGTTTCAGGCGTGAGCCACTGCGCCCAGTCTGGTTTACTTTTGAGCATAGCACACCACTCAGAGTGGTAGGTACCACGTAACATTATGAAGTATAACTAAGGCTGTATGACCAAACTGCTGGACTAAAAAATGACCAATTCAGTATTTAGGTCAGCTTAAGGACATGATGATAGAAGCTCTATAACTAACCTTCTTTATTTCTCTATAGATTATACAAAGATAGTCACTAAACTTGTCTGAACTATTATGCAATGAAAAGGAGTTTATGTGTTGTCTACAAATAGACACAGCTTATTTTTCCACTGTCTTAATTTTATTACGACGAATTTCGATCATTGTAGAGGAAATGAAACCCAGACACATAATGTATTACTGTAACCATAGTAAATTCACAGTAAAAAAAGCTGACCGCATCTTCCTAAATAATGTGAAAGGCTCTAAGTCATACACTGAAGTAGGAAGAGTTCTTATTTTTTTCTTCCTCTTTTGCAGAAGTCAGAATGGTTTAGATTACATTCTCACACATTTTCACAGCTGGCGTATTTTAGGTGGGAATGACAATAATTGCTCAAACGACTGTTTAAAAAAAATTGGTGCAAAAGTTGCATCCGGTGGCCAAGATAGGGGTATGGGATGGGGGAAAGAGCACGTACAGGGCATGGAGCTGAGCACCTCCTCTGCTTGCAGTCACTTCAGAGCTGCTGCTCAAAGTGGTTTCCCGAGCAAAAGTCACCATGCTGATATAGACGTGTGACCTGCCATTGCGACCACAGATGATTAGCTCAAAGAGTGATCCCTCACCCAAGGCACTCGTGGTGGGAAAATAGTCTCTGGAACATGATCACGAAAAGTCTGCCCAACAGAGAGGCTCCACACTGAATAGTGACTGGTCAACCAATTGGATTCTCTCTCAGAGAAAGCTTGAACATGGGCATGTTGGTAAATCAATAGAGACAGAAATAGGATCACTACAAGTCCACCTTAAAAGTTTGGTTACTCCTGGCCAGACACCGTGGCTCATGCCTGTAATCCCAGTACTTTGGGAGGCCAAGGCAGGCAGATGGCTTGAGGTCAGTAGTTTGAGACCAGCCTGACCAACATGGTAAAACCTGAACTCTACTGAAAATACAAAAATTAGCCAGGTGTAGTGGTGGGCACCTGTGGTCCCAGGTACTTGGGAGGCTGAGGCATGAGAACCGCTTGAACCCAGAAGGCAGGGGTTGCAGTGAGCTGAGATGGCACCACTGCACTCCAGCCTGGGCAACAGAGCAAGACTCTATCACACAAAAAAAGTTAAGTCACTCCCACTAGGTATATGCCCAAAGGAAATGAAATTTGGATTTTGAAGAAGTATCTCCACTCCCATGTTCTTTGCAGCATTATTCACAATTGCCAAGATATAGAAACAACTTAAATGTCCAACAATGAATAAATGGATAAAGAAAATGTGCTAGGCAGGGCGTGGTGGCTCACTCCTGTAATCCCAGCACTTTGGGAGGCTGAGGCAGCCGGATCATCTGAGGTCGGGAGTTCGAGACCAGCCTGACCAACATGGAGAAACGCTGTCTCTACTAAAAATACAAAATTAACCGGGCATGGCGGTGCATGCCTGTAATCCCAGCTACTCAGGAGGCTGAGGCAGGAGAATCACTTGAACCCAGGAGGCAGAGGTTGTGGTGAGCCAAGATCAGGCCATTGAGCTCCAGCCTGGGCAACGAGAGTGAAACTCTGTCTCAAAAATTAAAAATGTGAGATATATATATATATATGTACATATATATACACACAGAAAGAGACACAACAGAATAGTACTCATGCATAAAAAAGCTTGCAACGACATGAATAAACCTGGAAGACATTGTGCTAAGTGAAATAAGTCAGACACAGAAAGACAAATACTGCATTATCTCACTTCTATGTGGAATCTAAAAAGTCAAGTTCAGGGAAGCAGAGAGTAGAATGGAGGCTGCCAGGAACTGGGGGATGGGGAATTGGGGAGATGTGGGGCAAAGGGTACAAACCTTTGGTTATGCAAGATGAATGAGTTTTTGAAATCTAATGTATAGCATCGTGACTACAGTTAATGATGCTGAATTGTCTACTTGAAATTTGCTAGGAGGGTAGGTCTAAAGTGTTCTCACCACAGAAGAAAAGGAAGGAAGGAAGGAGGGAAATAGTAACTACAGGATGTGATAAATCAAGCTAATTAGCTTGAATGTGGTGATCATTTTTCAATATACACTCGTAGGAAACATCAAGTTGTGCACCTTAAATATATACAATTCCTACTTTTAATTATACCTTTTATGGAAAAAAAGTTAAATCACTCCTTGAATAGAAAGTTAAAGTAGAAAGTAATGAGGCCCACTTATAGGAAGTCAATTAGCACAGGAAAATTTTGATTATGAAGCAAGGCTGGGTGGAGGGCGACTGCAAATATTGGAGGGGAGTAAAGGGTAAGAATGCGAGTGGAAACCTACTGACTATATGTCTAAATATTTAGAAGTTACGCATCAACTCATGCCCATGGCTCAGCTCTTATTCCCAACTGACAACCTGCAGCTTATTCCTCAGATGTGGCCCTCACAGACTAGAGGCCAAAGTTGTGTGAACTCCTCTGTCCCCGCTTCCACTTTATCCCATCCCTTCACTACCTCTCACCTCCAGCCCCCAACCTCCAGGCCAGCAGCCTGTCAGTCCGAGTGTTAGTGTGGCTCTCTGAGGGCAAGACAGGCTGGAAGCTGTGCTCTGACACCACGGCATAACTAGACCTGCCCAAGCCTAGAATGGGAACTGACTAATTCAGGTGCCCTATAGTGCATAGATGACCTTCCCCAATGCCTCGCTTTTCTGACATAAGATTTTCAGGTGGTTCTAAGCACCTGCCCAAACTACATGACTCCAGCAGGGAGGAGCAAGGGAGCAAAGATATCTGGGTGACCTCATCTGCATAGATGCCCACTTCATGTGATCTGAGGCAGACAATTTTAAACTTGATCCCCCCCCAACCCCACCATCCATGTACACATATTGCCGCACTCTCAGCCTTGTCTGTACTGATTCTGTGGGCCAATGCAGCTTGTGCCTCCTTCTCCCATAATGCCATTCACTCAAAGGGGGAGCAAAATTTCAAAAACCTTCTTATGATACCAAATTTAAAAAGTGTTTTTTTTTAATGTGTAAGACACTCTATAAAGTATGGGGCCCAGTCTGGGGGTCCTTGCCTTGCTCCAAGGATGGCATGGCTGTGAGCCTGCAGAGCTTCCACCGATCTTCCTCATATTTACAAGCATCCTCACCATGAACTTCCACTTTCCAGGTAACCCGGGGTTTCCCTGTGCCCAGCACTCAAAAATACCTAACTCCAGGACAC
This sequence comes from Homo sapiens, assembly GCF_000001405.40. Classification (NCBI taxonomy): domain Eukaryota; kingdom Metazoa; phylum Chordata; class Mammalia; order Primates; family Hominidae; genus Homo; species Homo sapiens. The sequence goes on from NC_000011.10 coordinate 102,923,190, forward strand.
TAGATCATGAGAAGAGAGACAAATCTCTCTACCTCTCTCCTACTCATTTTATTATATATACATGTATGTATACATTAAGCTTACACAGATATGTACAAATACACATATATGAATATACTTTTCATGATCCCCACCATACACTGAGTTTCCAGTGAGAATACAGAAAAGATAATAGGCAATTTTAAGGCCAAAAAAAAAAAAGGGTTGGGGGAGGCCATGCCCCTAACTCAAACCTGGAGCCAGGGAATACTTCTGAGATGAAGTGACATTTAAAATGAGACTTAAAGGTTGAAGAGGGAGTTAGCTGGGATGGGAAGAATGTCCTATACTAAGGCCAGAAAGGATAGAGAGCATCACATCTTCAAGGAACTGAAAGAATGACTGAAGCTGAGGTTGCAATGGGGTGGGGAGGTATGGAGGTGGGGGAGAGGAGAATGCGGGGCCACAGAGTGAGAGGCAGATGGGGTGCATGGCATCAGGACAGGTGGATGTTTATAAGCCATTCTGAAGAGTCTCAATTGAATTCTGAAAGCCAAGTAGAACCATTGATGGGTTTTATTTTACTTATTTATTTTGAGATGGAGTCTTACTCTGTCCTGCCCAGGCTGGCATGCAGTGGTGCGATCTCGGCTCACTGCAACCTCTGCCTGTCAGGTTCAAGCAGTTCTCCTGTCTCAACCTCCCGAGTAGCTGGCACTACAGGCGTGGGTCACCATGCCCGGCTAATTTTGTATTTTTAGTAGAGACGGGGTTTCACCATGTTGGCCAGGCTGGTCTCGAACTCCTGACCTCAGGTGATCCACTCGCCTTGGCCTCCCAAAGTGCTGGGATTACCGGCATTAGCCACTGACCCCAGCCATTGATGGGTTTTAAACAAGGGAGTGACATGTTGTTCAATAAGGAGGAAGTTACTAGATCCTTTTTTCTCTTTCCTGAAAAAATGATTAAGACTACTAGGTGACTTTGGCCTCTGGTGTATGTTTGCACTTTTGTCTAATGGGGAACTAATTTGGAATTATTTTTGATTAGTAATAAAGGAAAACAATAGATCTGTCCTAAGTATAGAGTAAGAGAAAATGATATTTTGACCCCATGTAGATAATGTTCTAAATAAAATGAACTGATGAAAAACAACTTCTTGAAAACAACAATATTTTAACATTCCATATTTCCTTTTTTTCATGTGTTTTGAGTCATCTATATAAATTTGTACTGAAAAACTTTATGCATTTCTTATCTGATTGATTGGTTCTTTCTACCTAGAAGGCGATTCTTTCTTGTTCAAACCCAGCCCAGATACTCGCACACTGCATAGGGATGGAGGAACAGTTTCTGTTTGCTTTTGGTCAATCATGAACTCCTACGTATCTTGTAAACATGTGAGATGTAACTTCAGGTATACTGGAGAATGAAAAGATCCATCCAGGTCTCAAAGACTTATGATCTAATTAGATCACAGGCAGAGGAGATAAAAAGACAGAGATGCTCGAGAGGTTAACAAAGCAGCTTTGAAGCAGATGTGAAATAACATCTCGAGCAAACTGGGAGTTAGAATTAGCATGTCTCAGTGTGTGTTTATCAGCAAAAGCTGCTAAAAAGTGCTGCAGAAAATGAAAAGGAAGGAATGAAGATTTTATTTCCCTATTATCCAAAGAGCCTGAAGGCAGATGGAAGTTATGGTCAGAACGTGGGTTAAATGAGTCACAGTGTGGAGGAAGCCACAAATTTCCATGTAACCCACTCCCATCCCTCAAGTGTCGTCTTTTCCAAATGTGGGTAACCCTGCCATGGGATACGCCCTCAGCTGAGATCCCCTGGATGGGACCCAGAAAGGGGAACAACCATCATTCTTTGTTGTAAAGTCAGTGCACAGAGCATTGCCACCTGAGCCACAAAAGCCTTCAGATGCCATTCATTTCAGCTCAGTTTTGCCCATGCTGTCTTTTGTCCCTCCTGAGGCCTGCATTCTAGGAACACAAGTGACTCACATGAGATCTCCTTGAAGCAAATTTGTCCTTGCAGTGCTCACGTCCAGCAGTAGCCTAAAAATCCTGACAGTTTTACTTCTCTGGCGGCTAGAGGCGGAAAGTCACATTCTAAGAATATGAAGATTGAGGAAGTGAAGCAAGCTCAAATTGCCTCCAGGCCCCTCAGCAGGATCAAGGTGGTGGAGAGCTCCATTAACTTCAACCGGCAAAAGTAGTGGCGGCCTGAGAGAGCCTTAACCTTCATGTGAGCTATAACTTTATTTAAAACTTGTTAGTTTTACTTACATTTTGATCTGTTCTACGTGTTAGAGTAAAAATAACCATGTTCTCTCAGTCTACAAAAGGTCCTCATAGGCAGTCTCTTTTATTTTATTTTATTTTATTTTTATTTATTTATTTGAGACAGAGTCTTGCTCTGTTTCCCAGGCTGGAGTGCAGCTGCCCAATCTCCACTCACTGCACCCTCCGCCTCCCAGGTTCAAGTGATTCTCGTGCCTCAGCCTCCCAAATAGCTGGGATTACAGGCACGTACAACTACACCTGGCTAAATTTTGTATTTTCAGTAGAGACAGAGTTTCACCCTGTTGCCCAAGTTGGTCTTGAACTCCTGGCCTCAGGTAATCTGCCCGCTTTGGTCTCCCAAAGTGCTGGGATTACAGGCGTGAGCCACTGCACCCAGGCAGTCTCATTTATTTTCAACAATCTGGATGTCTCTTTGTCCATGGTCAGTGGGGTTCACTTGACCATGTACTTTGGGGTTTTTCACACTGAGGATCATAATTTTCTTTCAGGCTTTCTTTCCTCAGTGATTTCTCTGCTATTTTGCTACTTCTCCTTAGCTTTTCTCTGAGTCTTCGCTAAATCTGTTAAGTTGTAGATATGTGCAGGACTACAAGAAGTATTAAAAGAGTTTTTGAACAAGCAAGGAAAACACTCTTATTAGAAATATATATCAGTCATCTCATATACTGTGGAGTCAGTACATCAGAGTGGTTAAGAACATGAACTTTGGGATCACACAAAAGTCCACACCCTGATTCTATTTCTTACTGGCTGTGTTTCAAAGAAAACTCTTAACCTCTTCAAGCCATGGTTTTTTCTCCTATAAAGTGAGCTTAATAATAGAATTACTATATCTGTCTGTTGAGAAGATCAGATGATACAGACATAACACACTCAGCATAGTGCATGGCGCGTTGTGTGTGTTCCACAAATGTTAGCCATTAGTAATAAGACTGTAATTATTGAGGAATCAAAGAAAAGTAAAGAATGGATCCTTCTCTCAAGGGGAAAATGTTTTACTTGCCTCCACTAAGGTGGAGAAAAAGACAATTCTGCAAATAATCATAAAATATGAAGGGTATGTACTGCAAATCTGTTTTGCTTTGTTTGCCAGCAGAATATTCTCTGTCTTTTAGTAAAAGCACCCAACTTCTGTTCTGAGGACCTTTCCCTTCCTTGTCCCCCAGGGTCATTGTGCTATGGGCTGTAAGTCTAGTCAGCCCTATACTGCCCCACCAAGAGTGGCTGATGGCCTTCAGCCAAGAGAACACAGCTCTCTCTTCCTGGAGTTTCCCTCTTGGGTAGACTAGTATAAGATGGAAGCAGGAGAGCAGAATCATCTCAGTGGAGTGCCAGAGGAAGTCTGGGTTCCTGCTCCAATATATCAGGACTCTGTTGGATCCTGTCCTTCCTGATATATAGGAGTTGAGCTTTACTTTCAATTCTGTGAACTCCCCAGCATCCTTAGCTAGAATTCAGTTCTACTACTTGCATTCAAAGAGCCCCAAAAGATACAAAATGGAATTAAAACCAAAATAGAAGAGTTAAGTGCTGTGTTTAGAAGGCAGATGACATTGGTCTAGTGTGACAAAGGGTGACTTTGTGGAGAAAGTAGCGTATACAACATGTGTCCATCCATACGGGTCAGCTACTCTCTATCTCCATTTCCGCTTCTGTTCTTGCTGGCAAAGAACTCCCTCTGCTCCCGTCTCTGCGTGATGGTTTCTCACCCACTCATGACTTCTCCTGACTCATAGCTTCTTCTCGACTCATCTTCTTTCTGTATCTTTTTACTCTATTGTACCCTAATGTCTGTGGATTCCCTCAAATCTTGCATTTAAATTTTCTGTGAGAGAGCAGCTGATTAGTCAATTGACTGCCATCCAATATAGAACATCTGTTAGGCAAAGTTCTTTTGCCAGGTTGCCTTAGAGGTCATTGTCCAGACTGTATATGTCTAGCCAGATGCTTTGGCCAGGACAGTGGGATCCTGTGGGAGAGAACATGGTGGCCCCTGTGTATGGGACTGTGAGGAGAGGGCTGTGGATATGGTAGGCACAGACTGTGCTTTGTCTAGGACAGGATCCTGGATAAGTCATCTAGATTCACTGTATAGGCAATAAAAAGCCACTGAAGGTTTTAAACAAAAACTACTAGAATATTGTTTAGAAAGATGAATTAGTAACTGTGTGGGAAAGGATGACCAGCACAGGAGGCAGGGAGGACAGTATGCAGGCTATTGCAATGGTCTGGGTAAGAAGTTATCAGATCCTGACCCAGGGCTTAGGCAGTGGGAATAAAAATAAGAAACTGATGAGGAAGGCATTTAGGAGAATTGGGCAACCAGCTGGGTGGAGGAGGGGAGGAACAGGAATCTGTCAAAAACAACTGTGAAGTTTTGGATTTGTGTGACAAAACCAAAAATAGTACTAGGAAATTCAAATTGGCTTGTGGGAAGACAGGAAAAGTGCTTTGGATAGAGTCATAATTCAAGATGAAAAAGGCCTAATAATGATCAGAATCAGTGATTTTAAAATTTGTATGTTTAATTTTAATGTAGGCATCTTTCTGCACATGAAATTTTAAATGGGAGTCCAATACGTGTAGCAAAATAAAAGGAAAATGATTCTTGTTGGGGTAAGATTGGGTGGGAGGGTCCCACATACTTCCTACTCAGGCCTCCTCTCATTACTTCCCCAACCCCAACACACACCTAAGGGGGGCTCTTAGACGGTGCATGGAAAGTGGTTTAAAAATCAGAGCTCCATCTTTTTACAGAAGAGAAAACGGTTGTCTGAGGAGGCAAAGTGAATTGCCCAAGCATACACAGCTGGTCAGTAACAGATCTAGGACTAAAACCCAGGTTTTCTTAATGCAGAATTCAGTAATGGCATGTCTAATGGGTGCTAGGTGCTAAGGCTACAATGTGACCGAGACTCAGTCTCATAAAACTTGCATTTAAACAAACAGGTAACAGATCCACACTGAGAGAGTGATAAACCCTATGGAGGAAGTAGAACAGAGTTCCATGAAAGACAGCAGCTGCCCCCAGGCTGCCTAAGAGTAAGGAGCCAGCGGTGTGGAGAACCAGGGGAGGTGGGTCCCAAAGGGGAAGAGCAATTGCAAAGATCCTGGGGCAGGAATGAGCTTGATAGGTGGGAAGAACAGAAAGGCACCAACGTGGTCAAAGAACAGGGAAAAAATTAGGAGATAAGTGACAAGAGGTGAGTGACATCGGTGACGCAAATTGGGACCAATCAGGCACTGTCTTGCTTTGTGAAGTTCAGTGTCACCACCAAGAACTTCAAATGGAGAGTTGCAACCACCACTCAAAATTCAGATCAAGATTGGGCTAGAGATACAGCCTTAAGAGGCAGTGTCTTCTCAGGAAAGAGCCATTGGAAATGCCAGAAGTGCATTAAGCAGGAAAAGGCAGGATGACAAGGAGAAAGAAAAGGCCTGAAGAGAGAAACTTAGAGAACATTTATGGGAAAGCAGAAGAAAAAAATCTCAGAACTAAGAGAACTAAGCAAAACACCAATTAAGTGTGACCTTACAGAAGCCATGGATGCCAGGACCTTTGAAAAGTGGGCAGATGTCAGCAGCGTCAAAAGCTTCCACCCCTAACCATTCCCTGATGTCCAAAAATAGTCAAAGACATGAGGAATAAAGACTCTTATGCTTGACAATTAAAGAAACACAGCTATTCAGAAAACCTTGGAAAGCACAGTCTCAGTAGGATAGTAGGGCTTTGGGTTGAAGCCACGTAACAAGGATTGGATGAATTAATTACATGTCAGAAGTAGACTCAGTGCAGTTCATGAACTATGCCTCGAGCACTGACATGTGCTATAACAGCATTTGACATTGGGGTAGAGAGATAGGAAAAGAATCATCAACAATAGGAGACAACTAGTGCCTCCACCCTCAAGTAACATATTATCTAGAAGAGAGAGGGAGAGGAAAGCTGAGGACAGTGTGAGAGTCTGTCAGAATCAAATGCATTCACTACTCATGCCCCCAGAAGTTTACTGTTTAATGTGGCAATGATGAACCTGTTCAGGTTACCATTTCTGTGGCGGCTTTGAGTCCTTTAGAAACATTGGCACCATCATTGTGTTGTAAAATTTGTGTGTTATGTGGAGCCTCATAGTTCCATATCAGGGTCAAGCTTCAATCCAATTTGGTTCAGAACGTTCTATGTAAAAGGCAGAGCTGTAGGCACAAGATGTGATCCCACAATGCTTCTGCAAGCTAATGGGAGACACAAATGCTGGAAGAAAAGTAAAAGCAATGTGCTTTGTAGAAGAGGAAAAGAGAATTCTATCTGAACGTGTAAGGTCGGCTAGGCCTTTAGTAAGCACTCTTCTCCAGTCAGTAAAATTGATAGAGCGCAATTTTATCATTGGTAACAGAATAGAGGGGTCCCCGCCTATCTTGCTCATTCAACTAGGCTTAAGGACAACCTAGGGGATACTCAAATGTTTGCCCACTGAAATAGCAGTGTCTTAGAGTCACACTAGACTAGGGGTCTATACGCT